>NC_000001.11:46220501-46523531 GCF_000001405.40 Homo sapiens | reverse complement strand
TGGGAGACCAAGGCTGGCGGATCACTTGAGCTCAAGAGTTCAAGGCCAGCCTGGGCAACATGGTGAAACCCCACCTCTGTCAAAAAATACAAAAATTAGCTGGGCATGGTGATGTGTACCTGTAGTCCCAGCTGCTTGGGAGGCTGAAGTGGAAGGATGGCTTGAGCCCAGGAAGGTGAGGCTGCAGTGAGCTGTGATCATACCACTGCATTTCAGCCTGGGTGACAGAGTGAGACCCTGTCTTTAAAAAAATGAATAGGGACTGAGGCCCAGAGAAGGGCTTTTCCAATAGCCCACAGTCCAAGAGGCAGGCTGGGGCTTGCAGGCTGCGCGGTCCTTTCTAGGCAGCTTACCGAGGGCAGACTGAAGGTAAACCTGAAGGAGGTGAACCTTTCAGACGTCTCGCGGGCCCTGCCTCCACAGGGGCTGTGCATGCTAAGGAGACAGCGAGGGGCGGGCCGATGAGCACCTGCCTTTACCTCCCCTTAATCTCCCGTGTCGTCAAGTTTCCGCCTCAGCCCCCTGTCGTGAAGCTTCTGCCTCAGGTACCCTGGATTCTTCCTGAAGCACTGGGGCTCCTGTGTTCTGGAGTTCTCTTCAGGAGAATCCTAAGGTAAAAAAGAATGTGTTCCCTCCCTCCTGGCTGCCCAGCACATGCTGTGCAGAGGCCAGGAGATGGGCAGGGTGACCTGGGAAGGACCCAGGCCTGCGGGTCTATCGTCCCGCTTAGATGAGACCAACAACAAAGAGCAGCTTGTACACACACTCACACCCACGTGCACCCACACACGCCCACACAGGCTCTTTCCAAGAACAGCTCTTCAAGCCTGGCTGCCAAGATAAAGGAGCCACGGGGCGGTCAACCCCAGGAGGAAATATCGCTTCTGCAACTTTTGTTGTTCAGAGGTCTTTGTGAAATCTCCAGACTCTTCTTGGAAAGGATCCCAGGCTGAGGTGGCAGTTTCCCGCAGCGGGAGACATGGGTGAGGGCCACGCAGCCTCCCCGGCCTGGAAGGAGCTGGGGGAGGAGAGCCCCAGGGGGCCGGGCTTGGAGTCATTAGTGGTGGCAACAGAAGCTTAATCCTTCACTTCCATTATTACCGCACTCAACTCCCACAAGCCTGGGGGTAGACAGAGACCTCCCCATTTTACAGATGATGAAACAGAGGTTCCCAGAAGCCTAGCAGCTTATTAAATAGTCCACAGTGAGTCAGTGCTAGAAATGAAACTGTGACTGACTTGGCACCAGTCACAGACTGAGCCGGCCCTGCCCCAAACTGAGTCCTGCCATGGCCCATTCTGAGCTCCAACTCTGACCTCTAATCGAGCTGTGTCTTGCCCTAGATTGATCCTGAATCTAGCCTCAGATTGCCCCTCCTGTTAGCCGTAAGCCCTTCGAGGTCAGAGACGTGTGCACTTCTCATTCACCCCTGCTCCTTTACGTGGATATATGTGTGATTATTTGAGTAATCTCCATTTTATCCATTAGACTATATATAGGGCCAGGAACTGAGTCTACTTTTGTTTAGTGGCACTTATCATAATGTAATAAGTGCAATAATAACAAGCAAGTATTGGCCGGGCGTCGTGGCTCATGCCTGTAATCCCAGCACTTTGGGAGGCCAAGGTGGGTGGATCACTTGAGCTCAGGAGCTAGAGACCAGCTTGGGCATAACAGTGAGACCTCATCTCAAATAATAAAAGTAAAAACAAATTTAAAAAAAAAAAACAAGCAAGTATTGAGCATTTACTAAATGCCAAAATTGTGCTAAGTGTTTTACAGATGTTATCTTTTATTCCTAACAAAGAACCCTGAAGTAGGCATTATCATTCGCCCCACTTTACCAAGGAGAATACTGAGCCCCAAGGTGACACTAGGAGGAGGTGTGTATAGGATGCTCTTGGTAGTTCCCTCCACCCCTCACACTCAGTTGCCTGATGAGGAATGGGGTGGAGAAGGAAACCGTGGCTGGAAGAGGAAGTGGTGGCCCTTGGGCAGGTGGGAGAAGCAGAGGGCTTTCTGGAGGCCTTGGGTTTCTGAAGCCACAGAAGGGCCAGTGACTTAGCTGAAAGAGATGGGGTGGGCTGGGCACTGTGGCTTACACCTGTAATCCCTGCACTTGGGGAGGCTGAGGCAGGCGGATCACCTGAGGTCAGGAGTTCGAGACCAGCCTGGCCAACATAGTGAAACCCCCTGTCTCTACTAAAAATACAAAAAAATTAGCCAGGTGTGGTGGCAGGCGCCTGTAATCCCAGCTGCTTGGGAGGCTGAGGCAGGAGAATTGCTTGAACCTAGGAGGCAGAGGTTGCAGTGAGCTAAGATCACACCATTTCATTCCAGCCTGGGCAACAAATGCAAAACTCTGTCTCAAATAAATACATAAATAAATAGAAATGGGGTGGGAGTGAGACCAGCTATATATTTTATGGGGTCCAGGGCAAAATGAAAATGCAGGGCCCCTTGCTTAAAATGTAAAGATTTCAAGATGGTGACATCAGAACATTGCGGGCCCTCTGAGCCCAGGGCCCTGTGTGACTGCATGGGTCACACGCCCATGAGGCTGCTGCAGGAGGGAGCATGCTGTGAAGAGGTGGGCTCAAGGCAGCCCCTTGGGGTGGATGTGTGGGTTGGTGCACATGGGTGTTCACATGGCAGCTGGGACCAGTGTCTGACTCTTATGTGGGCATTTGGGTGGCATCTTCCACAATCACAGGGCAGCCGCCACCAAGTCTCTGTGGGCACCAGGCCAGCAGTTTGGCTCGAGAGGCTGTCTGTACAGGGGAGCTGGTGCCACTGAGCATTCAGGGGCTGTCTGGAGTGTGAGCAAGCCGGGAAGAATGCATGTCTGGGGGTGGAGCGGGTGTGTGGAGCATCAGGCGACAGAGCGTGGCTGTGTGTCTGCCGGTTTGCAGTGGGGCTGTGTACACAGGCATGAGAGACAGGGAGACAGACACCCTGGGATTGTGTGGTCCAGTGCAGAAGTCAACATGTCCCAGGGGTGTGAGAGGATGCGTGTGTGCGTGTGTGCTGTGAATGTATGGGGAATGTGTGTGAGAGGCTGTCAGTGTGTGGGGGCGTGTATGCCTATTCCCACGTGCCTTCCTGGGTGCTGGCCCTTGCTGTCTTCCTTATTGTGAGGCCTCCCAGGTGAAGACCTCTCCAGCCTGCCTCAGCCCAGCCCCCAGGCCTTTGTGGGACCAGGTCCCCTCTCAGAGCGACATTCCTGCCTGCCGTGGGGTGGGCAGCCCCACAGAGCTGCCTCCTAGGCTGCTGGGGTGATCCCTGGCCAGTGGTGTCAGGTTCCCAGTGCTGAGCCCTCCCTCTGCAACCCTCTGAGGGCCTTTGTTGGAAGTTCAGACACACTTGTCAGGGGGGCGGGTAGAAGGCCACCTCCTAATCGGCTTTCCCAGAAGCTAAAGGAGAATGAGTGATGGGGGTGGAGGGCTCCAGCCCAGAGCAGCTCTGTGGGAAAGAGATGAGGGAAGTGCCCAGCCCTAAAGGGGTCCATTCCCCAGACCCTCTCAGCAGGGGCCCCTTCCCTGAGGGCCCCTAAGGAACCAGACCCCTGAGCTGCAAGAACATTGGCCAAGGCCTAAGAGAAGGGGGAACTACCGGGCGCCATGGCTCAGCCAGGCGGTGGCTCACGCCTGTAATCCCAGCACTTTGGGAAGCAAAGGCAGGTGGATCACCTGAGGTCAAGAGTCTGAGACCAGCCTGGCCAACATGGTGAAACCCGTCTCTACTAAAAATACAAAAAATTAGCCAGGAGTGGTGGTCAGCGCCTGTAGTCCCAGCAACTGGGGAGGCTGAGGCAGGAGAATCCCTTGAACCCGGGAGGTGGAGGTTGCAGTGAGCCAAGACCGCACCATTGCACTCCAGCCTGGGCAACAAGAGCAAAACTCCATCTCAAAAAAAAGAAAGAGAGAACATGGGGAATTTGGAGAGAAGCTTCGGGGAGCCCCCTACCTTTCCCATTTCCCCCACCATGGGCTATCTGAGCACCAACGGCATGCTGGGCCTAGAACTGCTCAGCTTCTCAGCCTCCCCAGTGCCTTCTCCTTTTTACCTCCTCTGAGTCACCCAGGAAGCAGGCTGGACCTGGTTAAAGATTCCTATTCAACAGAATAGGAAACTGCAGACCAGAGAGGGATAGTTATTTGCCCTCAGTAAACAGCAAGCCAGGCTTAGCTCATCCTGGCTCCACCAGTAGCTTCTTCTTCTCTTTGTGGTCAGCGTTTCCCTGAGGTCCCATCCTCTGCTTCTCTCTCTGTAATCTCATTTAGCAACGTGGCTTCATTCACCATCTCCCTGTGACAACCATCAAGGCTAAGAGCATGGATTCTGAGGCCAGCCAGGTTCATCCCTTGGTTGGCCCATGACTAGCTATGTGGCCCCTCAGCAAGTTATTTAACCACTCTGTACCTCAGTTTTCCCATCTGTAAATGAGGATAGTAATAGTACCTACCTCATAGAGTTGTGTAAGGATTAAGTGACTTCTTTTATTTATTATTATTATTATTAATTATTTTTTGAGACAGAGTCTCACTCTGTTGCCCAGGCTGGAGTGCAGTGCTGCAATCTCAGCTCACTGCAATCTCTGCCTCCCGGGTTCAAGCAATTCTTCTGCCTCAGCCTCCTGAGTAGCTGTGAATACAGGTGCCTACCACCACGCCCGGCTAACTTTTGTATTTTTAGTAGAGTCAGGGTTTCACCCTATTGGCCAGGCTGGTCTTGAACTCCTGACCTCATGATATGCCCGCCTCGGCCTCCCAAAGTGCTGGGATTACAGGAGTGGGCCACCATGCCCAGCCAAGTGGCTTCTTACGTGTAAGGTGCCAGGCACAGAGAAAGTCTGTGTCAGCAGCAGAGACAGACCCTACATCTTCCCTTGAATAAATAGAAGTCTCCTCAAATGCAGCAAACAAGACTACCCTGAGCTCAGGATCATTTTCGGACACTCACTCCACTCCAACAGAGTAGGGGTCTCCATCTACCCTATTGCCTGGCCAGAGACTTGAAAGTACCCTTGACCCTCCCCATCCTGCTTAAAATCACCACAACAATTTTCCTTCCGAAATCTCTCATCAATCAGACCCCTGCTCTGCACTCCCTCCCCCAGTCCAGATGGATGCCACCCTCCTCTCACCAGGACGTGACAGATACTGGCCTCCTCTCTGATCTCCTGCCCCCACCTCCTTCTCATGAGCCACCATGCAGCGAAAGTGGGGGTTACTAAAATACGCATAGATCACCCCACTCCCTCACTGGGAATAGCTTCCAGTGCCTCCCACACCCTTGGCCCTTGGGCTTCAGTCCAAGGTCCTTGTTTCCCTCCTCATCCTCACTGGCTGGCACCACCCCCACCATCCTCAAGCCCCACCCAGACAAGTCCCTTGTTCTTTCAGGGCTCAGGGCTTTGGCAAGCTGGCTCAATCCTGCAGCTTTCTATGAGCTATGCCTCTCCCAGGGCACCCTTCTCTTTGACTTCCTGGTGAACACTGGACCCATGAGACTCAGGTCAAAAGTCTCCCTCCCAAGGGGCCTTTCTGATCTCCCTAGACTGAGCTAGGGGTCCTCTTCTGTGCTCCCACAGGTATCCTTTTTTTTGTTTGTTTTTTGTTTTTTGTTTTGAGACAGAGGCTCGCTCTGTCGCCCAGGCTGGAGTGCAGTAGTGCCGTGGCTCATTGCAACCTCCGCCTCCCAGGTTCAAGCAGTTCTTGTGCCTCAGCCTCCCGAGTAGCTGAATAGCTGGGATTACAGGCACACGCCACCACACCTGGCTAATATTTGTTATTTTTAGTAAAGACAGGGTTTTGCCATGTTGGCCAGGCTGGTCTCGAACTCCTGACCTCAGGTGATCTGCCCACCTTGGCCTCCCAAAATGCTGGGATTACAGGCGTGAGCCACTGTGCCCATCCCAAGGTCTCCATTTTTTGAACACCATATCACCCTGTGTTGTAGTGTTTTCCTTACTTGTTTCTATGTAGCCAGCTCCCAGCACAGGCATAGGCATACAGCAGGTGCTCTGTGTATGCTGAGTGCATGAGTGATTTGAACTGCAGTGTTACCAGGGTACCCTTTATGCCAGGGAAGGTGTGTCCCTTGGGGCTGAAGTACGTAGGAGGCAGTCAATGGCTCAGGCCAGGGGAGGGAGCAGTGGGAGATTTGAGGCAGATATTTGATCTCTCAGCCCCTCCCAGGGAGGCAGGGGACAAGGTGAAAGGGAGACGCTCCCCGCCCTAATCCTCAGCCCGCTGGGGAGAGAGGAATGCGTCTCCTGGGGTGGACCTGGGAAGTGGGGAGGTCAGGGCCCGCCCCTGGGAAGCCTAGCAGACAGCTGCCTGCATACATTCAGGTCTGCTGGGTTCTCCTACCAGGAAATCCGCAGACAGAGGAGACTGTCACCTCCCCTAAACCTCAGCCAGGTGCATGCACCACCTCTTCTGGCTCTTGGCCCTGCGCCGGCACTCTGGAGCACCGGGGAAGAAGGTGGAGCCAAAGCAGCCAGGACT
Source organism: Homo sapiens (assembly GCF_000001405.40). NCBI lineage: Eukaryota > Metazoa > Chordata > Mammalia > Primates > Hominidae > Homo > Homo sapiens. The sequence continues at coordinate 46,517,018 of NC_000001.11, read as the reverse complement.
GAGCAGAGATCTCTTGTCTTCTTTTTCTTGAAATGCAGCTGGAGGGACCAGGGTTTCACAGCAAGAACTTCCTGGCTGTGCATTTTTTCTGCACTTATTGCCTATATGTACGGTCTTGCCGTCTATCTCGCGCTGTCTCTCCTGCTCATCGTGAATGTGCTCGTACACACACAGATGCAAGCAGACACTTAGGAATTCATAGCACAGGTTCTCAGACCTGCAGATAGACTTATAACAACACAGACACACCCCAGCGCACCATGGCAGAAAGCCCTCCTTCATCCTCTGCTTGCTCACCTCTGAGGACAGAGCTCACAGCCTCTGAAGGCTTCCCTTTCCACTGGAAAATAGCTCTGGCTGTAGATCCAAATGTCTCTTCTTACCACTCCCCTTTGGCCCTGGCTTACTTGCAGTTTTCCACAGAGTCCCCTGCCTCTCTCTGTCCTGCAGACCCATCCGTCTCCCAAGCTACACTGAATACTCCCAGGCATTGCTTGTCTCAGGCGTCCCATGTCCCAGGCTACTCTGCCACTTGTGTTTGGGTGAGGTCCAAACAGCCTAGAGAAGATGGAACTGTCTCCCATTATCTGCTCCCCTGCAGCCACTCCAGAGTGGCATCCCGGCTGCAGATTAGTAAGGGCCACAGAGAGAGCTACACAGTCAGTGTGACAATGGCCAATAGTGCAGTAGGTCCGCCTCCCTCCCCACTGGCCATGGCATCAGAGGGGCAGTGAACAGACCTGGAGACACTGCCTGCTCAGGCCACTGCGGGCATCTCTGGGAATGAACATGGACTGAGGTCTGGGCTGCTGGGTTCTCTTTTATTCGCCAAGTAAGACAAAGAACAGGTCACAACATCACAGGGAATGAGACTGACAGAAGGACAGATACACAGAGTGTCATGCAGCACTACACAGGGGGCAGGCGAGGGGACAGGCAGGGGTGAATTAAGTCTTGTTTTTTTCCACTAACAGAATAAATAAATACAGTACACAGTGTCTTTGCCATGGGCTGGCACGACCTCTAAGCACAAATGGTCACAAAACAGCTGGTTTGGAAAGCAGTCTGTAGAGCCCACCAGCCTTGGAGTTGGGGTTGGGATCCGGGCCCCTGGACCATGCTCTGAGGGAGTGAGGAAACAGAGAAATGGAGACTCAGACAGCAGGGAGAGGCCAGGCATGAGGCATTCCTGGAAGGGACAGTCAGAGCTTGAGCCTCTGGCTTTCAGGCCCAGGTTGGCCCAGCAGGCCTGGGAGGGGCTCCAGCATCAGGTGTGGTGGGCCTGTACCCTCTGCCCACAAGAAGGGAAGCGCGGTGCTGCTTACAAGCGTGCTCAGAGGAGATGCACGGTGCCGCTTACCAGTGTGCTTGGAGGAGACACAGGTGTCCTCTCCTCTTGCTCTCCAGCTGCTTTCAGTACCCAAGGCTGGTGCCCTAAACTTGAGAGCCCTCCGAGGGCAGGGACCACATGTACCTTCCCTGCCTTCTCTGGCAGATTTGGGTCAATTGAATGGGACAAGTGTTAACAAACATCTGAGGGAAGCTCGGCTGCTCCTAAGGTGGGCCTGCCTCCAGCCATGACAGAACATTGCCCCTTAGGAGTTCAGGGGAGGCTTCCTGGAGGAGGTAGTGATATCTAAGGCTGTTGGATTCCAAGGCCTAGTGACAGTCACTTGTACCCAGGAACTGACAAAAAGCTTCAGCCTAAAAGCAGCTAGGAAGCTTCCCATACCTATCCAGATGATTATTTTTTGTTTTAGAAACAGAACTTCCTGGGGCTAATCCCAGAGGACAGTTGATGGGCTATTGGCCACAAAATCCCTCCCAAACCAAAAACCTCCTCTGTCACTCCTGGAATCTGCCAACCTCCCACAGCGCTGCCTAAGTCTCTCCTCTGATGCCCCCATGGCTGGTGGATTCCCCTTCCAAATTCCAGACCCCAGCAAGAGACCTGAGGATTTGGAAACCCTCAAATGCCTGTCTTGGTGCTTGCCACATGTAGGTGTGGTCTTTAGCCTGGATTCCAGGCCCCTTAGCCCCACCTCTCGTGAAGCCAGCCACCCCCTTCCCATGGTCTACTGAGTCTCATCTCTGCTGCTTTGTTCAAACACTTCTCCTGGCCTAGACTACCATCCTGCTCACTTTTTTCCTGTCCAAAGCCTTCTCCATCTGCCCCAGCCTAGGCTGACCCCCATCAAGGGTGATGGGCATTGACTTCTCTGCAAAGCAATTCAACCAGGACACCAACAGAACCTCTCTCTTCCCACTGGGAGAGGAGACAAGCCTTAGCAATCTTTACCCTGGCTTTCAGATAGATCAACTTCTTTAAGCAGGGTTTGGAGTGTTCAGTGGTGAGCCACCAAGAGTTGGGGAGCATGACCAAGAATCTGTCCAAGCCATCACCTCCCACTGCCCAGAGCCCCTGAGATCATGAAAAGGTATGAAAATGGAGTGACTCCAGAGGCTGGCACTGGAACTCAAGATCAAATCCAGATTGCCTGAACTAGAAGGGACCCATTATGCCTATGGGGAAACTGAGGCAGTGTCTACAGTGAGGCTTGTGTGTACAACACCCCTTGCTCCACAGAAAGGCAATAGTAATTTCCTACTTCATATATTGTGCTTTTGAGAACCTTCTGTTGTCAATTTAACTAAAAACTTCTGTGTTACAAGGTTGCGAGCAAATGCAGAATGTAGAGCTGGCTAGGACCTTACAGGCCATCTAACCCAGACAGGGAAACAGACCCAGAGAGGCTACAGGCTTGCCCAAGGTCACACAGCTTTTATTTATTTTTTTTTTTTTTTTGAGATGGAGTCTCACTCCGTCGCCCAGGCTGGAGTGCAGTGGCATGATCTCGGCTCACTGCAACTTCCACCTCCCAGATTGCAGCAATCCTCCCAACTCAGCCTCCCAAGTAGCTGGGATTACAGGCATGTGCCACCACGCCCAGCTAATTTTTGTATTATTATTAGTTTCACATGTTAGCCAGGCTGGTCTTGAACTCCTGACCTCAGGTGATTGCCTGCCTTGGCCTCCCAAAGTGCTGGGATTACAGGTGTGAGCCACCATGCCCAGCCGGTCACACAGCTTTGAAAGGGAGTTTGCTGAGCTGGGTTTCCTGGCTATGAACAGGAACACACTTTTCCATTCCAGTGACTAGCTGGAGGGAAGCCCTTACTTCCATAATTGGCTCTGGGACAGGAAGCCTACAGAAGCCTGAGCCTATGTGCTGCTATATGCTTTGCACGCACCGTGCTCAGGAGCAGAGTTCAACCTTCATTCCTGGTCAGCCGTACCCCTGCCTTGGACAGTATCTGCTGAACGTGGAGGCTCAGCTTGTGGGAGAAGAGCACCAGCCCTGCTGTCTCTGAGAGCACCTCTTCCCCTGCTGCTGCTCTCCATCCAGGGAAGTCTCACCAAAGAGAGCTCTAGAGCCCTGTGGTCAGTCCTGGCTGAACTGTGTCACCGGGCCTCTGTCTTGGGAAGACTTACAGGCAGGAATGCTGGCCATTCTACTGCCTTCCCAGATTAACTACTGCCTCCTCAATCTTGGGAATGAGGACCTCAAAATTGAGAAGAGAGAAGAGAAAGTAATTCATGACGCCTTCTAGATGCCAGCCTGGGCAGGGGTGGGAGTGGGAGCCAGTGCCACCTCCTGCCTGCAGCTCCAGATCCCCAGAGTCTCCAGCTAGGGCCTTGTTGCTTCTATTGGGCATAGAAAGGAACAGCTTCCTAGAGAGGCCGCAGGTGCAGGGAGGCAGGCAGGGCAGAAGGAAGGGAATAGAAGGAGAGCAACGGGAAGTCGCAAAATTACTAAAACCAAAACCAGCCACAACCCCAAACAAAATATAGCTCAAGAACTGATGATACCAACACAGCCAACACCAAAGGAAGAAACCAGGGGCAGCGGGAGAGACAAGGAGAAAGATCAAGGGTGGAGAATACAGAGGCTGGGCCGAGACGGGGGCAGGGACCAGGACAGAGACAGGAAGAGGGAGATCAAGGGAAGAAGGAAGGAGAGAGAAGGAGAAACAGAAGGGATGGCTGGAGTGAGCCGCGGAGGCTGCAGGGAGGGGTGGCAGGGAAGAAGAGATGGGAGTGGGGCAGGGGGCCTGGGGCAGGCAGGAGCCTGAAAATATAGCTTTATATATTTATATTTATATCTCACATTCCACACGTAGACTTACTAGGGGGCAGAAGGATAGGGAGAAAAGGGAGGAGGTGCTATTGAGATGAGGATCTAGCCAGGGAGAGCCTCTCACTTCTCCGAGGGAAGCTTGGGGCACCCCAGCCTCTCACCTCCTCCCTATTCGGCCTCCATGGGGTCCAGGCAGGGCCATGCAGAGGGTGTGTAGGTGTGGGCTTCACCTCGGGCTGGGGTATGGGGAAGCGGAGCAGGGAACAGGACCCCAGGCCCTAGGATCCCTGGGCTCATGGAGTTAACTCCTCGAGAGCCACCTAGGGATAACCACAGGGCTAGGAGGGGACACCTAAGACCCCTGGCTGGGTTGGAAGCCAGACAGTCAGTTGGGCAGCGTATCGAGTCCCAGGGAGGCCGCGTGCTGCTTGGCCCGGAGCCGCAGGTTCTCGATGCTTGTGGTTTTACTGTTCAGGGTAGCTGATGCAGGAGCCAGGCCTGCTGGGGGTGCAGGCAGCAGAGGAGACCCCCACACACCCTGGTGGGCAGCAGCGGCTGCTGACAGGGACTGGTAGTAGGACTGGCAGTGCAGTGAGCCCAGCGGGGCCATGTTGACGCCCAGGTAGGGCACAGCAGCAGCCGCCGCTGCAGCAGCAGGGGCCGGACCCCCTACTTCGAAGGACGAGTAGTGCACCAGGTTGTTGGTGGCCGCCATGTGCTGGCGGAATTGCTCCTGCAGACGGAAGAGGCTCAGCGGGGACGAGGAATAGGAGTGGGAGGGGCCCAGGAGGCCACCCCCTGGGGCCACAGGAGTGATGGTCAGGCTGCCTGGGGAATCTGCAAGCAGAGAACCCAAGAACAAAGCCCTCAGGACAAGGGCATTGGTCTGCCAGGAGAGGTGCACTCAGCCTTCTCACCTCCTTGGCACTATAGACAAGACAGGCTTCGGCTGAAACCACATCCATCCCATCTCAGCCAGAGCATCCCCTGAAGCAAGGCTCAGAATCCTAGGAGAAAGGGACCCAGGCTTCTTGGGAAAGCTCCAGGGACCCTGCCAAGGCCCCCACGTCTGTCTCTTTTTCTTTTCAAGGGCTGTAAACTTCCCCCTCCCCCACCCTGCCCAGAGCTCCCATTCCTTCACTCCAACCTTCAGCTCACAGCCCCTGTCCCCTCCCTGCTGGGCTTAGGGTTTGTATCTGAGATATGCCTCATGCCAGAGCTCTGTTCCTTCAGAAATGTGCTCGGAGTCTCTGCTGCACGTGGGAATCTCTGGTACTAATACAGTATTCGCCCAGTATGCACTGGGACATCCAACTGGTTGTTAAAATATTGGAATACTTCCAAATGGTTGATAAATAATTTTTGCCCCGAGCTCCCGCAGTATCCCACCCCTGCTACCCAGCCCGTCCCTCAGGACCCCCTGGACCTTCCCACGGCTCTGCAACTAAAGGGTGAAAACCTGGCCCAGGCCTGCTGTGGTCAGTCCTTTCTGATGCGCCATGCCCCTGAGGGGCAGTTGATTACTCGCCTCTGACTTGCTTCACACGCTCAGGGCCCCCAGACCCCAGCCCTCCCATGGTACCCCTCAGACCTCACCTGCCTTGGGGCTGCCCCTCTTGCAGCCCAGCCCCTTGCTGTCAGCCCCAGGGCTCTTCTCAGCTTTGGGGTCCTCAGCCCCTGCCCTGGGGTCCTCCTCACGGTCCGGCTGATCCTCGGGGGCTGACTCACTGGCTGACTGCTCAGACAGACTCAGGTGAAGCTCAGCAGGGGGGTCGCTGCCAGGCAGACGTGGGGGCTGCTCAGTGTCCAGCTGGGTATCTGGAGTGGGGGCCTCGGCCTTGCCTTCCCCATGGGAGCCCTCAGCCTCCTTCTGCTTCTGGAGCTGTTCCTTCTGCAGGCTACGCTGCTTCTTCCGGAACTTGGCCCGGCGGTTCTTGAACCACACCTGGGGACGGGAAAGGAGCAGTCCGAGGTGGGCAAGAAAGAAGTGGGGTTGGTGTGGAGCAGGGTGCTCTGGGAGAGGATGTACGTGATAACATCCCCCCACCCCTCTAGGGAATGCACACCCTCTGTCCCTTCCCAAACTCCCCTCCTATCACTGAAGGCTTTGATGGAGAGATCAGTTGCACCTTGGCACAGGGATGACATGCTGGCTCCTGGACAAGCGGGCAGACTGATGGGCTGGTGTTTGTCTGCAAGGCCTAGTTAGGAGAGTTGGGCCCTACCTGCACCCGGGCCTCAGGCAGGTTGGTGCACATGGCCAGCCTCTCACGCATCACCACATCTGGGTAGTGAGTCTTCTGGAAGGTCTTTTCCAGGGCCTCGAGCTGCTGAGCCGTGAACGCTGTGCGGCTGCGACGTTGTTTGCGGTGCTGGGAACCATAACGGGCCTCCAAGATGATGTCTTGAAATGTACAGCCGTTGGAGGGCAAGGAGAGGGGGCCCATTTAATTATGGGAAATAGCTTTGAATCTTATCCTGCTCTGACCCACTGTGGACACCCAGGCTGCTGCCAGAGCTGGCCCTGGTCCCTTACCCTTAGAAATCAGCCATCCCCTCTCCATATGGCTGTGGGCTTTCAAGGTCTCTCCACCCCATTATGCACTATCAGGACCACAGAGGTCTAACTCAACTCCAAAAATGGCTGTCAGGCATATGATTGAGGGGGGTCTTCATTATTTGGCATTGGGATTGGGTAGGTGGGTATTACCCTAAGATGGATACTATGAGTATACTTTGAGACTCCATGATGCTAATAATCTGTAAGTCCATATCACAGGAGTTCTAAGACCCTATAGCCCTTAGATTCTGAATACTAAGACTTCTTTAGCATCAGAGTACTGGTCCCTGCCCATGAGAAGCCAGGCTGGGCTGGTACCCATCTCAAGGTCTAGTCAAGGGAGGACTGACTAGGCAGACAGAATTCACCAGCACTTGATTCTCTGTCCTCTGCATGTAAACCCCCTCATCCCAGCTGGCCTAGAGTCTCTGATGGCAGGGCCTCAGGCTCCTACTCTTCTGTTTCCTGAACAGAGAGCCTGGCTAAGGGGTAAGAGTGGAGCGGGGAGGGTGGGGGTGGCAGGGCTCACGTCTCAGGTAAGGCTTGTTGCACTCAGTCTTGACCCTTGTGGCTGCCTCCCCAAGAACAGAAGGACAAAGAGACCTGGTTCCAACCACTGTGGGTTTGTAGGGGAGACAGGACTATGGACCATTGATTCCACAGTCCTGTCCACATGTCTGGTAACATGATAACCACCCAGGATAGGTGTCTACCTAGGGCCGAGGTCTAGCCTCCATCCTGGGGTATAGCCTTCAGCCCTTTCACTTGACTAGCCCCTGAAGGATAGACAGTAACCGCTCTCCTCACTGCCTCCCATCATGTCATAAGTGGATCCTGCCCTGTTTGTGCTGAAGGGAACTTGAGTCATCTCAGCCTCTGCAAAGGGGTGCCAGAGTCCTTCCCCCGCCCTCCAGGGAATGGGAAGTCATCCACAGCACCCTAAATAGGAAGAGGAGGCCCGGCACAGTGGCTCACGCCTGTAATCCCAGCACTTTGGGCGGGTGGATTACCTGAGGTCAGGAGTTCGAGACCAGCCTGGCCAACATTATGAAACACTGTCACTACTAAAAATACAAAAAATTAGCTGAGCGTGGTGGTGGGCCCCTGTAATCCCAGCTACTCAGGAGGCTGAGGCAGGAGAACCGCTTGAACCCAGGAGGCGGAGGTTGCAGTGAGCCAAGATGGCACCATTGCACTCCAGCCTGGGCAACAAGAGCAAAACTCCATCCCCCCTCCGCAAAAAAAAAAAGAATAGGAAGAGGCAACTGGGTATCCAGGAAGCCCCAGACTTTGAGATACTTCTTCTTCAGTTTAAAAAGAGAGTCCTGAACCCCTCACAGACTGACCTTAATCCTAGGCCTGACTCAGCCCTGAGCTGAGTCATCCTGGGGCAGGGGAAGGAGTGGGGACCGCTCTGTCAGCCCCACTCTGGTTGGGGAAGGAGCAACAGCTCAGCATCCTACTGCTGGCTCCAGGGACTGCAGGGGTGGTGGGGGGTGGGGGGTGGGGGGCGTGTAGGTGTCACAGGGAAGCCAGGCTCTCTAAACCGCCGGCAGAGCCTCTGCTGGAAGGCAAGGCCTCCATACAAAGGCTCACTTGGAGTTCATGTCCTTCCTTCCTAAGAATTAGAGAGTTGGGGGTGGGCTGAACACCCCAGTTCCTCTGCCCCCACCAGCGGACATGAGCCCCCTGTCCCTGACTCCTCTCTGTGCTCTGGTCCTTGGGTCCTGGAATACTGTCAGGAGCTGATGTCACCACCAGGTTGTGCATAGGACTGTATCCAACATCCCCACACTAGAAACTAATGCCTCCACACTGGTCCAGAGAACCTTTATCCACTGAGTTCTGCCCAGAGGCCTGGCAGGGTCTAAAGGAGTGAGACTGGCCATGCCCTCCCTGCCAGGCCAGTGCTGCTACCCAGGTGGAGATCCCATCCCATTTCTGTGCCTTTGCTCATGTTGGCCTTTTTGAGGCCTGGTTCCTGCCCCTGTGGATTTCAGAAAGCTCTTCCTGACTACCCCAGCTGATCCTGCTGCTCTGAGCTGCCCCAGCATTTGACCTTGGATACCCTCCTGTTGTGCCCTCTCATGGGTCATGGGCACCTGTTCTCCCTAGGAGTTCCCTGAAGTTTTCTGAGGCCTGCCTGGCACAGGGCTGAGCCCATGTGGGTTTACCAGCTGCTCAAGGCTGGACCTGGGACAGGATGGGGTGGGTGGCACCACCTCCCAGGACATCAAACTCCCCATCCATGCCACTGAATCCTTTTCTCACCCACCGAGAGGCTGGCAGGGCAGGGCAACAGTCAGTAGAACCAGGTGTGGGGCACCAGACTGCCGGTCCCTCATAGGCATATATGGGTACTTACCTTGGGCTTTGGGTAATAATGACCTCTGAGCACCTACCAGGCTCTGCTGAATGCTTTGCATATGTCATCACAAATCACCTCCCAACCACCCTAGGGGATGGGCATGGCCATTGTCTCCTTTTTATAAAAGGAGAAACTGAGGCTCAGAGAAGAGAGCTGAGTGGGAAAGCCCGTGCTGATTTCAAGTCTAGGACTCCAAAGCTCATATTTTTAGCCATGTTACGTTCCAACCCCACTTGGCCCAGATTTAGCCTCTCTGAGCCTCCGTTTCCTTGTCCATAAAATGGAAATAATAACCTCTCCACATGGGGATTGGATGATTTGAGGCACACAGAAAGAGAGAGACTCCCACAGTGCCTAACTCACAGTTGGTGTCAGAACATAGAAGCTGTTATTTACAATTCCCTGTGCCTGAACTCTCCTTGCCTGGGCATTCCAGCCTCTTCCAGCTACTTCCCAGCCATAATACTCTGGACTAGTCCCTTACCCTCCTACCTCATTTCTTCATCTGTGAGATAGGGCTAATGAATGCCTCCCTCACAGGCTTGTTTTGAGAATTTGAAAGCATAGGGCAGCTCCAGCGCCCTGGACAGTGCTGGCAAACAAAAGGCACTCTGGATATACATGCATAGTTTTGAATTGACATCTCTCTGTGTTGCTAAGTGACCTGAGTCTTTTTGAGCCCCCTAGAACAAGCTTGGCCAGTGCTCCCTCTCCTCTTTGCCTTCCAGAGCCTTCTCCCCCAACCCCCACAGTCCTGTCCCCATGGTCCCATCCCCAGGGCCCTTACCAGCCAGGCGCTCAGCCAATGTAAGCGCATGCACTGAAGGCCGGTAGTCGGGGGCATGCTGGGCCTGCTGGGCTGCCTGCTGGTGCAGGTTGTACATGGCGCTGAGTGAGTTCATGGCGTGCAGTGAGTAGCCGTTCACCCCGTAGTGCTGCATGGCGGCATCCGCCTACAGACGGAAAAGGGAGAGGGGCCATGAGGCAGGCCTATCAGACTCTGCCCTCAGGGAGACCCACCCCCAGTCCAGACCCTGGATGCCCACCTTCTGATGGGTCAGAAGCTCCCTCCATCGGAAGGGAGCCTGTCTTGCCCGTGGCTTACCGTGTGGGGGTTCCTGCATTCACTCCTTCATTCACCCACTCATTCATCGATTCACTCGGCAGGGCCAGTGTGGGTTTAGGGCTCTGGGCTCTAGAGTCAGACTGCCCAGGGCAGGCTGAAACCTCAAGTCCACCACTCAGGAGCTTTGTGGCTTTAACTTATCTGACCCATAGTTTCTCTATCTGCAACATGGGGTTCATGATAGTACCTATCTCATAGGGTTGCTGCAAGGATTAAGAGAAGCCTTTACAAAGGACTGGATCATAGTATGTGCTCAAAAGTGTTAGTCATTGTGATTTACAAATTCATTTGCTGCTTTATGCAATCATCTCTTCGTTCAATTACTCAGGCACTTACTCATTTTTACCTTCATTGATTCACTCACACACTTATTACTTATTCAACCAATATCCATTGAGGCCCACTTGGAGCCAAGATCAGAGCTAGACTGCCCACTGAGGCATTTGCTTTGAAATGAGATAAACCCAGGGCTGGGCACAGTGGCTCATGCCTGTAATCCCAGCACTTTGGGAGGCCAAGGCAGGCGGATCACCTGAGGTCAGGAGTTTGAGACCAGCCTGGCCAACATAGTGAAACCTCGTTTCTACTAAAAATACAAAAATTAGCTGGGCATGGTGGCGCATGCCTGTAATTCCAGCTACTTGGGAGGCTGAGGCAGGATAATTGCTTGAACCTGGGAGGCGGAGGTTGCAGTGAGCCGAGATTGCACCACTGCACTCCAGCCTGGGCGACAGAGCGAGACCCTGTCTCCAAAAATAAAAATAAAAAAAAGAAATGAGATAAACCCTAAGGTCCTGCACAAACATAAGAATACTGATAAGAATACTGTTGTTATGACTGTCATACATTCACCGCCATTACCTCCCTTTATTCTCACCATATCTCCAAGAAGCAAGCAGGCCAAGAATGACAAGCCCCACTTGCAGTTGAGTCTACTGAGGCTCAGAGAAAGAACAGTGACAAGTTGAGGCCACACAGCCAGTCCAGGGCCTGCCCCACTCCACATTCCTGCAGGCTTATTCTTTCTTTTTTTTTTTTTTAAGTAGAAGTTAATGTTTTATTTTTTTTTATTATTATTATACTTTAAGTTTTAGGGTACATGTGCACATTGTGCAGGTTAGTTACATATGTATACATGTGCCATGCTGGTGTGCTACACCCACTAACTCGTCATCTAGCATTAGGTATATCTCCCAATGCTATCCCTCCCCCGTCCCCCAACCCCACAACAGTCCCCAGAGTGTGATATTCCCCTTCCTGTGTCCATGTGATCTCATTGTTCAATTCCCACCTATGAGTGAGAATATGCGGTGTTTGGTTTTTTGTTCTTGCGATAGTTTACTGAGAATGATGATTTCCAATTTCATCCATGTCCCTACAAAGGACATGAACTCATCATTTTTTATGGCTGCATAGTATTCCATGGTGTATATGTGCCACATTTTCTTAATCCAGTCTATCATTGTTGGACATTTGGGTTGGTTCCAAGTCTTTGCTATTGTGAATAATGCCGCAGTAAACATATGTGTGCATGTGTCTTTATAGCAGCATGATTTATAGTCCTTTGGGTATATACCCAGTAATGGGATGGCTGGGTCAAATGGTATTTCTAGTTCTAGATCCCTGAGGAATCGCCACACTGACTTCCACAATGGTTGAACTAGTTTACAGTCCCACCAACAGTGTAAAAGTGTTCCTATTTCTCCACATCCTCTCCAGCACCTGTTGTTTCCTGACTTTTTAATGATTGCCATTCTAACTGGTGTGAGATGGTATCTCATTGTGGTTTTGATTTGCATTTCTCTGATGGCCAGTGATGACGAGCATTTTTTCATGTGTTTTTTGGCTGCATAAATGTCTTCTTTTGAGAAGTGTCTGTTCAACTTACAAGGGATGTGAAGGACCTCTTCAAGGAGAACTACAAACCACTGCTCAAGGAAATAAAAGAGGATACAAACAAATGGAAGAACATTCCATGCTCATGGGTAGGAAGAATCAATATCGTGAAAATGGCCATACTGCCCAAGGTAATTTACAGATTCAATGCCATCCCCATCAAGCTACCAATGACTTTCTTCACAGAATTGGAAAAAACTATTTTAAAGTTCATATGGAACCAAAAAAGAGCCCACATCGCCAAGTCAATCCTAAGCCAAAAGAACAAAGCTGGAGGCATCACACTACCTGACTTCAAACTATACTACAAGGCTACAGTAACCAAAACAGCATGGTACTGGTACCAAAACAGAGATATAGATCAATGGAACAGAACAGAGCCCTCAGAAATAACGCTGCATATCTACAACTATCTGATCTTTGACAAACCTGAGAAAAACAAGAAATGGGGAAAGGATTCCCTATTTAATAAATGGTGCTGGGAAAACTGGCTAGCCATACGTAGAAAGCTGAAACTGGATCCCTTCCTTACACCTTATACAAAAATCAATTCAAGATGGATTAAAGACTTAAACGTTAGACCTAAAACCATAAAAACCCTAGAAGAAAACCTAGGCATTACCATTCAGGACATAGGCATGGGCAAGGACTTCATGTCTAAAACACCAAAAGCAATGGCAACAAAAGCCAAAATTGACAAATGGGATCTAATTAAACTAAAGAGCTTCTGCACAGCAAAAGAAACTACCATCAGAGTGAACAGGCAACCTACAAAATGGGAGAAAATTTTTGCAACCTACTCATCTGACAAAGGGCTAATATCCAGAATCTACAACGAACTCAAACAAATTTACAAGAAAAAAACAAACAACCCCATCAAAAAGTGGGCGAAGGACATGAGCCTTATTCTTTCACGGCCAATTGTTCCAAGGAAATATTCCATTCATCAGAGAAGACATCCATCCTACTGAGACGGCTCCAGCCTCAACAAGAGGCTGCCAAGGTCCCATCCGGACCCTCACCCAGTCTGCAGCAGTGTGAAATGTCATTTTTGGAATTGACTCCGCATCTGGAGTCTCCCCAAAACACAAAGGTGTTTCCTATTTCCCAAGTGTGGGAGGTGAAAAGGGAAGGCTGGGGCAATGGCAGGTCCATTTGATAAAAGGAAGACATATGCAGGTATCTCAGCTCCTCACTGAAACAGACACAGGCTATATATAATCAAACAACCACAGCTTACACACAAACACACACAGTTGCAGGCAAGCACATGAACGTTTCGTGCAAAAATACACGTACGCAGACATTCTTGGCAAGGCATTCACAGAAGCCTCCTTAATCACAGACACAAACTGAATGTCATTTCCCACAGTTCCACACACAGACATGCTCACAGATATCTACTCATGCAGCAGAGACATCTACACACAAACATTACACTCACATCCATTTGTATATTACACATATTCATCCAACACATATTTATTAAGCACCCACTTACTAAATAGCAAAGTCCCTAACTTCATGGAATTTACATTCCTGGATAGAGGGATGTATAACAATGAATAAAAATATATGTACTACTGTCGGACTGGAATATGGGCTCTGAAGAAAAATAAGGCAGAGGAGGAGAATGACAAGAGGGAAAGGAGAGATTGTTTTAGAACATGTGGTCAGGAAAGGGCTCTCCGACATTTGAGCAGAAACTTGAAGTCAGCCATGTGGAGCTCTCAGGAAAGGCTTTCCAGGCAGAGGTAACAGCAAGGACAAAGGCCCTGAGGCATAGACAAGCTTGTGTGTGTAGAACAGCAAGAAAACCAGGGTGGCTGGAGCACAGATGGAGGGAGCAGGTGAAGGAGGTAAGGTTAGAGGGAGAGGGGCCGCTAGCCAGAGGGCTCCACGGCCCATTGTAATCCCACTAATCCCACGGCCCAATGGAAATCCCAGCTGGATTTTATCCCGAGTGTGATGGGAAGCCCCTGGAGGGTCTTGAGGGAAGTAACATAATATGATCTGGGTTTTTTTGTTTTGTTTTGTTTTTTTTATTTCTGAGACAGGGTCTCGCTGTGTCTCCCAGGCTGAAGTGCAGTGGTGCAATCTTGACTCACCGTAGCCTCAATCTCTGGGGCTCAGGCAGTCCTCCCACCTCAGCCTCCTGGGTGTGCTGGGACTACCATCATGCTGGGATAATTTATTTATTTTTTTTGTAGAGATAGGGTCTCACTATGTTGTCCAGGCTGGTCTCAAACTCCTGGGCTCAAGCAGTCCTCCTGCCTTGGCCTCCCAAAGTGCTGGAATTACAGGCGTGAACCACCACACCTGGCCTATGGTTTGTTTTTAAAAGCTCATTTTGGCTGCTATACAGAGAAAAAACTGCAGAGATGCAAGAAGAAAAGTGGAGAGACCAGGCCACTAGGACACTGCAGAAGTCCAGGCTAGTGACCATGCTGCCTTCACTAGAGTGGGAGGAGGTGCCGAAAATGGTCAGATTCTGGTATTTTGAAGGTAGAATCAGCATGATTGCTGATAGCTTAGTTATAAGATGTGAGGAAAAGAGGGGAAAAAAAAAAGGATAACTCAGGTTTCCATCCTGAACAGCTGAGTGAAGATGGGTCTTTTCCTGAATGAAGAGCATTGAGTTGGAGAAGCAGATCTGAGGAGGGAGAGAATGGAAACCAAGGTTTTGGGGGACATGGCAAGAATGACTGACACGTGAATCCAACTTCCAAGTAAGCATATGTTGAATTGGCTGTTGGATATAGAAGTCTGGAGCTGAGGGCTAGATTTACAGACTTCAGAGTCAGCATTCACACATTAACTTCCTCCAACAACATTCACTTGCAGAAGCCCACTCCACACACCATAACCATAACCTCAAGGCAGAAAGCTAAGAGAAAAGAGTGATAGACATGGTGAGATGAAGAATTTACACCTCAGTATAACAGAATATACCATAAACAAAGCTAAAAGGCAAACAATAAATTTGGAAAAATATCTGTTATATACTGTATATGACATAGAGGAATTCATAAAAAATAAATAGCACAAATCAAATAAAAGGGAATATCCATGATATATACAAAGAACTCTTACTTAGGAATAAAAAAATAAAGCTGGGTGCGGTGGCACACACCTGTAGTCCCAGCTACTCAGGAGGCTAAAGTGAGGGGATCACTTGAGCCCAGAAGTTTGAATTCAGCCTGGGCAACATAGCAAGACCCCATCTCTAAATAAATAAAAAGATAGTCACCTTAGTAAAAGATAGGCTAAGTAAATGAAGAAACAACTCATTAAAGAAGAAATACAAATAGCCAACTGACATGACAAAAAGCTCAGCCTTATTTATAACCAAAGAAAGAAAAAGGCTAGGCGTGGGTGGCTCACGCTTGTAATCCCAGCACTTTGGGATCACTTAAGGTCAGTGTTCGAGACCAGCCTGGCCAACATGGTGAAACCCCACCTCTACTAATAAATACAAAAAATTAGCCGGGTGTGGTGACCCACACCTGTAATCCCAGCTACTCGGGAGGCTGGGGCAAGAGAATCACTTGAACCCGGAAGGTGGAGGTTGCAGTGACCTGAGATCATGTCACTGCACTCCAGCCTTGGCAACAGAGAGAAAGAAAGAAAAAAAGAGAGAAGGAAAGAAAGAAAGAAGAGAAAGAAAGAAAGAAAGAAAGAAAGAAAGAAAGAAAGAAAGAAAGAAAGAAAGAAAGGAAGGAAGGAAGGAAGGAAGGGAGAGAAAGAAACAGAAAGAAAGAGACAGAGAGAGAGAGGGAAGGGGGAGGGAAAAGAAAAGAAAGGTCATTGTTTACCGATCAGATTAGCAAATATAAAGAAAAATTATTACACAGGGTTATCTAGGGGAGTGGCAGATGGTCATTCTCCTACCTTGATGGCAGAAGAGCTATTTATTCCTTACATCAAAAGCCTTTAGAGAGTACATCGTCTTTGACCCAATGATTCCATTTCTAGAAACGTACCCTTCAAGTATGCAGAGATATGTGTATGCGAATATTTATCACAGCACTGCCTGTGATGGCAAACAATTGAAAACCTAACTGTCCATCGAGAGAGGATTAGTTTAGCAAATGAGGGGACAGGTATTCCCAGTGGACTACAGCACCGCAATTTAAAACAATGATGTGTATCTGTATGTGCTGATGTTCACAATATACTGTTGAGTGGGGGAAATAGGTAACAAAGCAGTATGCATGATACGATCCATTTTTGTAATGTATGTATAAATATGCATAGAAAAAAGTCTGGAAGGTTATAACCTGAAATGTTAACAGAGGTTATCTCTGGGAGATAGCAAATGGGATTACACGTGATTTTCACATTTATATTATTTCTTTCTTTCTTTTTTGGGGGAGGGGGGTAGGGGCTGGGGGGAGGTATCCACGTCTTTCGCTGGATATGAGGATGAAACCAGGCTCTGGAGTGTCACAAGCTCCAGGTGGGGAAGGGGGAACAGAGTTTAGAAGCAATTTCATCCATCCCAACTCCTGCTTTTGGAATGCCCCTCCCCCACCAAACTCAGGGGCTTTGTTGCTTTAGAACTCACTGCTGTTGATGTGGTAAGTGACATTTTAATTGACTTAATTATCGCTGATCTCACAGTTTTTGATGCACAATGCAGCTTTATTAACTGAAGCCAGAGAGATCCCTCTCTGGGCCCCACAATTGCCCCATCCCCATGGCCCTCGGAAGGTCTCTGAGATCTTCCCAGTATGGCCTGATGCCCTCCCCCTCCCCAGCACCAAGCACTACCAGACTACCTACCACTCCTTCTCATCTCCACGCCTTTACTCTTGCTGGGCCCTCTACCTGAAACACCATTCCTCTTCTTTCCCTTCCCCTAACAAATTCTTCCCTCTCCATAAGGCCTAGCTCAACTGAGCCCTCTTCAGAAATGGGGCCTTCCCCAAGTCGCCTCTGACAAGGCATCTCTCTCCACTCCAGGCTGTGATAAGTATTCTCAGATCATAGAAATGAGGATGATCACAATGATGACAACAACAACAGTACTAGCTATAATGTACTGAACACACTCTGTGCCAGATACCACACTCAGCACCTTCCATGTATTTTCTTAATTCTAGTGCCTGCAGCAGAGTGCTGTGATGACACTTCTATCTCCCCAACTAGACTAGACTAAGCTCGTTGAGGGCAGAAACTATATCATGCATTTCTGGACACCCACCCCGCCCCCAGCCCAGATCACAGGGTCTAGCGCAGAAGCAGGATTAGGAAATAAGGATCAGATGATGAATTAATAATCACAACTATTTATTAAATGCCTCTGATACATCAGACATCTCCATCAATTCTCCCAACACCGTAGGAGGTAGAAAATGTTATCCCCATTTTACAGATTCAGAAATGGAAGGCAAGAAAGATTGGATAATTTGCTAAAGGCCATGGAGGTAGAAAGTGGTGAAACAGGTGTCAACAGGTGAAGTTCTTCCCACTAGCTAGTATTTCCCAACCCCAGTCGCACAGGATCTTTCCCCAGCATATTCCATTCCCTGATTTCTATCTTCTCTGATTTGGTCCAAGGCAATAGGAGGACAGCAAGAAAAAGCACATTCTGCTGGGCGCGGGGCTTACGCCTGTAATCCCAGCACTTTGGGAGGCCAAAGTGGGCAGATCACCTGAGCTCAAGAGTTTGAGACCAGCCTGGCCAACAAGGTGAAACCCCAACTCTGTTAAAAATACAAAAATTAGCCAGGCGTGGTGTCAGGCACCTGTAATCCCAGCTACTCGGGAGGCTGAGGCAGGAGAATCGCTTGAACCGGGGAGGCGGAGGTTGCAGTGAGCAGAGATCGCGCCACTGCAGCCTGGGTGACAGAGTGAGACTCGGTCTCAAAAAAAAAAAAAGAAAAGAAAAGAAAAAACACATTCCCTCTGGTATGCATGTTCGTGTGCACACTGTGTGCATGTATGTGTGCTGTGAGATGAAGCTGTGTGGAAGCCTAAATCTTCCCTGCTAAGCTCCTCTCCCTCCAGCTCATACTCCTCTTCCTCACTACAGCTGGACATCAAGGCCCCTGCTCTCCTCTGAGGCCATAGAGGGACCCTTGTCAGTGGATGCTACTTACCATCTGAGCTGTACACATGTGGTACCACACAGCCATAGGTCTGAAGCCCACCTCAGTGTCCATGTGCGGCCATGTGTGTACACAACCCAACTGGGATCGGCCACATGATTGTATATGCATCTGTCTCTGTTTATGCGTATATCTGGCTATTTTATGTGTCTTGGTGGGTGTACATGCCTGTGAGCCCATGTGTGCAAATGATGTGTCTGTAAGTGTGCGACCAGGGGACAGTACACTAAATGGTACCCTAGAAAGTCATGTGGCCCTGTCCCCTGCTGCTAGGTCAGTGTATTGTGGCTCTTCCACCCCTGAACAAGGTGTGAGAGAGAACAAGAGAAAAATACAGAGAAAGAAAAAAAAAGCAAGGAGAGAGATCAACACAGAAAATAAATAATTTGTCTTAGCCATTTTAGTTTCTGCAACATTTAGCACAGAGCCTGGCATACAGTTGGTGCTTAGTAAATAGTAAATGTTGAATGAATGGGAAGGAATTTTAGACCAAGAGATTGTGAGGGAGGCAGGACCACCACAGCCCAGGATGGTCCACGGGAGGAAATGGAGACCCAGAGTCCTAGCCCACTACCTCCTCTGTCCCAGGACATAGGCCTCAAGAGGGTGACCCCTGCCCAGTGGGCCCTTTCCCAGCAATAGGGGCAGCCAGGACCTGCACTACTGAGGTCTTCAGCCAGGCCCAGCTGCAGGAACCCCTTCCACATCCAGTTCTGAGTCCTGGTGGCCCCTATAGGGAGGCCCCCCCAGGCTGGAACCCTACAAGGCCTGCAGGAGCCTCTAAACAGAGGCCCTGCACTCTTGGCCCCAGGCCGGGCCCTGCCTGGGCTCAGTCCACTGCACACTCCAAACAGAATCAATTATATATTTAAAAGGTGCCGCCCCGCAATTCCTGGCGAGCCAGGAGAGCCATCCATCACGGCGCGGCCGCGTTTCACAAGCTGTCGAATTGTGCTTACATTGGTTAAAAGAATCTTTATATTTCATTAAGCAAGCAGATCGGCGGATCTCCCGCCACAGGCGCCATATAGATGGCTTTAATTTTCCAAATCTGCAAATGCATCCGTTATGTCCCCGCATCGCTGCTGGCTGCGGCCTAATGCCTAGCCAATCGAAGAATCAAGCAGAATTTTATTAGGGGGCATTTTTTATAAATTAACAGCAGCAGTGCCATGAAAATGCATGCAAGACGTCTTTGATTAAAAAGAAAGTGGACCTTTCCTTGGGTCACACCCTGCTCAGCCACCCCACAGGCCTACCCCACCAACTCTTTGCCTCTCCCTTTCCTTCTCTGAACTTTTAATTTTCCCTCTGTTTCTTCTCATTCCCATTCACAATGGAAACAAGGCAGAAAAACTTTACTTAGAGGAAAGGAAAGAGAAGGAGAAGCAGAGGAAACAAACATTCTCTGAGAGAATGGCACGGTGAGGCATGGTGAGACACATCATCTCATCAACAACAATAACAACAGCTACCAGTCTTTGAATATCTACCACGTGCCAAGTCTTGTTTCACTCATTCTAGGTATATCACCTAATAAACTTCAACACAACCCTTCCAGATAGGTATAATTATCCCCATTATATGGATGAGAAAACTAAGACTCAGGGAGATAAAGTCTCCTGCCCAAGGTCCCACAGCTAGTAAGTGGTGGAGGCAGGATGGGAATCCAGGTCTCTGAGTCTCTGAAGAGCTATCTGGTATTTATTTTCACAGTGTGACCAAGAGATAGGCCCTGGTGAGGACCAACCCTGGGTGTCAATGGCAGAGGGAGAGATCGAGAGTAGCCTGTTGCCATGGACTCTCTTCCCTGAGAAAGGCTGCTGCCCCTTTATCTCTGGAGGTTCTCCAGTGACACTCTGAGGGGAGAGGCCACTGCAACCGTCCCTCCTGCTTTGCAGTTTGAAGTCCAAAAGGACTTTTACTCATGCAGGTAGAAGATCATGAATACACGAACCCGGGAGCAGCAAGCCAGGGCTCCTGCCCCAACTCCAGGCTGCTTTGTGACCTTGGCTAGCGTCCTACCATCTCTGACCTCTTCTGATATGACACTAACCAGGAGGGAAAGAGACCTTGTCATGAGAAGTGTGTAACCCAGGGCTGGCCAGCCACGTGTGAAGGAGGCCGAAAAGGAGGGATTCGTTCATGTGTATGCATGTGTGTGTGCATGAGTGAGTGGGTGTTGTGGGGCTGGCTGAACAAGATGACCTAGAAGCCTTCCAACTCTGAGCTTTTGGGTCCAAGATTTTAAAAGAAGCTTTGTCCCTGGCACATGCCAGATCCTCAACTTCAGCACCTCATTAATTTCTTACCCCAAGTCTATGAGGGAGGCGCTCTCCACATTGCAGATGAGGAGTTGAGGCTCAAGGAAGGTGAGTCCCTTTGGCTGGCCTGCTTGGGAATGGGGAAGGCTAAGCCCCCATCCCAGTAAGTACCCTGTTCCCACATCTGTTCTTAGTTCTGAGTTGCCAGGAATCTGCAGTGGGAGGATAGGATGTGAGGGCTGTGGAGATCCCGATCCTACCCTGACCAAGGACCCTGCAGGCACACAGTTTGAGAGCAAGCTTGACATGATGACATCCCCAGCTACTACCTCTCAGATGCCGCTTATTTTACAGGGGCTCCTCCAAGAGCCCCATATCCATTCCTGGGTTACGCTGAACCCTCCATGCTCCCCAAATCTCCTGTCAGTATCAGGCACTCAAAGGTGCAGAAAGCCCAGGGATCAGCCTCTTCCTCCCCCTGCCAGGGGCCAGATTCTTCCCAACAAGGGCTCTCCACCAGAGGGTGGGGTGGGCCAGGCCTCATTTGAAACAAATGAACCCATCTCTCAGACCAGTTCTCTCTGATACCTTCAAAGCCATATTTCTTAAGAGCCATATCCAAATCTGTCATCTCCCCTTCCTTCCCTCCTGTACACTCCCACCCACCACTGAGCCATGGCTCTCCAAAGCTACTATGTGGCTGCCTCCCACTCCGGGAATGTTGTCCCTCCACCAGCATGACCTGGAGAACTCCTGACTTGCATTAAGCTTGCACACGCCTTTCTCCAGGAAGCCTCTCCTGCCATCCCCATCTTACAGATTCAGAAATGGAAGGTGAGAAAGATTGGATAATTTTCTAAAATCATCCAATTTTAGCAGTGGTTCGGTCCAGAAGTCACCAGTTGGGTCCGGTGACTTCTTTAAATTCCTATCCTTACCAAATTGTAGTTGCCAATTTGCCTACCTTTTGCCAGAGTTTTATAATAAATAACTATTATTACCAGCTATCCTCATAGAGACCTGACTGGCAGCATCTCATTTAATCTTCACAACCTCATAATCCCCATTTGACTGATAAGGAAGCTGAGACCCAGAGAAGTAAAATCACTTGTCCAAAGCTACACAGCTAAGCAGCTTAGCCGGGATGGAATCGAGGGAGTCTAACTCCAAATTGTGAAATCAGTGCCCACCAGAGCTCTTAACCTTGATCCAGGGCGGGGTCTGCTTCCCCAGCTAGTACTCAGGACCCAGTGCCCAGAGCAAGGGACATCAGACATTCATTCCACAAATAAAGATGGAGCCACTGCCTGTTGAGCGATGGACTTTGGGGGTAGTGTCATGAATTCCAGCTTGAAGGGCTCAGATTCTAGGGGAATTGCAGATGGTCACATGCCCTAGGGCAGAGGAAACCAGCTCTGGGAGATGAGAGTGGGCCAATGTCCAAAGTTTCCTCTTCACCCTGCCTGCTCTGCCCTGCCCCAGCAGGGAAAATCCAATGTCCTCACCAGAAGCCAAGCCACCTTCTGGCCACAGCTGTGACCCTGACCTTGTCACAGACTAAGCTCTAACCTCATCCTACATGAGCCCTGGTCACTGCCCTCACCTTGGCCATGTTCCCTCCCCCAGCCAGTGGCATAGGTATCATGACCCCCACATCGCCACCGTTAACCCTGCATTGCCTGATCCATATGGGAAGGGGATGAGCTGTGGGGGGTCAAATAATCTGCTCATCCTCCTTTCATCTCCACTGAGGGCCCCCAAAGTGAACCTGGAGTTGGAGCTATGCATGGCAGGCAGGTGGGCTTGGAAGTATGTGGCTTTGCAAGGGTCAGATTGGAAGAGGTGCTGGACTTCATAACGGGCACACAGAGCTCATAAATTCCTCAAAGGAGATTCTCACCTCCCCTCTTGGCTCAGGGATGGGGGCCCAGTGGATAGGAGAAGAACCCACTGGGAGAGTTCCAGGGTCCCGGTGGGTCTCAGGGCCAACCACCGGCCAGTGGCCCTTTGAAGGAGTCGGGGCTCTTAGTTCCCTATACAAACTGTTATCCATTAACATCCAATTATCCCTTGGTCCGAGCCATTAATTATAAATCAGCCACTAATTGGGGTAATTAGCCCCCCGCAGGCTAATGGGCCGAGACTGAGGGAGGCCCCTCCGCCTACAGTCCTCCAGTTTTCCGAGGTCCTTAATGTTGGGGGTGCAGAGAAATCAGGCGGCTGGAGTTAATTTTTTGTTCTTTTAAGGCAGCAAAATGCAGCCAGGAAAGGGAAAGAAGATGGGAGAGGCCACTTTTTTGTTGCTTTTTCTCGAATCTGGCCCAGCATCCATCAGCTTTTGAGAGCAGGTAGGTGGCGGGGTAGGCCAAGGGACCTGACTGCAAGTCTTGAGAGTAGAATTGTCTGGGTAATTGCTTGATTCTCTGCTTCCTTTCTGGCAGAGATACAGCTAGCACACTGGAGATCGAGGAGACTTGGGCGGAGCCGAGATGGAGCAGGGCATAGGTTAAGACCCCAGGATGTTCCTGGCCTCTCCAGGGTACAGAAGTGGTGGCCCTGCCTGCTCAGTTAGCCTTGGCCCAAAGTCTGTCAGGGATGACCTGGTCCACTTTTGGCCATCCAGATCCAGGCCGGGGCTGGGAAACAGGGACTACAGAGTACCCTGAGGAGCAGAGCTGCTCTAGGCCCAAGTTAGGGCCTCCAAACGGCTGGAGGAACTCGGAGGAGGGTCTGTCCTGCGGGCGCAGAAAGCGCGGTTGCGGCTCCTGCTCTGCACACTGACAGATGTACAACTCATCCGGGGCACAAGCAACCCTGGAGATAGAGCTGTGGAGGCTGGAACAGGCCGGGAAACCCAGTGGGCTCCAGTGGCCTCGGGGCTCATGGAAGCAGCGCCCACAGTGGCTGTAGACCAGAGGGAAGGAGTGACCCCATCTGGGAAATGTGCTCCCTCCTGCCGCTGTCATATCCAGGGAACTCCCCTTTGCCAGCAAAAACCTGGCTAAAGTCCGAAGAACAGTTGGGGCCAGAGCCACCAGAGCTGGGATCTGTGGTCTGTCCAATCTGGGATGTCCACCCATCAGGCAACACTGGGGCAGAGTCAAATAAGCTTGGAAGAACGGACAGGTGACTAAATAGAAAGAGAGGCCACTGAACGGCGGGAGGGCTGGACATTGGAGAGCCCAGCTCGGTGCCCTTCTTACAGAAAGGGAAACTGAGACTCGCTCAAGGTCAGACAGGAGAGGCACTCAGTGCAGGATGAATGTGGAGACCAGAACACACACCCTGCCGAAAGCTCACCAACCCACCCCAGCGCCCCTCCCTACTCGTTCGGTAATGGGCTTTGGCGGGCAGCAGTGGCGTCGCCCGGGGCCTTGATTAGATATTTATTGCTGTCATTTACATGGGCACTGCGGGGCGGCCGAGCGGGACTGTGAGAAAGGGGTGGGGTGGGGGGCGAAATGGGAAGGCAGGGGTGGGGGAGGTGAAGACTGGCTCCTTGAGGAACTGGGACTGGCCGGAGGAGGAGGAGTAACTTCGAGGCCTGGAGAGAGTGGCGGGAATAGGGAGCGCAGAGGCCAAGCAAAAATGTAGACGCACCCTCCCTAGGGCTGCCTGGGGCTTCTGCGCAAGGTGGGGCTGTGACACTTGGGACTGTTGTCCTACGGGGTGTCTGCATGTGTTGAGCATGAGTGTCTGCGTGAGTTTAACCTGTGAGTATGGAACTGTGTCTATCAGAGGGGTTTTACGTGATTAGTGGATCTGCCCATGCCTCTTGTGTGACTTCTCAAAGTGTGTCTGAGTGTGATACCCATAGCCCAGGTGACTCTAACCCAGGAGTCCCACTCTGCGTGCCTGTCAGCCTCTGTATGTGTGTCTGTGTGTGACCGTCAATCTAGACAGCTGGCAAATATGTGTGCGCACACAGAATTCGTTCAGACATAGGGGACTGCGCCTCTGGGTCTGCTTCTCCCTTTCCCTCAAAAACCACCGACAATGTCCCCTTGCTCCAATCGTCAAACCAGATTGGTTGCTCCTCAGAAGAACCCTGGCTTCCAAGAGGCTGGCACTAAGGGCTATGGTGGACTCCTCATTTTAGGCTGTACACTCCCAGAGCACTGACGCCCAGGAGAGGGTGGAAACTTTATTTCCTGCTCAAAATCCACAGTGTGTGCGTGGGTGTGTGCCCACAGGGTGTCAAGTGCAAGTTATGTTTGAGAACAGAGAAACAGCTCAAATTTCCTGACCACTTGGGGTTGTGCATGTGAAAGTGGCTAGGACAGGGGTGCAGGGATCCTCCAGACACTCACCCGATGCCCGTGAAGCTGACCCGTAAGCCCACTATCTGGCAGAGCCCATCCCGAGGCCCGAGTGCTTGTCCTTCGCCATGGCCTTCGCCTGGGGCGGGTTTCCACTCCTCTGCACCTCTGCCTTTCTGTTCTGCATTCCATTCGGGGTCTGGGCTGACAGATTCCCGCCTCCTTGCAGGAGTAGGCGCCCCCAAATACTGCAGGGGTGGGGTAAGGTGTTTACCCCCCTCCTGAGTAGCAATGCCCTGCTTCTTTTCCCAAAAGTGTGTCTACCCCAGCCATACAGGAGAGAGATTTGAGCCAATTATCCAGAGAATTTGCTCTCACTAGGCAGCAAATTCGATTTTTTTCTGAACACCTAGACACACATAAACACAGCTGGTTTGCAGAAAGGGGAGGTAGGAACTAAATTCATTCGTCCTTAGGCCAGAGTGCCTTTCCATTCGAGGGGAGAACCAGGGATGTGGGTAAGTGAAACACAAATCCCCGAAAAATTGAAAACAACCCCCACTACACCCACCTAAAACTAACAGACCATAGAACTTTCTAGAAAGGGGTTGGACAGAGCTGACCCGCCTGCAGCGCACAGAATCCCTAGCACTAGAGAGGGGAAAGGACTCTGGTCGCCCTGCCATCGCCACAGCCAGGTAGGAACTTGCACAATTTCCTCGGCTGTGGAGCACACAACCCTTGCGGTACAGACAGCCCCTTTCCTCCAAGGTCCATCAAGTCAATAAAGCCCTCCTCTTTCCCCAACGCCCTCAAACTGGAGGCGCCCTTAGTAAACCAATATCGGCGCACCCTGCCCCGGCCTCCGAGGACTTTTCTCAAACGAAAAAGACCTTCTGGGGCCCGGGTCGGAACCAGCGCTGAGGCTGCGCTCCAGGCCCGGTGGGTTCTCGGCTTTGGTGAACTGCATGCTTGCAAAGAGGGTGAAAAGGCCTCGGATCTCGTCCTCCCCGTTCTTCCATTCCGGGACTCCTTCCTGCCGCAAATCACAAGCCTGAGGAGCCCACTGCCTCCCAAACCGAGTGTGGCTGGAATCCAGGAAAAGTCGGGGCCCCAGATTTGGTGCGAATTTGGGGAAGAGGAGGTTTCCCTCAAGCTCCTTAAGTGAACCACCAGTGCCAACGAAGCCCCTGCGCAGGTTCCGGGAATTTGTGACCGCCAGAAAGTTCAGCCGGTGGTGCCCGGGACCCTGCACAGTCCATCAGGGCCCCTGGCCTGTCGCCGTCAACGACTGAGTTACGGCCATCCAGTGTGGGAAGCCTAGGGAGGAAAGACCCTGGCAGTCCTCGCAACCCTTTGACTGCTCCCCTAGAAGCGCCCCGAGAGCCGCTCCGGGGACTGGCCCCAGCCTGCCGTTCCTCGCCGGAGCTCGCCTGACCCACGCCGGCTGAGGCCGCGGGAGGCAAAACGAATTCTAGGGAACTAGGGCCACTGCGCCCCAAACACCCACCTGAAGGTTCCTAGACCAAGGCCGCGTCTTCGAGGGCAGAGGCTGGCTGAGCGCCGAACCACCCTCAACTGGAAAATTCGTGCAGAATCGCAATCCAGAGAGAAAAGGCGCACTTGGTGGCAGCTGAGTTTGAACGGGATCTGCGCGGGCGAGACCAAAGCCAGACCCGGGCAATGCCCGGAGCACTGCGGGGTTCGCGTGGACCAGGAAGCTGGGAGGGCGTGGGCGGCCTCTGCGCTCCGCAGGCTGGGAACTGGGCTGCCGGCCGCGCCCCCTCCCCAGCCCCCGCCCAGGGCTCCGCAACTCCCCAGGCCGCATCTGGTCCGCATTACGCCGGCCACCTCCCTCCCCGCGCCGCCCCCTTCCAAACTGAGAAGGATTTGTCTCCGCTTAATATCCAAACCTTTTTTGTATTTTTTTTTTCAGGGGCGAAGTAATATCTTCCAAATGAGGCAAAACCGTGACGGATCCGAAGCGTTCTCCGCGGGTGCCTGCGTCTCCGCGGGCCAAGGCCTTCGTCCTCGCCTCGGCGCGTTTCTACCCACGGCTTGCCCTCCGCTCTCTCTGCCTCGGAATTTCGAGTTCTGCGCTCTTTCTGTCTCCCTAAGTTGCTCACTTTCTGCCACCGTTTTCAGCCCCGGGTATCTCTTCCTCTGTCTCACCCTGGGTCTCTCTGTCTGTCCCCGACTCGGTCTTTCTGGCATCCCTCCGCTTTCTCTGTCCCTGCGCTGTCTGTCTGTCTCCTAGTCCCTGGCTCCCTGCAAACTTTCTGATCCGCCCAGTGGGTCCGGGACTGCAGGACCGCAAGAGGGGAGGCTGTCCCCGGGTTCTCACGGCCCGCGTCCTCCCTGCAGCGACTGTCCCGCACTACTCCCGGCTCGGCCCGCCAGCCCCGCCCGCTCGTACCTGGTCACCCCGGCCCGCGCCGCCGCCTCCGCTGCCATCTACGCGCGACGGGGCCTGGGCTGGAGTTTTAAACTGCGTTTCCCGGGCGCCCGGCGCGGGCCCGGGCGCTTCCTAATGGCCCTGGTGGCTGCCAATCACGCCTCGCTCCCGCCCCGCCCTGCCCCGCCCCGCTGGTGCCGCAGCCCAGCTCCCGACCAAGGTGGCCCGACAGTCGGTGGGTCTGTGCGCCGGGCTCGCGTCCGTCACCTCTCCCGAATCTCTGCTCCTCGAGCTCTGGCTCCCGGTCCAGGGATCTCTGCCTCTCTTGGGTCCGCGGAAGCCGCAGGCCGATCCCTGGGGTGTTGAAAGGTCTTGAGAAACCTCCCCCTCGCCGGTCCCACCCCGACGCTTGGCAGCTGGAGTCCGTAGAGGTGACCTGGGGGAGCCCCGACGGACTCCCGTCCCCACTGTCCCTTCAAGGTTGTGCGCACACACACGCGCGCACACATACCTCTTCCCATCAGTTCCACACCACCTGCAACAACACTGCCACCCCCGCGCCACCATGCAGCGCCACAGCCAGTACTCTGAACTCGCCGCCCACACACCCCGCGGGTGCGCTGGTTTGCGCTCCTAGCAGCCGCTCACCTGTCTAGCACCTGGATGTTGGCCTCTGGGCCGGGAGGCCGCGGGCTGGAACTCGCGGCTTCACACACAGCACAGGCACCTGTCGCCGGGACTGGGGGAACAAACACACTCGGCGACCGGTCCACTTCGGGAAAATCCTGGGCCTGAGATGGTCCTGCTCTTACCAGCGCTCTGCTCCCTCCAGGCGGGAACCGGCTCATAGGAAGAGGACGTTCTGGGGCCGGCTCTCAATCAGGCAGAGGCTCGGCTTCCCAAAAGGTGTGTGTCTGAGCTGTGTGCCAGGGGGCAGGTGTACGCCCACACTGCCAGTGGATGCAGGGGTGACAAGTTGCTCTATAGAGATTCTGGGAGGCTCTGTGGATGTGGCTGTGTGGAGGTGGCTGGAGAGGCCTTGGCCAAGTGTGTGTGGGGGGGTGTGGGGTAGGTGGGGAGGGGACACTGTGCAACCAGCCTTTGGCCTCAGTGGCTGCAACTGTGACTCACATGTTGAGTGTGCCCTTGTGACTGGTGCTCCCGTGACCACGAATCCATGTGCAGCTGTGGGGTTTCATATGGTGGTGACTCCTTTGTGTGTGTGTAGCGAGCCCTTGTGCAATTTTCAGCTCAAACGTAGCTGCAAATCCAGGTGGCTGCGCGCAGGATGGGCACAGAGTCTTGGGACCAGAGCAGAGGGACCCTGCTTCTGGCAGTCCCTCTGGTCTATAAGCGAAGCTCTCAGGTCTACCTCCTGGGAGCTGGGCTGCTTGCTTAGGGGCTCAGGCACCGGGAGGAGCTGGTGCTGGCTGGCCAATACTGCCAGTAGATTTTAGAGCCCCAGCCTGGGTTGAGGGCGTCAGGAATTTTGTGCTGGGTGGGGCAGAAGGGGCCACAGGCAGAGTTGAGGGTCCGGGTCGATCTTCAGTCAGAGTTAGGGGCTGGGTGCCTCGGGGGGGTGGGGGGAGCAGTGGGCCTCAGAAGGGAGAGGAGAGGAGAGGAGGGGGCGGTAAGAGGATTAGGCCGCTTAGACCCTTCTCTCCCACCAGGATCCCCCACCCCCACCCCAAAGCTCCAGAAAAGATTTCTTCTGCCAAAGCAAAACCGTTTAGGCTCGATTTAAAGGGACAAGAAAGGCGGAGGCGGGGGCTTTAAATAACCTTTTAATTTCTCTTCAGGGATCCTGGCCCTGTGCGGGAGGGGAGTGGAGAGGAGGGGAGGGAAGGGGAGCCAAGGCTGTTTCTTTGGCTTAGATAATTGAGACTGCGGCTAGAGCTCCACACAAGCTGAGGAGATGGTGGGAAGGACAATGCGCCCCCATCTGGCTGCCCTCCACACACAAACAGGCACACAGATGATTCTGGAGAAAGCTATAACCCCCTGCACACACATAGCATCATTCAGTCACACACACAGACATGGGGCCAGGTGCACATGTGGAAGGGTCACATATGGAGAAACAAATGAGGGGGCACCAAAGTCCCTCCCTGCCATCCCGACTGGCAGAATGGAGAAGGCTTGCTCAGGTAGGCCTTATCCTCTCTGCCCCCCATCCCCAACTGGGGCTCCCCTTCCAGTAGGAGGGGGCATCATGTTTCTTTGCCCAGGGACTCAACTCCAACTTACCTCCTCCCTAGGTCCCCACCTCAGATAGCACAGGAGCTGCTGGGCAGGCTGGAGGAATGATGACCTCAACTCAGCCCGGGCCTGAGTGGGCCAGACCTGCCCGGGCTGGGGGAAGGGGGCTTGAGAACAGCACAAGTTCTGTTCGTTGGCTGAGGACTACTGAGGCAGCAGGGCAGCAGGCTCAACCAGGCACCCACTCTTGGAAGGAACTTGTCTGCCACACAGATTCTGAGTCCAGCTGGGGGAATCCTTGCTTGCCTCCTATCCCAGGCTACCAAGGCCCCCACCTGTGCCAGCTGTCCCCGTCCCCAAGGTCTGGAGGTGGTGTGTGGCTGGGTGGGCGGTATGCCCTGAGCCTCATGATACAACCAGGCCTCCACAGACTCAGATCCCCAGATACCTGGAGAAGCCCACACTACCAGGCCAGACCCACCTTCACAGAGACACACAGACCTCCATATAGGGGGACACCATGGACAGAAAGAGCTGCGGTCACTCACTCACTTCCTACCCCCACACACTTTCACAGACATTGCAGCCCAAGGGCTGCATTCACGGCTGGTTGTAGATTTCTGGGTGTGGGGACAAAGTTTGAGGGAAAAACAAAAATCCCTAGCAAGCTCTCTTGCTGAGATGGAAAGTCCGGAGGGAAACAGGACCAAACAGGGAAAGGGAACACGTCCTTTAGGGAGGCCTGAGTGATGGGAAGCTTGATGTGCCACAATGTGGGTGGGTTTTAGTGATTTCACAAAGCCATTTTGAAAGTGCCACCGTCTAGACAGGAATCAATAAGTGGAAATAGTTCAGGGCCTTCCTCCTGGAGTCTCCCCACCTGCCTGCCCAGGGCTGTTGCTGACGCCTTCAAAGGGCTTAAAAGAAAGGCATCCCCTGAGGAACTGGGGACCTGTCCCCAGTAGACTTTCCTGGGCTGCTGGGACTAGGAGTGCAGGCAGTGGTGCATTTCTGGATGTGGTTTTATATTTGTTCGAATTCATTTTCCTGTGCTATGAGTATATGAATACATTTAAGTATATACTCCTATATTTGTGTGTAATATATGCGTATACACGTTTACATGTGAATGTAGACTGTGCTTATGTGGATTGTGTGAGTTTGTAAATTCCTAGGTGTGCGTGTGGTGTGTGTGTGTTTTGGGGGGAGATGTTTCTAAGTTGGACCAAGGGGGAGGTGGGTAAGGGGTGAGTTAATTTAGGAACTTGGGAAAACTAGGTGCTCACCGTTTCCAACTGGTCTGGAAATGCAAAGAACGCAGGGTCCCAGCTGTCTGCCCGGAACCACTTTAGGGGCCTAGGTCCCCTTGAAGTCCCAGGGCAGGCCCCAGCCCCACCATCGCTGGTCTCTGAGCTCAGTTTAGAGTAGCAATGTCAAACCCAACCACCCTACTCACACCCCAACTCTGTCTGTCTGTCTGTCTGTCTGTCTGTCTGTCTGTCTGTCTGTCTGTCCCTCTCTCTCTGTTTCTCCTTAGCTTCCCCCTCCACCCCCACGAAGGCTCCCTAGCAGCTCACAGCGAGGGTTTGGGGCGGGTGAGAGGGGTTGGCGAATGCCCCATGCGGCCGCCCTCTCAACCTCCAGGCGGGCAGGGGATGTCCTCGAAGAGCGGGAACACCTGGCTGTGCGGCTTGAGGGCCGGGGCCCCTCCCCGCCCCTTCCGGGCGGCCCACTGCCCTCTGCGTTCAGAGGAGGCTAGGTCCAGGTTCGGGTGGGGGACGCGGGTCTCAGTCCCCATCCTGGGCCCGCTCCCGCCCCAACGGCTGGCGCTCCCCGGGGCAGTGGCTGGGTGGTGGGCGGCTTAGACCTAATTCCGGAGTTAATGGCGGCGGCCGGGCCCCCCGCGGCCCCCTCCACCTCCCACCCCTACCCGGGGGCCCGGCCGCGGGCCGCCCGCATCTGCGCCGTCCGCAGCGATTCATCATCTTGATCCATGGCGCGCGCTGACGGCGGCCCCGGCCGCGCTGACAAGACTAACAAAGCAATTTGCCACGAGCCATCTCCTGGACAGGTTATTAGCGCGGCCGCCGCTTAAAGAGCCCTCCCCACTCCCACCCCCACCCCCAATCCCAGCGCAAGGCAGCTACCGCTCTGTCCCCGCCCTCCGACGGCTACTCCCCTTCACCGCTCAGAGATACCCCCGCTTGTTCCTGACCCTCTCCGACCACCCAAAAGTCACCCCCGCCCCCACCACACACACACACCCTGTTAGTTGCATGCACGTTCCTTCCTTCCCTTACTCCAGCCGCTACCTGCTCCACTCCCACCCTCCAACCCCGGTTCTTCAAATACCGCACGTGCTCCCAGCCTTTCCCCCAATACTCCCAGCCTTTCCCCCAATGCTACCTGACCCATCTCCTTCTCACCTCGAGAACTTGCTGACACCCAGAGGACCTCCTCATTTCTGCCCTCTCCACCCTCCTCCCGCCAGCCACCCCCAGCAGAGATTGGAAAACCCTATTTATTCGCAGCTTTGGAGTGGGGGGTCTCCTGTAGTGCCTTTGAGCATGCTGAGTTTCTTCTGACCACTCTTGCCCACAAGTAACTGTACTGTGAAGGGCAGGTAAGGTGGCCTTCAACTCCACTCACCCCGTGCCAGCTAGGGGGCAATGGCTCAGGCGCTCCTGAGCATAGTTCCAGCCCCCCAACCCACGTCTAGGCAGGCTGACTGCAGGAAGGCCAAGGCCTGGGCTTCCTCTCCGGTTGCACTTGCTCTGGGAAGTAAAGGAGACCAAGAGATAAGGAGTTCCCACTAAGCAATGCTCCTCCCACCTGGAGAGGCAGATGTGTAAGAGGGCTTTTGGCTGGATCTGGATCTCTCTCTCTCTCTCTCTTTTTTTGAGATGGAGTCTCACTCTGTCACCCAGGCTGGAGCTCAATGGCACGATCTTGGCTCACTGCAACCTCCATCTCCCGGGATCAAGTGATTCTCCCTCCTCAGCCTCCTGAGTAGCTGGGATTACAGGCGTCTGCCACCACGCCCAGCTAATTTATTTTTGTATTTTTAGTAGAGATGGGGTTTCACCATACTGGCCAAGCTGGTCTTGAACTCATGACCTCAAGTGATCCACCCGCCTCAGCCTCCCAAAGTGCTGGGATTACAGGCATGAGCCACCGTGCCCGGCCTGAATCTGTATATGTAATATGAGTATGGTACACGTTCTCATCCCCAAAGGCAGAGTGACTATTTGATGGTCCCAGACAGAAGTCAATTTTTTGAAGGAATTCTCTGGGTAGAGAGGATGTGGCCTGGTGCTTTAGATGTACTACACAGGTCTGTGTGAAGGGACTGGATGTGCACCCCTTCACTTGGGGAACACGCAAGTGTGTGTCTGACTGCATAAAGCCAAGTGTCATACGTTTGTGTACATTCACACATGGTAGGGGGGTCAAGTGTGTCCCCCTACATACATGTGCCGAGAGATTGCCTTATGTTTGTGTGCACTGAGGACTAAGTGTGCCCCTTGTGTGTACAAGGAGGCCTGGGAAAGGCCTGAGTGTGGCACATGTGTGAACATGCCTGTGTACACCTGGGGTAACTGGCCTTCAAACCAGGAAAGAGCCCCCACCTCCTTGTTCACTCTTCTCTCAAATCCAGCCTCAGCATTCCCAAACTGTCAGCCCCCACAGAGTGCTGGGGAGAGGCATGGCCCTCTGAGAACCTGGGAGGAGCTCCTGAGGGGTCCAGACAGAGGAGGCCCACTCTATCTTCAGGGCGGCTGGTCTTAAATCTCCACCCAGGTTGGTGCTGTGGGCCCAGGGTAGAGGCAGGGGGATGTACCATGTGCCAGGAGTCTGGCTTTTTTCTTTTCTTCCAGCCAACCAGGCCACGTCTTCACCCGAGGCGAGGCCCAGCTCTGTCGCTGCCTGCGCCACCACCACGTCCCTGACGTGAAATATGGGGGCGCAGGCCGCGCTGGGGAGATTTGTCATCTGTGCTCAGCGGGTGACTCTATCTGCAGACTATTAGAGTCTAAAATATATTTTACAAGAGTTTTAGCTACAGGTGACTTGCTCTTTATTACTAGATGTGGGCAAAATCAATACTTCTGTAACTAAAAGATCATTTATTTTGCTTTTTGAAACATTTTTCAACAGGGGCACTGGCTAAGCTTGCAAAGCTATGATTAAGAGTTATGGTGGCGCTGGTTTCCCTTAACCCTTTGAGGACCACAGCTCAGGCACACCTCAGGCTGGTGCCTGGCCATGGAAACACAGACACACAGATACACATCCCAAACGCAGCAAACACAGACGCAAACACAAAGTGCATGGGGCCCCCACCCTGATAAAGCCATCATGCAGATACACATATCTCATACATGTACACGCTCTTCCAGATACACATAGAAATATAGCTGCACACATACTCCTTCCAACCCAGAAACCCACAAATCAGATGCACCTGCACACAAATGCATGCGACTTGAAGGCCCCCAGCACACACTACACACAGATACCTCCCATTCCATGTCTGCACACACTCACGCATACACACTGGGACACTGAGATGTGCACGGTCACACTGTGCTAACTTCCAACACTGGGTCACTGAGCAACCAGGGGTTGGGACTCTGAAAGGAGGTTGGAAGATGCTGAGGAGTCCCACAAATGCAGCTGTGGCCACTACAAGCAGAGAATGGAGAGAGCCCAAAAGATGGGATCTGTGGAGCCTGGGCCCTACTATGGCCAAAGCCCAGTGCTCCTCAATTCCTCATCCCCAAGACAGCCCTGCCCCTCTCACTGTCAACTAAAGCAAGGGATGGTTTTTCCTGGAAGGAACCAGCCATATAGGAAAGCTATGAAGTATGACTCTATCAAAGCTGCTTGTACACCTGCTTGTGACACCTGGCCCAGCCCTGGGTGAGTTGAGAATGATCAAGATTAAGAATTACGAATGATTAAGCAGCAACATGCCATCCTCAGCATGGCATCTCCTAACTGGATTGGAGGTGTCCTCTAGCCATTATCTGATTCAGATAATCTGCATTAGCCCAGTTGTTATTTACCTCAGGGTTGGGAGAGTCATGGGGGAGATTGTGACTTAACCCACTCACAGGGTGAAACTCTAATGATGAGATTCCCAATAGTGAGACTGGTGAGGTTTATCAGTTATCCATTGCTGCATAACAAATTACCCCCAAACTTAGTGGCTTGCAACAAATATTTATTGTATCATAGTTTCTGAGGGTCAGAAATCCAGGAGCAGCTTAGCTGGGTGGTCTGACTCTGGGTGTCTCATGAGGCTGCAGTCAAGCCGCACTGTCCAGGGCTATATCATCTTCAGTCTTGATTGATGGGAGCTGGAGGGTCGTATTCTAGGAAAGTTCACTCACATGCCCGGCAGTTGGTGCTGGCTGTCAGCTGGGATGCCTCAGTTCTCTTGCATGTGGCCTCTAGGAGTATAGCCTGGACTTCTTTATATGGTGGCTGAGATGGATCAGAGAGAAAGAGACAGAGAGAGAGTGAGAGAGAGAGAGGGACAGAGGCGGGGGGGACAGAAGCTGTAGTCTTTTATAGGCTAATCTCAAAAGTGACATCCTGCCACTTTGTCATATTCTATTCATTATAAGCAAGTCACCAAGTCCATCCCATATTCAAGGAGAAGAGAATTAAGCTCCACCTCTCAAAGGAAGAAGTTATCAAAGAATTTGTGGGCGTGTTTTTTTTAAACTGCCACAACTAGGCAAGGAGACATTACCATTTTACCCAGTGTCTGCAAGATGACGAGCACCTCTTGATGTCTCCAAATCCCAGGAGGAGCTATCTTGAAGTTGGAAGGGTAGGGCCAAGGGATGGTGGGAACTCTGAAGTATCTCTTGCTTAGAACCACAATACAGCATTATAGCGTGCATGGTAATTAAATGCATGGACTCTGGAGCCAGACTGCCTGGGTTCAAATTCAGGGGGATGAGGGAGGGATGCTTCCTCACCAGGCTCTGCTACTTACTAGCTGTGACCTTGGGCAAGTCAACCTCTGTGCCTCAGTTTTCTTATTTGGAAAATGGGGGAAATAATCATGCTTACCCCCTCGGTTTGTTATAAAGATTGTGCTAAATGAGTTACCACTTAGCACCATGCCTGGTATGTGGGAAATGCCACATAAGTATCAGCTAATACTATCAGTTCTTCACTGTCATTGGCAACCCCCTCCCTGTGAACACTTTCTCACAAGGGATTTCTTGAGCACCTTTGATGTTCCTCAGGCTAATCCTATATACCCACCACCACCTCCCCAATTACTGTGGACCCCTCCCTATGACCAGCCCCACAGTTTGACCCAGCCAGGGGGCCAAGAAGAGGGGCTGGGCTCCGTGAGCACCATTTGACCCTGCCAGCCCAGCACTGCCTTTTGTGGCCTCTCTGGGAATGTTGTGCAATATGTTGGCCACAAACATTTTACGAGCAAGAGGACAGGGAGAAATTTTCGTCTATCGACCCACAGTCAGGGTTGCTCCCTCCCCCTCCTCTCCGTAAGTCTCCTTGCCAATGAGAGGGCCAAGGCCAAGGCTGTCCTCTCAGCAGAGCCCCCAAAGCAGCAGCCCAGTCTTCCCAGCACTAGACCTGAAACAACTACCCCCTCCCCCACTCCACCCCGACACAGAGGAGTAGGCAGAGCTCTAATCTAGGAGACCTGAGTGCATAGGGCCTAGGAGCCTTAGCCCTCTGGGGTGGGGAACCTCTCCAAGATTGCTCGGTCTAGGATCCCCAAAACATTTTCATCCAAATACCAATAAATAAGAAAAATAAGGTTTTTATAGGAAAATTTTCATAAAGCTACATCTATTCAATTTGAAGATCTATCCTCTCTATTCTGGGATTATGTCTTTTTTACTTTTTTGATTCTAAAATATCCTCTTTTTAATAAAATGATGCTGACAGCAGTTAGTAGTTTTCCATCTGTGCCCTTATATGGCAAAATTAATAGCTGGCAATTTTATTCTGGAACTCATATTTAAAACATTTTTTGCTGGCCCATGAAATGCAAACATGTGAAACACCATTCTCTTCTACATAGAAAGCACAAAACTGCCCCTTCCCCATCAAGAACACCTGCTGACCTCTAGCCTGGGTTCAAACACCTGGTGAAAAGGGGGAGCTCACTACATTCCTGCCTCAGCTTGGCCAGCAACTTGGTGTGACCTGAGGCAAGCCCCTTCTTATCCTGAGCCCTGGTTGGTCTCCCCATCTGCTCAGTGAGCAGTGCAGACTGATGTTCCTTCTCACTCTGTGATCTAGACCCACTCCAACTGCTACCCTGAGACCTGCAGCCCTTCTTGCTCTACTCCCTCGTCCACCTCCACCCTGAAATGACCACAGGTGGATGCTGATATTCTGGGCCAGGCTGGCTGGGCCTGGGATGCTCCCTTACCAGGTTCGACTGGGGATACAGTCTCTGAGCTGGGGCTAGGGGGGTCAGAGGGGTCTTTGGCCTTTGGCCTGGGGGACCCTTTGGGATGCGACAGGGACAGAGAAAAGGATTTATCTCAGGGGCTTGGCCTGCACTGAGCTCTCGGGACCCCCTCCCCTCCCTGCCCCTAAGGCTTGGCTGGAGCACAAGGGGCCCCTTTGTGGGGCCTAATCTCAAAGCACTTCGGCTTTAGCGACCTTCAGGGATGAAAGCGCCAGGAGCTAGCGGCCGGGAGGTGGTGTGGGGGCAGCCCTGCTAATCCCTGCGCTTTTGCCAAACAAAGCTGCCAGGAGGGGCTGGCTCCCGGGAGATGATCCAGAGAACCAATTCCCCGAGCCTAACCCGCTCTGACAGCCCGACAAGGAGAGGCCCGCTGCCCGCCCCCATGGCCCCAGCACGGCCACAGGGGCTGAGGGAGGCCTGGCCTAGGACTGTTGGGCACAGCCTGCCATCCACCCATGGACACCCTTCTCTGTCCATGAGCATGTTTCTCCACTTCCTTTCCCCCCGTGTCAGCTACACTGGCCTGCTAGTTCCTCAGCCTCCAAACACCTTAACCTGGTCTCCTCAGGCCCTACCACCCTAGCCCCCCCCAGGACCCCAGTTCTTAATTCTCAGCCCCTAAGTTTCCCAATATCCAAAATCCTCAGCCCCTCCCAATATCATCCCATTCCTTAGGACCCCAGACTCCCAGCCCCTCAGCCACCCAATATCCACCTCTCCTGATTCTCAGCCCACAATCCTTAACTCTCCATCTCACAACCTTTCAGCTTTTCTCCCCCAGTTCCCCACCCCAGGCTCCACAGAATGCCAGCCCTGTTCTCCCAGCCCTTCCCCTCCTGAGCTGGGCAGACACCCCTACCTTTCCGTGGGATGCATCTGCCTCACTCTGCCCTATGCCATTCCACCTGACCAGGCTTCCCAGTACCCCAGGGACCCAGACCTGTGCTCAGTTTGGCCATGAGAAGACGGAAGAGGGAAGTGATTCTGACTCGACCCTGATTAAACCTGTGTCGTGTACCAGACACTCTCTCCACCCATGACCACTTTGAACTCCTGATGCTTCATGCCGGTCTCACAGGTGAGCAGCATCACGGCCAGAGGAAGGGGCAGGGGTCTCTCCTGGGCTCCATGGCTTGAGAAAAGCAGCCCAAAGGGCTAGTTTCTTAGGGAAGAGGGTGTTAACAGGGCTGGGCATTCTACTGCCCCATCGCTCTCCTAAGCTGAGGAGACCCAGGATGCAGAAACCTCCACTAGGCTCAGAGAGGGCCAGGTGCCAGGTGGGTCACCCAGGCTGGCAGGGGTCACTGAGGAGCCAGGATGGCCTTGGGGCCCACAGGGGAGGAGGTGGGCAGGGCAAGAGGGTGGATTCCCAGGAGAGAGGTGGGGGCCAGGCCAGCCCAGAGCATTTTCCCACCATAGTTTCTGCTGTCTCCACTCCACTAATCTGATTACAATATTTACCAACCTCCCATGGCCTGCTTGGGAGGGGTGGCGTGTTACCCTGAGGATCTCAGTTCCAGTTCCCAGCATCATGGGAGGCCCAGAAAGGTGTTTACGGGACCTAAAATGACTGCACCAGGCCGTTCCTCCTGTCTGCAGTCACAGGGATATCTGAAAGACCCCTCCCCATCAAGTCTAGCCTTCTTCAGGAAGTCTCCCTTGCCACCCTCTGTGTCCAGTTTCCTGGGTCCCCTCCAGTACATTGGGTTCTCATGCTGTCCCATCACATTATTAATGTAATATAATAATTATATTATTCAAAATCTGAGGCAGTGCCTTCCTTCCCGAGGATAAAAACTTTAATAGTGAGTTTGCAGGCACTGAGGACAAAGAGGGTGGTGACGCAGGCCCCAGAGGGCTACTCCACCTAATTGGCATCAGTGTCACACACAGTTGCTGTGACCTCACACTCAGGCTCAGCTCCTTCCTCAAAAGTGGGGTAAGGGAGCACTGAAACACTCATGTCAGGACTCACCGACAGAACAGACCGGACTGTGGTTCTCTCATACACACACACCTGTGCACACACGGTGAATGCACCTGCTGTCACACTGTCACATACGGAGGGCCCACTCCTCCCAGACCCTTCTCCCTCCTCTGTGCCAATTAGCACAGGACAGGAGGTCTATAGGGAACGCCCTGGGCTTGCTCCCTTCCAGAGCTGGTGTAGGTATGAGAGTTCCGTGGAGCGAGGACGCTGCCTGTAGATGAGAGAGGGGGATTCTTTGGGGGCTGGGAGGGAGACTCTTACTCCTTCTGTAACCCAAAATAGGACCATTTAAGAGGCAAGATGCCAGCCTCCCTGAGGATTGAGGACAGAGGAGATAGCGCTCCCCAGGAAAACCAAAATGCGTTTTTCCCCTCCCTTTCCTCCAAGGGTCTAAACCCCAAGCTCACTCATCCCTTGCAGGATTTCAAATAGAGAGGGGTTTTGGGGGTAACAGATAAGGGTTTCTTTAAAAAGCTAACAATCCAGGACCAACTTCAGACTGGGAGAAAGCTTGCCCCTTCTGAGGGCCCTAGGGTTCCACCCACAATGTACTCAACACTTACCCCTTTGGGTAATTCCAGCCAGGGGGTTGAAGAACAGGAACAAACCAGACGTCACCAAGGATCGGCCGCCCCCTGCTGTCTGGCTCTCAGAACTGCACCCTCTCCCCTGGGTGCCCCTCCCAGGCTCTTTATGTACTCCCGCAATCACACAAGGCCTTCACCTCTCACCTCCACATGCCCGTGGTTGGGTCAAAAAACCCATTCTGCCTTGATGTTCCAATTCCCCCACTGGCAGCTGCCTCGAAAAGGAGAGGGCCAGGCTGAGGTAAGGGCAGCAAGGTTGGAAAGATGGAGTTTCAAAGGCTGAATCTTGACTTTTCCACCCCTAAGGTACGGAGCGGGAGGGAGAGACCGACACAGGAAACAGGAGAAGTCAGTCTGGGGTGAAGTGGCCCTGAGACTGGAGAGGAGGGGTAAGGGAGAGGGATCTGATGAAGGAAGAGAGAGGGGACAAATCAGAGGGGCACAGGTGAGAAGGGCCCAGAGACATGGCAGGTAAAGTAGACCCAGGTGACAGGGGAATGGAGATATGGGCACAGGTGAGGGCACAGGTGGGCTGGGGGAGAGAAAAGGGGGCAGGGAAGGCATAGGGAGGCCTCCAAGGCAGCCCATGCGTAGCAGTCAGTGCCCCCTGCTGCCTGCCATCCACTGGTCCACATCCAGCTCTGCATGTCCAGCCCTGAGGACTGGCAGCCTTGTGACTGATGGCTAGGCCCCTGCTGGGGGCACTGAGGGTGGCCACTCAGCAGAGGCAAACAGCTTGGACATCTGTAGCCTCTGGACTATGAGACATGGTGGGGGCAGTGGGCAGAACAGATTGAGTTCAGTGCCGTGGTCTGAGGCCCAGACCTGGCAGGGGTCAGGGGAGGTTTGTGAGCCAGGCTTGGCTCCTCTCCCTCCCTCTCTGGCCTGTCCCAAGGGTCCTCTCTAAGGCAGGCCCAGCCTTTCTCTCCTGTTGTGAAGCCCAGAAGGGAGCTTTGTCCAGCTGGCCCAAGTGCCAAGGCTCCTAGCCTACCAGGCACCCTTCAGGACAGGACAGAACCCTGCCTTCCAGCCCCTCCATGGTGTACCCCAGCACACACAGTCAGGCCCAAGAGCCCTCTTTCTTTTTTTCTTTTTCTTTTCTTTCTTTCTTTTTCTTTTTTTTTTTTAAGACAGGATGTCACTCTATTGCCCAGGCTGGTGTGCAGTGGTGCAATCAGCCACAGCTCACTGGCAGCCTCAAACCCCACCTACCTACCCTTTTCCGGCTCAAGTGATTCTCCCACCTCAGCCTCCCAAGTAGCTGGGACTGTAAGTGTGTACCATCTATAGTCCCAGCTACTGGCTAATTTTTTGTATTTTTAGTAGAGACGGGGTTTCACCATGTTGCCCAGGCTGGTGTCGAACTCCTAGGCTAAAGCAATCTTCCCGCCTTGGCCTCCCAAAGTGTTGGGATTCCAGGTATGAGCCACTGTGCCCGGCTCCAATCCCACTTTCTACTCTGCCTCATTTTCTTCTATCCACGTGGTGCTGTGTATGCATGGGTGGAAGGAGTATTAATTAGACTATGCTTATAGACTGTCCAGCCCCAAATTCATAACTTTTACCCCCTAAAGCATTGATCTACCCAGTCCCCTGAGGGAGAGAAGCTGACTTCATCATCCCCTTTTC
Organism: Homo sapiens; assembly: GCF_000001405.40. Classification (NCBI taxonomy): domain Eukaryota; kingdom Metazoa; phylum Chordata; class Mammalia; order Primates; family Hominidae; genus Homo; species Homo sapiens. The sequence goes on along the minus strand of NC_000001.11, from coordinate 46,476,019 downwards.
TCAGCCATGGCCTTTGTTTTGTTTTTGTTTTTGTTTTTTTTGCATTGTTGTTTTGTTTTTTTGAGATGGAGTCTCGCTCTGTTGCCCAGGCTGAAGTGCAGTGGCCAACCTCTGCCTCCCAAGTTCAAGCAACTCTCCTGCCTCAGCCTCCTGAGTGGCTGAGATTACAGACATCCACCACCACACCCGCCTAATTTTTGTATTTTTAGTAGAGATGGGGTTTCACTGTGTTGTCCAGGCTAATCTCGAACTCCTGTCCTCAAGGGATCCACCCACCTCGGCCTCCCAAAGTGCTAGGATTACAGGCGTGAGCCACCTTGCCTGGCAGGCCTTTGTTGAGGGGTTGTTGTGGGGAGGCAGACTAGGGTGAGCCATGTGGGTAACTCACCCATGGTCACCAGCAGATGATCTGGGTTGGAACCCGGGTGTCCTGCACTCACCCAGGGCTCCTTCCACTATCTCCCCTGCCTCTCTAGGGCCCTGTAGTGGGTCCAGCCATCCACCCCCAGACTCTTATAACATTTCCACACACATACTATACATCAATCAGAAGATCTGTGGCCAGGAGGAGGGATGAGGGCCCAGGTGAGCAAATGAGACCTACCTTCTGGCTCCAAAACCCTGGAAGGTTGTCTTGGTTGTGGGGTGAGGGCCTCGGAGGGGTCTTGGTCTAAGGTAAATCTTGATCTAAAGTAAGTCCTGAAAGACCAATCAGTACTCCAAATGAGGAGGCACTTAGCAATGAGAGAGGCAGCCCAGGGAGGTGCTGAGCTTCCCATGCCAGAGAGATTTCCAGGTGAGGCCAGAGAAGGAAGGCTGGATGGCATGTTCCTTGAGGCTCCTTAGACCTGAAACCCCAGGCTGCTCCCAGGGAGCAACAGGAAAAATCACCCACCTTCAGACAGACCACTTGCTCCCCTACTCCTCTTCCTCCCCAGACACATGGTCAGAAGGAAGTGTCTGAGTGGCCTCATTTCTTCAGATTCCCCCTCCTATCCCCATGTCCCCCCAAGAGAGCCTGATGTCTGGACTTGAGGATGGCTTAGCCTAGCCCCACCCCCGCAGCTGCCTTCCTTCCTGCTCCCCACCCCAGCAGCCCCCAGGCCTCTTGCTGTGCCTGGCTGAGCGGGGATGGGGACGCCAAGGGGCTAGGGAGGGGGCTCATCAGCGGTTGCGCTGCTGCTAATAGACCATCCTCGGCCACATCCTATTACTGCACATACCCTCCCCAGCGCCCCCAGCCTGGCTGGCCTGCGCCTCTCTGCGGCTCCGGGGACCAGGCATCAGATTGGAGTCAAGATTCCGAGAGTGTCATTTGCCGCCGTTGATGGTGTTGATAATAGGGATGGGCTGGCGGGTGGGGGGCGGCGGCACAGAGGCGGATTCTCTATTAAGGCTTCCCCTCAGCGCAGCAGCAAGCGAGAAGCAGACCAGAGTTGGCACTGGGCGGGCGCGAGGCAGGGAGGTTCTCAGATGGGGTGGGCAGCTTACCTCTGCTGCTGTCTGCTCCATTAGTGCAGATCAGGCCCTGGCATGGAGCGTGCAGACTTGGTAGTTATGGGGTCAGAGAATGCCAAATTGCGGGGAAAGGGTGGAGAGCCAGTGGAAAACCCTGCACATCCCTCTACCCCTCTACCCCTCTACCCTGAGTCTGCCTGTTTCCATTCCACTTCACTGTCTGGGACCTACAACCCCCAGCTGCTGAACAGAAAGTGAGCTCCTTGCTGTCCTCCCTGCTCTCAGAGCACAGCCTCATAGCAGCAGCTGCAAAGCCCTGCTGGGAGCTGGGCAGTGGGTGTTCTTGTAGCCGGCCTTCACTGCCCCCGCAGACCCCATCACCTTCACCTCCTCCATCAGCACTTCACTGCCGCCTCCTCCTGTCATCACCACAGCCACTGCTGCCCAGGCCACCTCGACCATGGTCTCCACCCCCAACCCTGCTTCCACAAGGACACCATAATCACTACTGCTATCACCAACTCCATCCTCATCCCCACTTAGCAATGGTTATGAGCACAGGCTCTGGAGCACCTCCATTTACTAGCTGTGTCGCCTTGGATCACATATTTTAACCCCTCGGTGTCTAAGTTTCATAGTCTTTAAATGAGGGTAATATTAGCCACCTCAGAGGGCTGTCATGATTAAACAAGTTATTACATATAAAGTACTTAGAATAGTGCAGGGTACATAGTTAGTACTCAATAAATCTTATCCTCATTATTATTATCCCTATTCTCACCATTATCAACTTCATTGCCACCACTCCCACCTTCATCATCACCACCTCCACTGCCCTCCTTAACAGAAATAGCAGGCCAGGCGCAGTGGCTCATGCCTGTAATCCCAGCACTTTGGGAGGCTGAGGTGGGCAGATCACCTGAGATCAGGAGGTGGGTGGATAACCTGAGGTCAGGAGTTCGAGACCAGCCTGGCCAACATGATGAAACCCTGTCTCTACTAAAAATACAAAAATTAGCTGGGTGTGGTGGCATGCGCCTGTAATCCCAGCTACTAAGGGAGGCTGAGGCAAGAGAATCACTTGAACTTAGGAGGTGAGGTTGCAGTGAGCCGAGATCTCGCCACTGCATGCCAGCCTGGGCGACAAACTGAGACTCCATCTAAAAAAAACAAAAAAAACAAAAACAAACAAACAAACAAACAAAAAACAAGTAATAGCAGCTATCACTTAGATAGTATTTATTATGGGCCAGGCACTAGTCTAAGTATTGTGTAGATTTTATTAACTCATTTAATCCTCACAAGAACTCTATGAGGTAGGCATTATTAGCATCCCTATTTTATGGGAGAGGAAACTGAGGCAGAGAAAAGTTAAATAAGTTGCCTGGGGTCACACGGCTAATGTCAGAACCAGAAGTCAACCTATCTCCCATTAGGGCCTACTTTGCCCACAGTACTTTGACTATATCCATCACTTCCCTGTCACCTTCATCATTGTCAACATTCCAGCTCTTCCCCCACCTCCACCAGCATGTTAGCACCACCACCACCTCCATGGCTATCCAACTATCTCCACCTCGATGATGTCATCGTCTCCATCCCACTCTCAACAACCATCAGACCCTCAGCACCGTTGCTCCTTACTCACAGCCCATCTAAAACAGATTCTTGTTTTACCCTCCCTAGGCCCTGTACTCTGAGAGGTATGCATGTGCCCTGTGATACAGACCTGTTAATGTGGCCAGATCTGGAAAGGACAGGCAAAGAAATTTAAATTGCTACAAAGCTATTCAGGTGCCAGCTAGAATTTAAGGTCGGCTGGAGCCTGCAAGACATGCTTTGCAAAGCTGACTTCTCAGTTCCCCTAGGAGGCCCAATGTAGTTTAAACACCCTTTTAGCATTCTGAGAGCCTCTGATGTGGAAAGATACCTTCTACCTCACAAATAGCTACGCTGAGAACAGATTTGTCAACACAGACACAATCCTTCTATTTGGCTACTTAGAAGTCTGTCTTCTCGACCAACTGAAAGCCTTGAGAGTGGGAACATGGCCTTGTTCTTCTCCTTGTCCTACTTCTCACTTACATCCTCCACCCCACAACACATACCCAACATCAGTGAATAAGTGGACAGAGGCGATCTAGTTAGGCCTGGAAGGGAATGGGATGTGTGTGTGTGTTGGCAGGGGGGCAGGCGGGCGGCTGGGGGCGGTGGAGGGGAGGGGGGGCTTGCTGTCCATGGTACTGAGACAGAGCTTTATTCTTTAGGGACCCACAGGAGGGATCTCTTGTCCTTTAAGAATGATTATTCAGTTTTTTCAGAGCCTATCGCGGCTTGCCATCACTATTTGCAAAGCCCATTACCCTTCACAGAGTCTCTCCCTATTTATAAGGCTCATCATTGTTTGCAGAGCCTTAAAGTTTGCAGCCTGCCATTGTTTGCAGAGCCTGAAATCATATGCAAAGCTCATCAGTATTTGCAGAGCCTACTACCATCTGCAGAGCACATCCCATCACTGATTTCTGAATCTGTCACTGTCACAGATCCAATGATAATTTGCAGAACATGTTACCATTTTCAGAACCCTAGACTTTACAAAGACCCTATTTGCAGAGCCAAACCCCACATATAGATCTCATTATTGTTTACAGAGCCTGTCACCATTTGCAGAACCAGGCTCAAGGCTGGGTGCATACGGGATGCTCAAAAGGTTCTCCTGGCCCATTCATCCATAGAAGGAAAGGGAGCCAGAAGGAAAATAAGGAAACGAACAACAGAGAACTCTGCATTCATTCAATAAGATTCCTATGGGTCTACGCATGTGTTGGGCTCTGTAAACAAAAAATCAAGGAAATGCAATAAAAATGGCTTCCAGTTCTTGAGTCAGGCTCTGTGTTAAGTGCTTTACACATTTTACTTCACCACAATCCAGAGAGATAGGGACTGTTCCTATCGCCATTTTATAGATGATGAGGTGTCCCTGGCTGAGAGAGATCAAATACCTTACTCCTTATCACAGAGCTTACTACTAGCAAGTCCAGAACTTGAACTTGAGTTTGTTTGACTCCAAAAATCATTGCTCTATTCCTTCTCATTTTGGAAAAAAAAAAAATGGAGAAAGGAGGAAATTGCAGAGAAATTGGCTGCCTGTCTGAATGGAGGCAAGGCTCTTCCCTTGAAACACAGTATAAAGTGGGAAGCGAAGTCTTTGGGGCCTTCAGAGTGTTCCTGGACTGACCTAGACTGAGTCCAAGTGCAGATTCTGAAGAATAAATCCCCTCAGAGGGGACACTAGGCATCCAGGACACCCTGTCTCCCAGCCTCTTCTCTCCATTCAGCTCCTGACCTACAGCATCCTTAGAACCTGAGCATAGGCCAGGCTCAGTGGCTCATGCCTGTAATCACAGCACCTTGGGAGGCAGAGGCGGATGGATTGCTTGAGGCCAGGAGTTCAAAACCAGCCTGGCCAACATGGTGTAACCCCATCTCTACTAAAAATACAAAAATCAGTCAGGTGTGGTGGCACATGCTTGTAATCCCAGCTACTCGGGAGGCTGAGGCACGAGAATTGCTTGAACCTGGGAGGCAGAGGTTGCAGTGAGCCAAGATCATGTCGCTGCACTCCAGCCTGGGTGACAGAGCAAGACTCTGTCTCAAAAAAAACAAAAAACAAAAAACAAAACCTGAGCACAGAGACCACATTGAGCCACACAGAGGCTTGCCGAGGGCAAGATGAGCCTTGAAGCAGAGAGGTACAGATGGAGAGACACCAAGATTTAGAGACAGACAAGGAAGAGCCGGAGATCATCACAGAGACAGAGAGAGATACAGCCAGACAGAGACAGGGACACAGATTCACAGGCCTTTGACAAGACACTAAGAGGTAGAAACAGGGACATGGAGCAGCCAAGAGTAGAGAGGCCAAGAGGATAGAAGCCAGGAGGGCATGAGGCAGAAGAGGACCCAGTGGCATCCGTCGCACTCAGAGGGTCCAAGCACCCAGCAGCGATGGGGGAGGTGCTTGCTGAAGAGGCAAAATAAGCCCTTTCCAGGATGCCCTGCATGTGGGCTGCACACAAACCTACAGTCCCACTCCTGGGTAAGAACGTGCACACAGCCCACGCCTGGGGGTTCAGCCCATCCCTGACGCCCTTTATCCACCTTTGGGATGACCCAACAGACTGCCATCTTGAGCTCAAATGACTTCTGGGCCTGGACTTTTGTAGGCCAGTGCTTTCCCTGAGCTTAACCCCAGTGGTGTCCGGGTGATTTAGGCGGCACTAGCCCTTCCCTCAATTACCAGCAGTCCTGAGCAGTCCTAAATAGGCAGGCAATCTTCATAAGACAGCACGTTTGCTATGCAAAGCCAGCAGGCAGAGTCTCAAGCCCCCATCCCTCCAGTCCACACTCCAACGTCCCTCATATGGAAATGTTCCCATTCCCACTGTCCAGTCACGCCCCCAGGCTAGATAATCGGATGACTTTCTTGAAAAGGTCCCTGCTGGTTTCCAGCTGTGTCAAGGGTACAAAGTAAACAGGAGATGCCTGGCCCCTAGCACACAGTAGGCACAATCAATGACAATCACAGAAGGCACTGCAGGCAGGGACCCCTCTCTCCTCCTGGTCCCCTTCTCACCCCACCCCCTGGGCCAGTGCCAAGCAGACCCAAACTGGAGAAGAGCAGGGACTTTGCCTCTTCACCTGGGCAGACAAGGGGAACGGGGAAGGCAAGGAGGCCCCAGGGCGGGCCCGGAGTCTCACTCCGATCTGTACCCCCGCTTGCCCCTGCCCCAGCCTCAGATGGGCTGTGGGCTTCTCTCTCCGGGAAGGTAATGGCTTCTGGCCTGAAACAACTGAGCCACTGAGCCACTTCAGATTCAGCCTCTCCTCTTCTCACCCACCCCTACACACACACTTGGAGACTGGAGGGAGAGGAGGGAGTTCAGGCTCCCCTCCCCACAGGGCAGGCTGCCCCAGACTGGCTCCCCATCCCCTCTGTGCTCTCCTAAGTGATGAGCCTGAATGGGGTGGGGAAAATTGCAGTGGATCCCAAAAGTCTCCCTTTTCCCCAGCCATCCTCCTTTGGGGGAGGGGGTTTCAAGAGCTCATTGGCTGTTAGATTCTTTCTGCAGTCTGCCTGTCTGCCTATTCTGAACTAAAAACTATAGTAACAATAATAGAAGTTCCTACAGCTTGAGCACCTACTAGGTGCCAGCCACTCTGCTACCTGCTTTACATTTTCTTTTATAGGTCCTATGAGGAAGGTATTGTTTTCATCCTTATTTTAAAGATGAGGCCTGAGGCATAGAGAGGCTAAGTATCTTGCCCAAGGATATACATCCACTAAGGGGTGCAGCAGGATCTGGACCAGGGCAGGGCTCTGGGGAAGGAGGCCATGGCCCAGCCCCCACCTGGAGGTTCCCTGGGTGTGTGGGGGCCTGCTTTTTCCCATCCTCACTCCCTCTAGCTCCATAGGCCTGACTTGTGCACCCCTGGGATGGGGCTCCTGCGTGGGTGGGCCTCTGCCCACCCCTGGCTGCTGATTAATTGTGACCAAGCACTCTCTGCAGCCGCCTAATCAGATCTGCCCCATTGGTGGCCAGAGGAAGCCTTCCTAAGCGTGAAATTGGGCCCGATTGCCCCATAGGGGGCTAGACACCTTAATGGGGGGGTGAGGCTGCCTGGTGGGTCCTGTCCAGTGGGTCAGGGATGCCCCAGAGAAGAGGGTTTGATGGGATTTCTTCTCAAGGGTCTGACTCTTCTGGCTTCTCCTCCCAGGGACTCCGAACCAGAAAGGCTAGAGGAGGAAAAGCCAGTGAGAGAACCAGGCCCAGACAAGGCCAGGGCTTAGCTATGGCTACACAGGGAGGGGCACATGCCTGTCTCCCCCATCACTCTCACTGACCCCAGTAGACTAAACTACCCAGCGCACATCTTCACCCTGCCATAGAGCACCCCATCCCACCATGACCGGGATCCCAGGGGCCAGCCCAGGCCACCTCGAGGTGGATCCCAGATTCTGGAGATAACTCACACACACACACACACACACACACACACACCCTCTGTGTGTGTGACAAGAGTGGTGGGTGTGATGGACACACAGGCATACACATGCACGCAGCATGGGGGCTGGAGGCAACAGCCGGTTCCCTGCTTGCTAAAGACTTATTGACCCTGACCCCTCTTTCCTCATTGATCCAGTCAGCCACAGGGTCACTCCATCACTGCCTAGGGCATGGGGTGGAGTGCCCTCCATGCCACAGCAATTACCCTCTGCCACTCTGGGTTTTTTATTTTTAATTTTTTTTTTTTTTTTATAGAGACAGGGCCACACTATGTTGCCCAGGCTGGTCTCGAATTCCTAGCCTCAAGTGATCCACCTGATCAGCCTCCCAAAATGCTGGGATTATAGGTGTAAGCCACCACACCCAATGCCCTGTGCCACTATGGCAACAATTCAATGTCCACCATCTGTCCATTCAAAGGATTGGTCTCTATCGGGAGTTGTGTGTGTGTGTGTGTGTGTGTGTGTGTGTGTGTGTCAGAGAGAGAACAGTGTGTCCATCGCCATTGTATGTGTCCATGATGAGTGCCTGTCTGTGGTCAGTGTGTGTCCACAGTCATTGTGTGTGATGTGATGTTTGTGCAAGGGGTGTGAGGCTAGAGATACACATTCCACTGACCACAAACACATGCTGTATAAAAACATATATATTACCATGGACATACACAAAGACTGTGGACACACACTGAGCATGAACACATGTATGGACCATGGACACACACTGATCACACACAATGGGCGTTTTACAAATGAAACGAGTCTGACTGAGCCTTTCCCACATCCTGCATTGGGTAGGCTTGGAACTGGGTTCTGTGTCGTTTTCCTAGATGGGTAAAAGGAAGCCACTCTCCCTCTCCCCTGCCTCCTCCCTGATAGCACCTCAGGGAAGGGGCTGGCCCAGAGGGGCCTGGTGAGGAATGTCTTGGATCCCCAGCCCTGCGGAGAGGACCCCTTAGCCAGAGTCACCAAGAGGACTCGGCCTGTTTCCATCCCAGCGTCCTGCCTCAGTCTTTTCCACCTACCCTGAGAAGGCCCCAGTTGCAGAAGCCAAAACTGGGCCCAGACTCCAGAGACAGGCCACGCTCAAACACACACACACACTCACAGACACTAACACACACTTGTCCTCAAGGTCCTTCAGAGGAGAGGAGCTGCAGGGAGGTCCGTGGGAGAGCACAGGTGCAGGGCCGTGCACCAGTCCTACGTCTACATAGGCTGGCAGGGACACCTTGTGTCACTGAGGGATTCTGCTGGAACCACAGGAGGCAGGTATCCGAACATCAAATTGCGTGTCTGTGAGTACGTGCATGCTTGTGTGAGCACGAGGCAGTGCTGCGTGCGCGTGTGAGCCGGCGTGGGTCTGGCTATGTGGGCTGGTGCGGCCTCGCACGTTCGCGAGTGTTTTGTGGCTTGGGAGGGTGATCGTGGGCAGCGCGCGTGCGCCCGTGGGCTGGTGCAGACACGGCTGTTGTGGCCTGGGTGTGCGTGTGAGTGTGCACGCCTGCAAAGTGTTGCTGTGGCTGTGGCTCAGCAGGCGCGCCCGCTCCACTCTTTCGCGGCTGCTCCTGCAGGCGGGTCCTCCATTCACCCGGCTGGGAGAAGTCCCGGCCGCCCGCCCGGGGGAGTCTCCGCCCCCTCCGCCCGAGTAAACTTTTCCCAAATCCGAGAGCCGCTTAGGGCGAAGCCGCCCCCGAGGCCTAATCCGCGCCCCCCGCGGATCTGCATAATCGGGTTAGCGGCCGCGCTCCCTCCCGCTCCCGCCGCCGCCGTCGCCGCCGCGCGCGATTCTCTCGCTGTCACTTAGGGAGGCTCAGCGCGATTTGCGGCCTAATCCCCCGGGATCGCTCGGCCGCCGCTCCCCGAGGGGCCGCCAGATTGTTCCCTTCATAATTGATTGACTCTATTTGCCGGATTGGGACTTCAAAGCGCCGGCGGCGCGGGGGCGCCTGGGAAGGAGCGGGGCCCGAGGAGGGCGGGGCGGGGCGGGGGCCTGGCGGGCCTCGCCGGGAGCTGCAGCCCCGCGGCCGCATCGCCCGGCCTGGGAGGCCAGAGCATGAAATGCGCAAGTGACAAGGCGGTGACCACGTCCGGGCCTGGCACTGCGCTCAGAGCTCCCCGGGTCCCCTCTCTGAATCCCCCTCACAACCACCTCAGAGACTGCAGGGTTATGTGATTAGCCCCACTTTCCAGGTGAGGGAACAGGTTCAGAGAGGCCTCTTCCTTCTCCCAGCGCCTTCTGTGTGTCCAGCGCTGTTTGGGGTTCGGCAGATACCCCTGTGAGCCACACCGACCCCGTCTCTGCCTCCGTGGAATTTGACTCTAGTGAAGGAGGCAGGCGACACACAGGAAACAAGAAATAAATGAACGGAAAATAAAGCAAGGTGATGTGGCAGTGACTGTAGGGGAAGGGGAGGTAAATGAGACTGAGTGGTCAAAGATGGCTTCTTAAGGAGGTGCGTTTTGGCTGAAATCTGCATGGCATGAAGGAACCTGCTCTGGGAATGTCTAGAGGACAAGCATTGGGGCAGAGGGTAAAGCATTTTGGGGGGAGCCCTCAGCCAAGGGCACACTATTAGCAAATAGTAATGCAGAGACTGAAACTCAGGGCTGCCTGACTCCAAAGCCCAGAGGCTGAAATGCCACATTTTTTTTTCACTCACCCAGCGTGGACTGATCCCAGCCTCGACACAGGCTAAGCCCTTCACAAAAATGTCCCAGACCCACAGGCACAGGCACCTGTTCAGTTCCACACAGCCCACCCCACTGCTGGCCCTTGTGAGGGTTTATTTTATTTATTTATTTATTTATTTATTTATTTTTGAGACAGGATCTCATTCTGTCACCCAGGCTGGAGTGCAGTAGTGGTGTAATCATGGCTCGCTGCAACCTCAACCTCCCAGGCTGAAGCAATCCTCCCACCTCAGCCTCCTGAGTAACTGGGAGTACAGACAGCTGCCACCATGCCCAGGTAATTTTTTGCTTTTGATTTTTTGTAGAAATGAAGCCTCAACATGTTGCTCAGGCCGGTCTTAACTACTGAGCTCAAGCAATCCTCCTGCCTCAACCCCCCAAAGTGGTAGGATTACAGGCAGGAGCCACTGTGCCCGGCCCCCACTGTGTGGTTCCATATCCCATTGATCTGAGGTTGCCTTAGTGGATGGACAGCCCTTTACTCAGAACCTTCCTGCACCTAGGGCCTGCTGTTTCCCCAACTCCTGAGGAGCCAGGAAAGGGTAGGGGGTAGCTAGAGGGGCCCCACTCCTGCCCAGCCATAGCCAGGCTCCCAGGAATCCCTAGCCTAGACTTGGGAATCCCCAGAAACGCTTAATTAATTCTTGATTACTCACTGTCTCTGCAGCTGCCATTAACTGTCTCCTCAGCCTGGGCCCAGTTAGGCCATGTAATTAAATTAGCACAGCAAGAACACTTCCAGGCGAGAGCAAGGTAGTCCTGCTGGGCCTTGCAGAACTTTTAGGGGGCTGATGAGGAAATCAAGGCTCAGAGACACCAAGGGGAGCACCCAGGGTCACTCACTAGGGCTAGAACAGAGGCCCAACTGTACCTCCCCGGAATTAGTTCTGGCCCCCTCATCCCACCTCTCTTGAGACCTCCACTCTCAGCATGTATTTTAAACCTTAAATGTCTTTAAAACGACGAGAGATTTGCTGCTGTCCTTAATTAAATTTATGCCAATTCACTGAGCTTTTGGAGGGATGGATTTGGGACAGGGGAGGGGAGACCGGGATTTCTATAAGGTGGGAAGCAGAAGACATAGGCTTTGCAGCCTGGAGGCTTTTCCCACTTACAGGATCAAAGAGGTGAGGCAGGGAGAGATGAGGGCAGGATTCTCCTAGCAGGGTGGTGGCAAGGGAGGGAGAAGGGCATTAGAGGCCCTGTCCACAGAGGCTCCCCTGAGTGAAGGGAGGGGAGGAAGTCGCTTTCCTTTTTACAGAGGAAACCAGAGAAAATAGAATCTAGCCTAAAAGAACATCCTAAGGTTGGAAGCATATGCACTATCAGCCAAGGCAGAAGGGGCTGGAGAACTTGGCCTCCCTGTTCAGAGTGAGGAGGGCCTAGCCAGAGTCTCCACCACCCCATCCCACCAGCCAGGCCTCCCTCCCTGCATCCTTCCCTCCCTCAATCCTGGGAGATGCTGGCTGACAGCCCTCCCTCCCCCAAAACCCAGCTCCTTGTCACTTCAGAAAATCAGAAATAAGCCTTAGTGATTAGAGGGAGACGAGAGTGAGATGGGGCTTAGAGGCCCAGGCTCAGGGAGGTGTTAAGAGGCGAGTGGGACTCAGAGTATTAGGGGGGCAGAGCTAATAGCTTCTCTGGCTGCCCTCCCCCGGGGACTGCAGTACCCAAGGGAGGAGGGAGAAGAGGAGGGGAAAGAAAGAATGAGAAGATATGGGGAAGAACGTGTGGAAGGGACAAAGGAGGTGAGGAAAGAGGGGGCTGAAGGAGAGACAGGAGCAAGGTAGGAGGGAGGGAATTGAGGAAGTGGTGAGGCACAAAAGTAAAGGAGAGGTGAAGAGGGAAAGGAGATGAGGAAAAAGAAGTACAAATCAAATGAGATTAAAATAAAAATAGTAATCTTTTTTTTTTTTTTTTTTTGAGATAGCATCTCACTTCATTGTCCAGGCTGGAGTGCAGTGACAAAATCATGGCTCACTGCAACCTCAATCTTTGGCTGAAGCAATCCTCCCAGCCTCCCACCTCAGCCTCCCAAGTAGGTGGTACTACAGGCGTAAGCCATCATGCCCAACTAATTTTTGTATTTTTTGTAGAGACGGGGGTTTCACCATGTTGCCCAGGCTGGTCTTGAACTCCTGAGTTCAAGTGATCCACCCACTGTGGCCTCCCAAAGTGCTGGGATGGCAGGTATGAGAAACTGCACCTGGCCAATATTATTTTAAAAAAGATAATACCAAATACTGATGAAAGTAGGGTGAAATGGAGACTCTTGGGAGTACAAATTGGTACAACCTTGGAGGTTCTGGAGATAAAGGGCAATTATTGATTAATTATTTGGCAATAATTATCAAAATTTTAAATATGCATCCTCTGTAGCCAAATAATTCCAACTCTAGGAATCTGTCCCACAGAAACTCTGACTTCTGCACATAATGTAAGTACAGAGCTGGTCCCTGCAATGATGCTTGTCATTGCCAAACATTAGAAACAACTAAATGTCCATCAAGAAGGGGCTGATTAAATATATCAGAGGGTGTCCAAACCATGGAATACTATGTGTCCAAGGAGAAGGAGGAGGTATAGAAAGATGCAGGAGAGGTACAGAGGGAAAGTAGATGAAGGAAAAGAGAAGTACGAACTAAATAAGATGTCATTGGTTGGTGAAAAGAATAAGTATGGACCGGGCATGGTGGCTCATGCCTGTAATCCGAGTACTTTGAGAGGCCGAGGCAGGCGGATCATTTGAGGTCAGGAGTTTGAGACCAGCCTGGCCAACATGGTGAAACCCCGTCTCTACGAAAAAATACAAAAATTAGCCAGGCATGGTGGGCATGCCTAGGATTCCAGCTACTGGGGAGGCTGAGGCAGGAGAATCGCTTGAACTCCGGAGGCAAAGGCTGCAGTGAGCCAAGATCGCACCACTGCACCTCCAGCCTGGGTGATGGAGCAAGACTCTGTCTCAAAAAAAAAAAAAAAAAGAAAAGAAAAGAAAAGAAAGAAAGAAAAAAGAGTAGGTATGAATAGTTATATGACTATTCATATATAGTGTGATCCCAATTTGAAGATGTTTAAAGAACACTTAAAACTATGTTGAGGGGGGTTGTAAATGTATAGAATCCAACACAGGGAAGGAATGAGAACCCCCAATTACTGACAGCAGGATTTACAGGATGGGAGGTAGAGCGGGATTTAGCTTTTCATTTTCTTTTCTTTTGCATTATGTTTTTATGAGTTTTTGCAAACCCATGTATTGGGTATGTACATTTTAAAACAATGATTGTTTTTAGAGAGGTGTAGGAAAGGGGTCAGGAGAGAAGAATAAGAAGGAAAGAAGGTGGTATAGGGCAGGAGGGAGCGCAGAGGAGAGCAGGCTGGCTGCAACAGGAGTGCTAGTGCATGGGTGGGGGCGTTGGCCAAAGGGCAGGAGTACCACCCAGGCAGTGTCCAAATACATTCCTCAACCCTGTCCCCACCACAGAAAATCTGACTAAGGCCTGAGTAATTGAAGGCTAATTGGGTTTTAGGCTTGTTAATGCTCCTGTGAATGTTTGCACTGAGGAGAGCCAGTCGATCAGATAAATGACTCCCCGTGGGACACAACGGTGGGAGGAAATGCAGAACAAGAAGGGCCTTCTGGATGATGAGCAGGACAGCAGAGTTTTTCAGCCCACTCCAGAGGTGGGGGGTGCTGTGCATGGAGAGCTGAGGAGCCCTTGGACTTCTGTGGGGCAGGGACAGTGAAAGGGAGGGGCTGGTCCAGGTATATTCTGAGGCCAAGCCTAGTTGGGGCAGAGTTCTGGCAGGCAGTAGGGAGGAGACCAGGAGGGAGGCAGGGACTGGCAACCCCAGCCCAAACCCTACAGACTGCAAGGTGAAGGGTCTGGTCTCCAAAGGGAGGGAGGAGATAGGTCTACCAGTGATAGGCACTGGGGGGCTGCCAGGGCCTCTGCCCACACCCAGAGAGAAGGTTATTTGGTTTGCAAAGAGATAGGGTCCCTTTTAGAATGATTTCCTGGGCTGGGCTGGAATAGACCCCTTCATATCCACTGGAGCATCATGCAGTGCCCGGGTCCAAGGCCACAGCCTGCTCTCTCAAATTCCCCTCCACTGAGTCCTTGTTTGTGACCCATCCCTTGGGCTAAAGGGTCTCTGAGGCTCCCCTATCTCTGACCAGCAGGTGTTGTTGGCTTCCGATTGTTAACACCAGAGGAGGCACCCTGAAGGGGTGTCAAGCCCAGGCAGCTAAGGAAGAGAGAGAGGGAGACTCTTAAAGAAAATGGAAGGTTTTGTTTTGTAGAGTTGTTGTTTGGAGGAGTTGTGGGTGTGTTATAGGGGCTAGAAATGCTAGCTCCCCAGGAACCCACAGAGAAGGCCTTCCAGGGGTAATCCTCACCCTCAGTAATCCCCTCATCTCTTCTCCAGGGTCAGAAATACAGGATGTGCTTTGAAAGGATCAGCTGCACATTTGTTTCCTCCTCCTCCTCCTCCTTCTCCTCAGGCTTGACTCGGGGACTAGGGCCCCTGGGACAAGGCAGGGAAACGTTTAATGAGTTTGTATTCCCAGAGAGCACAGTGACTGACAGCCGCCCTGGGGGTCACTGTTCTTCTTGTGTCCTGGAAGAGGATGCCGCAGCTGTGGGGCGGGCTCTGTGTGTCCCTGTGAGTGCCCGCCTGTACCCCTGTGCATGTACACCTGGAGCGGGGCTACAGAGGGACTTCCCAGGACCGCCCTGCCTGTGAAGAGACGCTGCTGCCAGTATCTGGGAAAAGGGGAAGAACTTGGGGGACTGCTGTCCTTTGGGCAGTGGGGTCCCTGTGGTCTGAGCCACAAGCCTCAGCCCTCCACCTGGTCTCCTCAGGTAACCCTCCGCACACGCTACTTGGGGCAGGTTGGTGGGAGGGAAGCCTGAGGCTGCCCACAGTGGGGTTTGGAGGAATCGGGGGACATGGTCGATGTGGAGGCCTGAGTCTGCATGGGTAATGAGACCAGGGACTGGCTTGTCAATAGCATTTAAGTACTTTTCTCCCATTTTCAGGCCAGACTGAATTATTTATTCGTTTCTAGTCAATCGCTGGTAATGTCATTAGCATTTGTCCATCAAAGGTAGGGAACAGAGTGGGAGTGGTCCCCCTCCACTGACCCCACATCCCAAACTGACTCTCAAAGGTCAATCCATCCCCTTCCCTGCCCCTGCTCTCAAGTTACCCTGGGACCAGCATTTTTCAGAGGCCCTGCATGCAGGAAGGTCTCCATCCCCACAGAGCTTCAACCCTGATGGCACCAAGGAGCCAGCTATTCTCCAACACCCTCTCTAGTTATTCTCCAATGCCCTCCCATTATTAACACATAGACCCATTCCCCCAGTGCAGGCATCACACTGGCTGCCTGCTTGAAGAGCCAGCCAAGGCTGGCAAGCGAAGACCCAGCTGATGGTGGGGCCAGGGACCCAGTAGAGCAGGCAGTTTGGGTTGGCACCGGCCTCTTCTCTTGGTCTAGAGGCCAGCCTGCACCCTCAGACTCAGCTCTCATTATAGAGTCCTTCCTCCCTGCTCAGAGCAGGGTCCCAAGTCAGACTTCTGCCTCTCCTCTCAAGCCAGACTCATGGGGAGTTGAAGGGAGGCACGATTTGTTTCCACTCTCAGATGAAGCTCCCATTCCTTAATCAGCTCCCCAGACAGAATCTGCCTCCCCCTTGAGGCCAGGATCCCAGACTGGCTTTCCAAGGCAGCACCTCTCTCCCTTCTCAGCCCATGGGGCTGCTACCTACACCACTAAAACTAAAGGAGCCCTGAGGAGGATTAATCCCCAGGGAAGGGACTGCTGGTCCTCACTCAATATCCAGGTCAGAAGTTCCTAATCCAGACCCTTCCCTGATCAATCTAATCTTCCATCCTCGAACCTGGGACTTAAGAAAGTGAAAGGTGAGATTTCTTGCAGAGATCAGGAAGGGAGTGTGCAGTGGGGTCTTTGGAATGCTCTGGGGAACAATGGCCTGGTGAGGCAGTAGGGACACCGCAACAGCCAGAGGGAGAGGTTGAACTGGGCTGCCCTTGCAACAGTGGCCTTGGCCAGTCTCACATCCCATTCTGCTGCTGGGATGGCCTTTCAGAGATGTCCCAGATTGAAGTGGGGAGGCCAGACTCCCGCATTGACCAGTCGCCTGTGGACTGCCCCCAACAAGGGGACATAACCTTGGGAGAGGCAGCTGAGGACACTTCCCCGGGAAGGAACTCAACCGTGAGGCCACAGCGGCCAACACTCCCAGCACTGCAGGAATGTCTCGGCCCTCAAGGGCAATCTGGGCAGCACCACAGCATCCACTGCAGACTTTCTGGGCAGAGGGATGAATGGGCCCTAGCGATGGCTCGGTTCATGGAGATGTAGGTGGTAATGAATGTTGGTGGACATGGCTAGATGGGGCAGTTTTGGTGGGCACAGCAGCATGAGAAGTTTTGAGGTTATGTGGAGGGCTGGGGCTCTGTGGAGGACAAGGCAGAGCAGGATGGCTTGGAGGGACACGAGACAAAAAGTTTGGAGGACAGAGGGAGTGGATGGGTGTTCATGCTGCTCCTGTTGGGCCTGGGCAGCCCAAGTGGATGGGAAGAAGCCCCCGTCAGCATGACAGCTCCTCAGTCGCTAAGCAGGATTAGCCTCCTCTTCCTCAGAGGGAGGGGCTCCGCTCCTGCATCAGCCACCAGCTCTGGCCCTAATCCCCCTCGATTTCTAATCCACCCACGACTTTCTTAGGCATTAGCGCTGGGCTCTCAGCTCCCTAAGCCCCACCCTGAAGATGGGAGCCGGGCTCTGAAGGGAATTAGGCCAGCTTCAGAGGATGGCTTGCCAGACAACTGGAGGAAGGCTGAGAGCACCACCCACCCTTCAGCCTTTCCTCCTCTGTGGCTCACCCCCACCCCCAGCCAGGGACCAGGGTCCCAGAAGGATCCCTACCAGCTCCCTGCTAGGACCAGGTGAGGACGGGGCAGAGGGGGCTGAAGAGGAAGAGGCTCCCCACCTCTCAGGCCGATGCTGAATCTAGAGGGGGTGCTAGGCAAGGATACAAGGGTAACCCACAGCTTGGCAAAGGCAGACAGAGTGGAGCTCAGGAGAGTGTGCCAGGAGAGAAACCAGAAGGCAAACTGAGGCCAGATTGTGTAGGGCCTTGAATGCCAGCTGAGGGATTTGGCTCTCCCCTGGGGATGCTGAGGAGTCATGGTGGGATTCAGAGCAGTTGGTCTGGTGCCTGTGAAGCCTGGCTGGGGTGGGCTGCAAAGGAGGAAGGGCAAAGGAGTGGGTGGCACTCTCCAGCTCCCTCTGGTTGTCTGGCAAGCCGTCCTCTGAGGCAGGCAGAGGCTGGGGTGAGGCTCTTGCTGTGATGTCAGCAACGGCAATGGGACCCCGAGAGAACACCCAGCACCAGCTCCCAGGCAGCCAAGCAGCACAACACCCTGTGTGGCAGCAGGGACAGGTGCAGCCTGAGCCTGGGGGATGGGGGCATCAACGTGCACCTGTGAGGGAGCAGAGCTGGGGGCACCTAGGGAAAGGTAAGGTAGGGCAACAGCCCATTACCTCTCAGCAGCTGCCCTCCAGAGCCTCATAATCATCTATTATTCCAACTACTAAGAACAGGCAGCAAGAGCCTGGCTGCAGTACGGGATGGGAAGGAGTGGCCTGGGAGCGGGACCCTCACCTGCCCAAGACACCCCTTCCCAGAGTTGGGAGACCCATCAGCCCCACTCCAGGCCCTGAGAGTGGCCATGAGCTTCTTTCCTATTAGAGGTGTCCAGGCATGGAGCTGGGAAGGCAGGGGAAGGTGCCAGTCTAGAGGTGTCCAGGTCCCAAGCACCAGGAAGGGCCTGTGGTCTGTTCATGAGCTGCTTCCTGGGAAAATCTGGCATCTTTCTCTCCCCTTCAGCCCCATCCCTTCCTACCCCCACCCCCCAGGCTAAGTTGTCTGCAGATATTGCAGGGGTGGTTATGAGTATTCATTAAGCCAAATACTTACTAAAATTCTCCTTACCCTAACCCTTGCCCTGGGCAACTGTTGTTCACCCATTTTTTACAGATGAAATAAACAAAGTTCAAAGGGAAGTCACTTTTTCTAGACCCACACAGCTGGTGACAGCACTGAAACCAGGGAGGCAGAAAGGAAGACAATCATTTACAATCTAGGAAGGCAGAGTAGTACAGTGGTTACAAGTGTGACTGTTGGAGTCTGATGGATTGGGGTTCAATTCCGCACTCCACCTGCCTCTTTCTAGCCAGGCAACCTCCCTGAGCCCCAAGTTTCTCATTCGTGAGTTAATCATGCCAACTCACAGGACCCCTACAGCGTGGGCCTTGTAGGAGAATAGAAACACTGTGATCCAGTGAGATCTCTGGGGGAATGGTTGCTGTTGTCACTACCCAAGGCCACTGAGTGGACAGGCAGAGAAGCAGGGCCTGGTTCCCAGCTCTGTCTGCTTCCAAAGCCCTCAGATGCCCCTTCCCAGAGGTGGTGGTAGGCAGCTGGGGTCCCCAGACTCCGTGAGGGGTTGGGCAGTAGGGCAGATGAGTCAGGGTATTGAGCGGGTGGTGGGATGCTAAGAGGCTGAGAGGTTCATCATGACAGGTCCGTTAGGCCATCCCAGCAGAGCCCTCTCATTGGGCCTCGCTAATGAGCCTCCACTGGATTATCCACTCCCACCTTTGCTCCGTTTACTCTGTCAAATCGAGTTTGCATTTTAAATGCGAATTTGACAAGACGGGCAATTTGTCTGCTGACGAGGTTAATGGGTGTTAGCCCTGCGGACTAGGGAGGGAGAACCCATGCCCCTGCACAGTCTGGCCTCTGCTCAGATCAATGACCCCGGCTGCTGCTCCTCTCTACTCTGCAGCCACTCTGGGCCTCTGTGTATCCAGAGGTTGTCCCTGTGTCTAGCTCACCACCTCCAGGCAGCCTTCCCAAAAGCACCCTGACCTGGGCCACCTCAATTAGTCAGGCTGGGTGATGTCCCCTCCACCTGAATGCAGATAGGATTCCTGAGGGGTGGGCCATGTCACCCCCTCTCAGAGGAGGGGCCTCCTGTCTCAGCCCAGGCTTCTAGGGCAGGGCCAGATTTTCCCTGAGTTGGGCTCCCAAGGGCTGGGGTGTCTTCCCTCCTGCTTCCCTCTACTCCTCGCTCCCATATGGAACTTGGAAGGGGGCCAGCAGAGCTGGTGTTGCCACATCCTGAGTTTCAGTGCTGGGATGCGGACTGGTTGGCAAGAAAAGGTTTTAAATCCATCAACTCCAAGCCAGCGCCTTTGTGGAGCAACTCCCAATGTTGGGGCTTACAGGAGAGCTGGGGAACCACCTGAGACTTCCTGATGAGGCCCGAGTTGACCTCTTCCACATGGGTTCCTTCCCAAGATCCTCTCCCTCAAGAATGAGCAAGAATCCAGAACCCAGGGGCTGGACCAGGCCAGGATGGGTTGTGGCTATAGAAGAAGACGCCTTGGCCTCCCCCTCCTCCCCGGGGCCCAGCGCCCTTCCCCGCCCCGGCTAATGTGCCACAATTACCTCCTAAGTGCCCAAACAAATGTGGCTGCTGGGGAAAGTGACACGGGCTCCAGGTGATGGATTCGTGCCATCGGGGAGCCGGGCGGAGCGGGCTCCGAAAGGGGGGGCAACACTAATATTGTATCAGCGTCGGCGCCGGCGCCACGAGCTGGTGATGAATATGTGTCACTTTACACGGCGCACACTCGGGGGCCTGGCTGCGCAGGCATGGAAAATAGAGTGTCTGGGATTAATGATATTGAAAATGATAGAGAGCAGATTGGAAATGGCTTCGCCCGCCCGACCCGCAGAGATGGAAACGTACCTCACAGCTATCTGCCCAGGCCTGGCCCCCCACCTGCCCCCCTTCACCTTCCACAAGCTGCAGAGGCCCACAATGAGGACCCTGAGTCTTGGTCCTGCCAGGGGCTCCTGAGGGTGGCACACACTGGGGTGGGTACACCTGTAAGCAGAGACACAGAAAGCAAGAAAACCTCAGCCCCAACTCACCTTTGACCTTGGTCCCAGATGAGCCTGACCCCAGCCACCCAGTGAACGTTGGCCTTGTCCACAGACCAAGCCCTGACCCCAGTTCCAGCCGAGCCCTGCCTCTGGCCACAGAGTGAGTCTGCAGAAGCTTGAGTCTCTCACAAGACCATGAGGGCACGGGTAGAGGAGGGGGGTCAGGGGTGGGGGTGGGTGGTTGTAGAGGGGAGGCTGGAGAACATGGACCCCTCAGTGTAATGCACCCCACTGCCAGAGGGGAGATCCAAGCCCAGTCTGTTACTCCATGGTGTGGACGCCCCAGCAAACAAGCAGGTGAACAGGTGTCTTCTCCATTGATGTCATTCTAAGTGTTTATGTTGGGTTTTTGACTGTGTCTGCACACATACGTACATGCTTGCAGGTATGTGTACATGTATGTGTACATCTGCTCACAAATACACCTGTGGGGTTGTGTCTGGCATGTGCAGGAATGTACATAACTGGGTTTGTCACTTTGTGTGCCTAGGTGTGTGTACAGCATCTCTGAGGACTGTATGTGTGTGAGTGTGGCTTGCCTGAGGCCACTCTGTGCATGGAGATGCCTGTGGTGAGCACACATGTGTGTCTGTGTGTGTGAGTTTGTGTCTGTATGTTTACCCACAGATGAAGGGACTCCAGAGTGTGGCCGTTAGTTAAGAAAAACTCTCTTTTATGAGGCCTGACCCTGGTCATAGGCTAAATTCCCAACATCAGGGCAAGATGCCTTTCCCTGTTGGAATAGATCCTATCACACTGGAATTTTATCAAATTTCCCAGACGGACAGCAACCCTGAGACCACCAGTCCAACCTCAACATCCATCCCAACATCAGTCCCCATCCAAACCAAGGTCAGAGGATGCACCTACATCAACATCATCATTCAGTCAACAGACACTCCTTGAAGGCTCATAACATGGCAGGTGCCATCTCTGGTGAGCAGAACAAACACAGCTCCTGACCTCATGGAGGTACAGCCCATCAGAGGAGTCTGACACTGAGCAAGTACACAGATGAGGAAACACAATGACAGTGTGCAAAAAGGGCCACAAAACAGGTGTTCAGAAGACCATGATAGAGATTCATGGAATGACCTGGCATTTGATCAGGGTCGGCTCCTCTGTGCAGTGACATTTGAGCTGAGGAATGAGGAGCCAGCTCTGTGGGAAAAGGGGAACAGAAAGAGCGGAGACACTGGAGGTATTCTTGGTCTTGTCAGGAGACAGAGGTCCATGGAGAAACAGGAGGAGAGGCTGGGGCCAGCAGGGGCTTCGGTTTTGTTCACCATGGGAGGTAGAGCCACCGGAGGGGTTAAGCAGGAGAGTGTCATGATCATATTTGCATCGTTTTGCTTTCATTTATTTATTTAGAGATGGGGTCTTGCTCTGTCACCCAGGCTGGAGTGCAGTGGCTACTCACAGGTGCAATCATAGTTCACCGCAGCCTGGAACTCCTGGGCTCAAGCCGATCTTCCTGCCTCAGGAAGATCACTCTGTTAGGTGGAGGAACACTTGGAGGTATGGATAACAGAAGCTGGTAAACCTTTCTGGAAGTTCTGGTATCCACACCAGGCCTAGGGTTCATACCCTCCCAGCAATAGCAGCAGTGTGCATATATCACAGCCATCACTAATACCACCAGCTGGTGCTTCCCAGACGCATCTCGGAGGCCTGGGGTTCCCTGTCCACTTTCTCCCAGTCCTGCTACTTTACTCCTGCCTGGGAGAGTGACCCTTCCTCAGCTCCACTCTCTGTCGCATGGGGTTACCTGGAAATGCTCTCTCCCCAGACCACCTGGATCTTCCCAGCTCTGCTCTGCTCTGCTCTCATCCAAAGAACCAGTCCTGCAAAAGCTAGGAGTTCCTATGAAGATAGGAGAGAAGAAGGGAGCTTCAACCTGGTGGTGAGAAGCCCTGGTCTGAGCAGAGAGTCCCTTGTGCCCAGAGTCCTTTTCTGGAGAAAGAGGCACAGCTCCCAGGGCAGCCCCACCCCCAGCTGTAGGAACTCTGAACACACCTGACAGTGTCCCCACAGGGTCCTATTGCACTGCACAGCAGTGTCGCCTCGGGGTCCTATTGCACTGAACAGCAGTGTCCCCAAGGGGTCCTATTGCACTGCACAGCAGTGTCCCCACGGGGTCCTATTGCACTGCAGAGCAGAGGGCCGGCCTCCTGAAATGAGAAAATACCAGCACAGGGCTGGCACAAGGGTGGTGCACAGGAAATGTGAGTGGAGGGGAAGGACAGAGTCCCATAATGGGTGCAGGCAGACCTGGGTGACCTGACTCCACCCCAGGCTCAGCACCAGCTCCCAATCCTACCCTGTTGCCTGCAGCCCAGGGCAGGCAGGCTCCCTGTTGGCAGTGACCTCTGCATTTGGAGGAGGATGAGGGGCTGAGCCCTACCCCGGGCTGCCTCTCTCCCTCTCTGCTTCTGTCTCTTTCTGCTCGCTTGCTTTCTCTCTCAATCTCTCTCAATCTCTCTTCATCTCTGCTCCTTTCTCTCCCTCCTTCCCTGCCTCTCTCTCCCTGAGTCATTTGCAGAGCGGAGATGGCCTAGCCCATCTGGGAGCGAGAGCGCGGCCCGGTGACGGAGGCGCAGGTAATAGCCGAGTGGAGGAGAGAGACGTGGAAATTTATGACATTGAAAATGACTGAGAGAGAGCGTGTATGTGAGTATGGGAGGAGGAGAGGGCAGGAGGGGCGGGAAGGGAGAGGGAGGGAGCTCGCGTGTGCTCTCACCACACTCACGGCCCTACCCCTCCCTCCAAGGGAGACCAACCTTGTGGAGAGGAGAGGACATGGGGGAGTGGGAGGAAGCAGCCAGACCAGAGACAAAGGCAGACAGACAGACAGACAGATGACAGATGGTAGGACAGGGATGGCAGGTGGAAGGCGGGGAGGGAGAGGAGCAGGTGAGCCCAGGACACAGAGCAAGGCTGAGAACCACTGTGGAGAGACACCCAGAGTGTCTGGCTTTTCCCTGCCCTGGCCCCCTCTCAGGAGCTCTGCTCTGAGGGGAGGATGTCCCTGTGGCATATGGTAGCATGGAAGCTAGAGTCTGAGCTGGAGATTTTCTAAAGCGGGAGGCCCAGAGGAGGCCAGGCATGCTCCAGGTTGCATAGCAGGTCAGTGACCACATGGGGCCTGAACCTAGAACTTCCTCCCAGCTTAGGCTCCGTGTCCCACAGGTGCTGGGGTATGGGGAGCCAGGAGGTAAAGGAGCTAGATCTTGTAGCCATCTGCCCCTCCAACAGCTCTTCCCTCTGGACCATGGGAGGCAGGGGAATGGCCAGAATGACCTCTCCATATCCTCTGGTAGTCAGAAGAGAATCTGTTTCCTTGGGGTGCTAAGCCCATAATCCTCTCTTCCATAGCCACCATCAGACCACCTGGGACTCTGTTGCTGAGGACATGAATAATTAGACATCCTCCAGAATGCTGAGCCCCTCACCTCCACCCATGGCCACCCAGGCCCACAGACGATACTCCACCCCCAGCCCCACTCTGCTTCCTCTTGTCTCTCATGCTGCTGAGTCCCCACCCCACCCCAGTCACCATCCCTTGCCCTGGGACTCCATTCTTTGTTAAGATCTCCTCCCTTTCTGGGCCTCAGTTGCCTCATCTGTAAAATGGGAATAACAATGCCTTTCTATGCCCATCATCCTGGAGCTGGAGAAGCAATGCCAGGACTCAGAGGGTAGACCTCAGTCTCCTCAAGTCTCAGAATTCTTCATTGGACCATGGGGGTCATCTTAACTCCAGAGGAGTTGTCAGTAGTTGTGGCCGATTTTGTGGGTGATGTTAAAGGAAACAAGACTCCCAGGCATCCCAATATATATACACACCCAGCCATCTCCCAAGGAAGCTGGTATATCAAGTAGTCAAGAGGTAGAATCCTCCAAGCCCAGGTGCAGGAGAAGGTTGAGTCCTAAATATGAGGGGTGCTCTGTCCCAAGCATACAGCTGAGGAGGTCTGAGCCAGGCCCTAGTCCTCTAGCCCAGGCTCTGGCAATACAGGTGGCTTCCAGCTCTTAGAGACCTTACCCCCTACTCCCAGCAACATGGGGCCTGACTGAACAGTTGTCCAAGTTTCCCTGACTGGAAAGCAAAAGAGGTTACTCCCTACTCCACATCCCTGCCCACTTCTCCCGATCAGCCTTCCACAGGGGGCCCCCTCTCCTCCCCTCTCTTTACTTCCCTCTCCTGCTCCATAGCACTCTGGAAAACTTTCTTTGATTAACCTCTCCCAGCCAAGAGCATTCAAAGAGGCTGTATAGTGCAGTGGTTGAAAGCACCAGCTTTGGGGCCAGAAAAGCCCCAAATCACAGCTCTGCCCTTTGGCTGGGTGATCTTGGGCTCTTCATTTAATGTCTCTGAGCCTTATTTCCTCATCCTCATCTGGCAAATGAAGCCATAAATGCCTGGGTCTAGGATTGTGTGACGATCACATGAAGTCATGAATGCAAAGTGACTGGCATAGAGGAGATGCTCAGCAAATGCCAGCTGCCATCTCCCCCCAACCCCATGCTACATCTAACTGTGTCTCAGTTTTCTGCTGCACTTAGAGGATAAGGATGAGAGCTGAGGGTGGGGAGAGAAGGAAGAGCAGCAGCAGTAGCAGCTTCAGGAGGCTCCTGATCACTTAGAAGAGATGAAGGCTGAGCTACAGTAGGAGAGACTCAGGTTAACCCTGAGAGGGACTTCCCATACTGAGACCCTGGAGGAAGCCACATTTCAAAGGCCCCGCGTAAGTTCAGTCTGTTCCCAGGACCATATCCTTATCCTAGAGGCAGCTCCGAGGAGGCAGCAGCTGCCCTGTCTGGGGAGCAGTGGGGGAGGTGAAGAGTTCACTGGGCTCCGGGGCTGTGGGCTGCAGGCCTCCCACCCAGCCCTGGTGCCCTGGCCTGGCCCACTGTGGCCACATAAAAGGTGACGGATGGTTAATAGGGGAGATAACAGGATTCATAAGGGAAATTTATCGGTCACTCTGGTGGTATAAATATGTTTATAGCGGACCAAGGGGAAATGAAGAAGCCCCAATAAATCACCATGAAGCCACCAGCCACTAATAGGCAAGCAGCAGTGGGAACCCCAGTGTTGGCGATTGCAGACACCCCCTCTGGCTGCCCGCTAATGGCATGGCGGGGCTGGAGACTCATCAAGCTGGACAGACGCCCACCCCACGCCATGGCAGGAACAAGACCCCAGGGGCCACCTCTGCTGGACCTGAGCTGCCCTGCCTGCTGTGCAGCCCCCACTTCCCCCAGTCTGGACTCAGCCAGGCTGGAAGGGCTGAGGGAACAGGGCAGGGGGTATATGGACCAGGTCTAGGAGGCTTCATGGTGCACAGGTTAAAGAGACTCTGGAGTAAGAACTGGCTTCAAAACTTTATCTGCCATTTCCCAATCCCTGCCTGTCTTAGAATTTCCTTGTTTGCAAAATGACTTAGCAATCTTAGAAAGAAGCTGTTGTGAAGAGTAGAGAGATAATCCATTATCATAGTGCTTGGTATTTTGTAGCCTCAAAAATGGCACCTCAGCCTCCTGAGTAGCTGGGACCACAGGCATGAACCACCACGCCCAGCTAGTTTTTTTTATAGAGACAAAGTCTGTTGCTCCTGAGCTCAAAAGTGCCAGGATTACAGGCGTGAGGCACCTCCCCTGGCCAGCAACATTTCATAGATGAGGAACCTGAGGCTCAGAAGTTGAGGCTTGCCTGGGATCCCACAGCTAGAAGAGAAAGGCTCTGTTTGATTCCCAAGATGAGAATCTTCTCACTGCCCCAGTGTAGGCCCCATTCCTTCCTCAAAGTCACTGGGGGTTCCCTGAACCTCTTCCCCCAGAAGAGACCTAGGATTTCAGGGGCCGTGAAGCATTCAAATCAAAGCCCCGGGGCTCTTGCGGTGACTTGCTGGTGCTGATGACAACTCTCCATCTACCCCTTCCCTCCCTGCCCCTGCTACTTCCTGTACCCGTCTCCCCAAGCAAGGGCTGGACTCAGCTTCTGTGACCTCACCCCAGTACTGTGGTTGCCTAAAGCCTTCCATCTGATCTGTATGGGAGGCCCATATCTGGGCTCACCAGCCCTGCCATCTTTGTCACAGCCTCTGTCCAGGCCAATGTGTCCTCCAGCTCAGCTTACTCCTTCATTCATTTTTTCAGGAAACATTCAAGGACCTTCTTCCAAGGGCACAATACTGAGCAACATGGACAAGGTCTGGCCCTATGGTAAAGTCAGGTCTGGATCATGGAATTGAATGGGGTGTGTTGCCAGGTATCGTGGGACTCATGCCTGTAATCCCAACACTGGGAGGTTGAGGTGGGAGGGTTGCTTGAGGCCAGGAGTTCCAGACCAGGCTGGACAACACAGCAAGACCCATGTCTACAAAAAATTTAAAAAATTAGGAGGGCATGGTGGCATGTGCCTACAGTCCCAGCTACTTGGGAGACAGAGGTGGGAGGATCACTTTAGCCCAGGAGGTTAGGGCAGCAGTGAGCTATGATTGCACTACTGCACTCCAGCCTGGGTGACAGAGTGAGGCCCTGTCACTAATAATAATAATAATAATGAGTGTATTGTGTTGAGGCTAAGGTAGCACAGAGGCTGGGGAGGGCAGGAATCACAGAATGAGTAGAGGGAAGGCAGGAAAAGCATTTCCAGAGGAGGGAACAGCTTGAGCGGGTGGGGAGGAAGCAGGACTTCCTGGGCCCACTGAGGCTGGCTGGTCTCCCGGTTTCTCTCTCAATGCTGAAAGGCTGCGCATCATCTCCTACATAAGCTCCACATCACTTTGTCCCTATCCTCAAGCCCTCCTCCCTTTACTCGTGGTCATGCTGTCCAACCATCGTTCTTACCTCCACCCTGGACAAAGCCGCGGCCTCCTCCCCAGTTTCCTGCCAGGACGGCCGGTCCCTCTGCAAACTACGCCCAGCCCAGCGCTGCCTGAGCCCCAGATCTAACCCCAAACCCCTAGTCTAGGGGACTCCCTGCCCAGTGCCACAGTCAGCAGTGCGGAGGGCCTGCGTCCTTACACAAATGCCAATGGAAGGGGAACAGGGCCTTGGAGGTCCTGAGACCCCACCTCTCCTCGCCTGCTCGGGGGAGAAGAGGAACTGAGCCGCCTTGGCTCCCGTCCGGCCCTCCGCGCGTCTCGCTGAATCTCGGTCTCTCCCCGCCTCTCCTTCGTGTCCCAGACTCTCCAGTCCCTGCCTCTCCGGCTCTCTCCCGGTCTCGGGCTCCGTTTCTCCGTCTCTCTCCCTCCCGAGGCCCCCTCCCCAGCCGGGCGGGGTAGATCGCTCCGTAAATAGGCGGATGGCCCGGGGCGCTGCGAGCGCAGACACTCGTTTTTAGAGCCGGTAATTGACTCCTTTCAGTTGATAATTCATGGCTTGCATATGCGCTTTAATGCGGGCGCCCCGGGAGGCGCGGCAGGCGGGGCGGGAGCGGGGCGCGGGCCTGCGCGGCCGCCCGTCCATCCGTCCGTCCGTGTCCGCGGGAGACGTGGGCGCTCCCACCCGGGCTGCCTGCCCAGCGCTCCCGAGGCCGCGCGCGGCGGAAGGGGCTTGAGCTGGGCCGGACGCAAAGGCCGGGCGGTCCCTGGGCGGCGCAGGGCCTACTGGCTGGTCCTTCGAACTGAATGCGGGCGGGGGCATGTGGGCACCCCTTCCCTATGCAGCCAAAGGGGAAACTGAGGTTCAAAAAGGCGATAGGTCTTAGGCAGAAACGAGATCAGAATTCAAGACCCCCTTCCCGTAACGTCCTAGTCAGGGCCCTTAGTCCCAGCTTTTCTAGAGCCCCTCACCCTGGGAATGCTCCTGTTTCTCAGCTAAATTCCTCCGCTGGAGTGACCCACCCTGTTGCTCTCTCACAGGCACCCGCATGAGGGGCTGGCTCCTCCCCGTGAATTCTGGGCACAGACACCCAGACCTGAGCAGGCCCCTCACCCCACAGCGACTGGGGAGCCGGAGCCCGAGTCCCTCCCACCTGCTCCCTCGGTTTCTGAGGGTCTGTCTCATCCTGCAGCTGGACAGACGTGATCTTCAGCCCCAAGTTACAGACGCTTAGAGAAGCTGGAGACTTGCACAATGTCTCAGAGGAAAGAGAGCCAGAACCTGGACCCGTGTTGTACCCCAACCAAACCCTCCATGGTGGAAGGAATAGGAGTGGGAAGGGGAGGAGGAGACATATGGTCCAGGAGGTTCCATATGTACCCACACATGGACCTCAAAGAGGCCCCCACAGCAAGACAGCAAATGACATCCACAGTCACAGATCACGGAGTGATTTCAGATGAAGATGGTGCTGGCAGGTAGTTGTCACGAGTCAGAGGTTAGGGGTCAGCACTGGAGCTGGCGCTGGAGGTGGGGAGGTTGATGACTCCAAACATCAGCTCAGGAGATACTAGAGAAAGCCCAAGCCGAAAAGAAGTCTGCGCCTAGCATAGGGCTTCCCATTTATTCAGTCCTTCGAGCTGGTATCTGCCACCACTTTTCCCCAGGCTAATTCCAGCCAAAATAGAATTCTACCTCCATCTTAAAATCTGCAAATATTTAACCTAAAGCCAAAGTGCCTGCTAATTCCTGCATCCCTCTATCTCTGTCCTTCCACTCGCTAGTTTCCCCATCAGCGCAATGGAGTTTGAGCAAAGGATCTCACTGGAGAAGTCGCAGCGACAGTGGATCTAAGAGCAGAGGGCAAGGGCTGCCTGAGCCTTGTGAAGCTCAATTCTGCCCCCTGGTGCCCAGAATGCCGCGCCAGCAATGGGATGCAGGAAGAAGAGGCAGGAGACACCTGAGGTCTCTTACCTTTTCCAAGCTACTCAGACCTCCCTCTTACAGGGCAGGGAACACAGGGCACCAGCCCTACTAACCCAATCTGAGGGGAAACTCTGAGGCTCCCTCTCCTGCAGAGATCTCAGACTCTGTGGTAGAGTTGGTGTGGGGGGACACGTGACGTCAGCAATAGCCCTGTCCATCCAGCACCTGGACACCCCGAGTGGTTCCTTCTATGGGAGGCAGAGGCAGGGCTGCCCCCTCTGCTGTGCAATTCCTGGGGTCTTCATCTGAGTTAAATTCTTTTAAGTCAGGATTTTTCTGGCTGAAATTTCACATTTGTGTTCAGTGGGAGTACTCAAAAAATGTAGCATGCATGGATGAATTCCATCCCTTTGCATTGTCTTCAGAAGATCTGTCCTATGAAGCACAGGGAAAAGTGAGTTCGTTAATTTGCATAGTTGGCGGAAGTAGGGCTACAAAGAGGAATGGGATGGGGGAAGGGAGAGATTTGATGGGAGGAGGATCTCAAGAGAGTTCAGATGAAGGGAAAATAATGGGGGGGGTATGTTGGAGGGATCAAGAAAGGCTTTCTGGAGGAAGTGGTATTTGACACAGGGTTTGAAGGACACAGAAAGCAGCAATGGTGTTCAGGTGGAGGGAACAATCTGAATAGCGACATGGAGCCAGAAGCATAAGGTGGGCTTGTGCTGGTGAGAAGGCTCCAGTTTGAGGGAACGGAAGGAGGCAGTGCTGTGGTGGAGCCATGGGAGAGGAGGCTATGGAGGATCCTGGAGACATGCTGATGTCAGACCAAGGAATTGGTGTTTTGTGGCAAAAGCACTGAACTGTGAGCCTGGGGTCTAGGTCCTAACCCAAGCTCCACTCTGACTGGGTTCCACTGTCTCAGCCTTGCTCTCTGGAGCCCTCTCCAGACGTCAGTGGGAATCATGGCAAGTTCTTAATCAGGACAGTGCCTAGAAATCACAGCTCACAGAATGGTCAAGCTGGTAGGTACCATAGACCTTATCAAATCTAACCCCCTCAATCTGAAACTCAGATGAGAAAACTCAGGTCCAGAGAGATGAAGGGACTTCCCAGCATCACACAGCAAGTCACGGACAGAGTCAGGACTTGGACCCAGATCTCCAGCCTCTCTGTTTGGGGCTCTTTCTCCACTGCAGTCTGGGGTAGCATCAGGGGGACTGAATTGGAGGAAAGCAGCTAGAGGCAGAAGACCACCAGGAGATTACAGCCTCACCCAGACCAGAGATCATGAGGCCGGGGCCAGTCAGAAAATGTTTATTGAGCTCCTCACCCTGCTCCCCATCCTGGGCCCATCTGAGGAATATTGAGCACCCACACAGAGGGACCAACAAAGAAAAGGAACCTGGTGGGGTTCCAGAAGGAGGAGACATAAGGTGGACATGGTATTCATGAGAAGGAAGGGGCATCAGGAGCACACTTGGGTGAGGATCTACAGGAGTAACACCAAGAAAATGCTTTAGAAGCAGGGTCTCACTATGTTGCCCAGGTTGGTCTCAAACTCGTGGCCTCAAGCGATCTGCCAGCCTCTGCCTCCTGAACTGCTGGGATTACAAGTATGAGCCACCACAACCAGCCCCGTGTTTCATGAGCTGTTACTCCATTCCAGGAGCCTATCACTTGGGCCCCCTCTGATTCTTGACCAAGGTGTCCACCTCCTTCATGAACCGGAGACACAGCTCCTCTTCCCATGGCAAAGCAATGCACTGCACAGTCACCAGAACTCCGACGGATCCTCTTACCGCCTGCCAGTAGAGAAGGTCGGGAACTCAGAGCCTGCTTCACAGGCCCCTTGCCTGGCTCTGTTCATCACCCATGCTATTCTGGGCCTCCGTACCAACGGTTGGTCTAGGTATGCTTTAGTCCAAACATCCCTTTCCCAATCTATATTAAGGTAAAAATGACCTAGATCTCAGAATTCCAGGCTTCCTCAGCTCTCAGTGAAACCTGAAAAGACTGTTCTGATTTTATTGCCCATAGTTCTTCAGGGTTAACATGTAAAACTTGCTCCCTGTGCAGAATGCTGATTATAATGACGAAAGAGAAAGCCGAGCATCCACTCAATGTTCAAGCAAGAGAAAGAAGAGCATGCTAATCCCTGATCCAGAGCCTGGTTACCCTTCCACAGTGAAAGCATTGCCTTGGCCCAAAACAGGCCCAGGAACATGGGGGCTAAGCCTGAGTCCCTGCCACGAAATCCAAACGTCCTTGTAGGAATTCAAACCTGTTTTCTTTGCTTTGTGATGATATCATTTGAGGCTTTATTTGCCTTTGTCTCTGGAGTCAGATCACCTGTTTCAAGTCCTAGCTCCTCCACTTCAATTGGCTGTGTGGCTTTGGCCCAGTCCCTTAATCTGTCTGTGCCTCCATTTTCCTCATTTAAAAAACCTCACAGGAGAGTTATTGAATTTAATGATTTAATATTTATACACGGCACTTTTAAACAGCTCCTGGAACAGAGTAAGTGCTCAAGACACATGAGATAGTGTCATTATTGTTATTTTCTCAGAATTCAGGTCAGCAGTTCCACTGGGTAACTCTAGCACTAAAATCAATTTCCAGAAAAAGTAAGTTACTTAATGTCTGACTCAGATACGTGCATATGTTTCAGAGTCGGCCTCTTTCTCTTCCTCTCTCTCCTTCTCTCTCTCACCAAAGTCAGGTGTGTTATTTTAGACCCTGCAGTTAAATATTTGGTAATATTTTCTTTTATGAAACCACTCTGACTTACTAATCATAGTATTTATCGAACACTTCCTACACACAAGACCTTATGCAAATTGCTTCATTCACTTTTTCAAATTAATTAACCTTTAGCACAACCCTACAAAGTAGATGTTTTTATTCCCATTTTCCTGGTGAAGAAACAGAGGTCCCAAGAGAGGTCATATCCAGAGCAGATACACAGTAAGCTCATAACCAGCGGCTTTTGCCCTGCTCTGCCCTCCCTGCCTCTGAGATCATTTTTACCTACAGCAATGCAAAGAAGGCCGGGCGCAATGGCTCACACCTGTAATCCCAGCACATTGGGAGGCCGAGGCAGGCAGATCACTTGAGGCCAGGAGTTTGAGACCAGCCTGACCAACATGGTGAAACCGTGTCTCTACTAAAATTACAAAAATTAGCCGAGCATGGTGGTGCATGCCTGTAGTCCCAGCTACTTGGGAGGCTGAGAGGCAGGAGGATGGCTCAAACTCAGGATGTGGAGGTTGCAGTGAGCTGAGATTGCACCACTGCACATCAGCCTGGGCAAAAGAGTGAGATTCCATCTCAAAAAAAAAAAAAAAAATTAGCCGGGCGTGGTGGCAGGTGCCTGTAATCCCAGCTACTTGGGAGGCTGAGGCAGGAGAATCACTTGAACCCAGGAGGCAGAGGTTGCAGTGAGCCGAGATCGTGCCACTGCACTCCAGCCTGGGCGATAGAGCAAGACTCTGTCTCAAAAAAGAAGGAGAAGGAGAAGGAAAAGGAGGAAGAAGGAGAAGGAGAAGGAGAAGGAAAAGGAGGAAGAAGGAGAAGGAGAAGGAGGGGGAGAAGGAGGAGGAGGAGGAGGAGGAGGAGGAGAAGAAGAAAAAGAAGAAGGAGGGGGAGAAGGAGGAGGAGGAGGAAGAGGAGGAGGAGAAGGAGGAAGAGGGGGAGGGGGAGGGGGAGGAGGAGGAGGCAGAAGAAATACAAAGAAAACCACTGGTTTTGCAAAGTTTTCTCCCCTGACATGGATGGGGCTGACAAGGAGGTCAAATGATGTGTCCTCAGGGTTGGGGTGAAACTAGCATAAGTGCCAAAGGGTGAACACCAGGAATGACCAGTCCCGCCCTACTCTCTCCACCACTACCGTCAGGGGCCCCAACCCGGAGAGAACCAGCCCTGGTTTGTCCCCGCTCCGGGAGAGGCTCGGAGAAGGAAACTGACCTCTGAGAAATTTTTGTCAGAACTATCTCCGTAGCACCCCTTGTAGAAGGCCAGTTCCTCCTCGTCCTGTAGTGTCACGATAGTGACAGGCACCACGCCCGCGGGAAAGTCCAGGAGGTTGTACAGGGTCACATAAGACTGACTTTCTGCAGGAAGATCCAGATAAGCCCAGGAAATCGTCAGCGCAGACTCAGGTGGGGAAGAATGTGGGTGGGCGCCCCCTCCCGGTCCTTCTGGGAACTTCAGCGCTCTGGGCTCGGACTAGCCAATTTGTGTCAGGGGTCATCTTGACAATGGCCTCATGCTCTCCCCAGGGTGGAGGGAAGGACGGAATCTGCATTGCAGAAGCCTCACTCAGTGCCAGGCACTGTGCTGGCCTCATCACATTGCTGATCCCTTGAATCCTCTCCACTCTGTGAGGTGTGGATTACTATTGACTGTGTACAAGTGAGGAAATCGAGGTGGCAGGATTAGGGGCAGGATTAGCCTTTTCTAAGGCTACACAGCTAGTGGATGGCAGAGGATTCAGCCCACGCCCTCCTGTGTACCGGACTTCAAGATAGTAAGGGTGTACAGCGCCACCTGGAGTTGAAAGGACAGCTCTTCTGCAGCAGCCACATGTGTGCAGGGAGAGTCAGGCGTGGGATGAGCCTTTGGCTGGCCACAGTCGGGGGACCCAGGAGGACATGTTCTTAAGGTCAGGGGAGAGGAGTCCAGGCTCAGGTTTGGAACTGAGTTTTATCCTGCCTTGGGTAGCACCTTTGAGACCAGTACCTGTGCATGGGACCCAGGGATGGCCCAGATATTACCCTGTCCTGAGCCCATGTTTTGGACAGGCTGGGCTGAAGACCCCTTTTGAAGTAGGGCAGCAGAGGGCATGTTAAGAGTAAATGGATGGGCTGGGCACAGTGGCTCACGCCTGTAATGCCAGGACTTTGGGAGGCTGAGGTGGGTGGATCACCTGAGGTTAGGAGTTTGAGACCAGCCTAGCCAACATGGCGCAACCCCGTCTCTACTAAAAATGCAAAGATTAGCTGGACGTGGTGGCACACACCTGTAATTCCAGCTACTTGGGAGGCTGAGGCAGGAGAATTGCTTGAAATCAGGAGGCAGAGGAGGTTGCAGTGAGCTGAGATCATGCCACTGCGCTCCAGCCTGGGTGACAGAGCAAGACTCTGTCTCAAAAAAAAAAAAAAAAAAAAAAAAAAAAAAAAAAAAACAGTAAATGGATGTGCTAGGTGGAAGAAGCCAAACACAAAAGCTTCATACCCTTTGATTCCATTTGTATGAAATTCTAGAAAAGGCAAAACTATGGTGACAGAAAGCAGATCAGTGGTTACTGGGGTTAGGGATAGAGTGAACTGCAGAGACATGAGGGAAATTTGGGGGTGATGGAACATGTATCTGTAAAATCTAAAAATATATTCTGTTCTGTATTTCTGATTATAGTGGTGGTTATACAACAGTATACATTTGTCAAAATTCATCAAATTATACTTAAAATCGGTGAATTTTATTGCATGTAAATTATACTTCCATAAAGTTCATTTTTAAAGTGAATGGAAATTGCTAACAGGTACAAGTTTTCCTTTCAGGGTAACAGAAATGTTCAGACATTAGATAATGGTGGTGGTTGCACGACATTTTGAAATATTAAAAACCACTTAATTGTACACTTTAAAATGGTAAGTTTGTGTTATCTGACTTTTATCTCAATTTAAGAAATATTTTTAAAAAGTTAATGGAGATAGAGGGCAAGATCACAGAAGCTGGGGCAGGACTCAGGAGTCCCGGACTCCCAATCTCAACCCCACCAAGACCCAGTGTGCTCTCACCTGATGCTAGGGAGGAAGAGCCTATATAGAAGGCAGAGCCCAGAACTGGCACCAGCAGCACATCCAGGTCCAGGGACCTCCACTTGGCTATGAACTCTTGCTCATATTCCTGCAGGGACAGTGAGGGATGGGAGGGGTAGGAAGGCAGGGGTTACTGTTTGCCAGACAAGGTCAGATGCTGCCAGGCAGCACTGAGTTGCACACCAGGAGGAAGTCTCAGGCTATAAGCTTCAGCCTGAGATACCTGTGGAGGTTCAGGATCTTCCCAGGGACAGAGGTGAAGGGATGGGAAGCTGAATTTCAGGTCACAAGGATTTGGGGACAATGCTCTAGGGAGATGGACTAGAATAACTTCTGAGGTCACCAAGCCCCCCCACCCAGGTCCAGCTGGGCCTTCTCTGCAGGCCAGTTCATAACTCTGACCACTCAGGGCACTACCCAGGTGTCTGCAGCCCCAGCTCCAGCAGCCCCTCAAGGTCTTCCCAGACAGGCATTACCTCCACTGCTGTGTGCTGTTCCCACAGTTTCTTGGGTGTCCTGAAAGAATGAGGAAGACTCTGACAAGTTCAAAGGTCAGCATGGGAGGGAACCCTTTTATACAAATGGGGACATGACAACCAAGGCCTCAGTGCACGCTGCAAATCAGCTGATGGGCTGGGAGTGACCCCGTGTCTTGTCCCCTGGCCAAGACATCTTGCCTGCTCAAGGTCCCCAAGAGCACACATCCTCTGGTCAATCTACCCCCCATTCCACCAGTCACAGGAACTCATGGGCTGCCTCAAAGGCCACAGGCTCCTTACCCTAATCTGTGAGGCACCCAGTTAGCCCTCAGTCCACTCCAGCCCAATTCTGCCCAGCATCTTCATGCCAACCCCACCAGGCCAAGCCCAACAGCAAACCCAAGCCCATACCAGCCTCTCCCAACCTCATCTCTAACCCTAACTCTAGCCCCACCCCAACTCCAGCCTCAGTCCCAACCCTCTTCCAAATCTATCTTCGCCCCACCAACCCCAACTCAAACCAACTCCAACCCCAGCCTCAGTCTTAAGCCCATCCCCAAATAAAACCTAATCTCAACTTCAGTCCCAAATTTTACCTCAACCTAGCCTTAATTCAGATTTTTTTTTCCCTTGAGACAGAGTCTATCTCTATCACCCAGGCTAGAGTGCAGTGGCACCATCTTGGCCCACTGCAAGCTCCACCTCCTGGGTTCAAGTGATTCTCGTGCCTCAGCCTCCCGAGTAGCTGGGATAAAGACACATACCACCACACCCGCTGATTTTTGTATTTTTAGTAGGGACAGGGTTTCATCATGTTGTCCTGGCTGGTCTTGAACCCCTGGCCTCAAGTGATCCTCCCCGCTCAGCCTCCCAAAGTGCTGGGATTACAGGCATGAGCCACCACACCCGGCCTTAATTCAGATCTTAACTCCAAATAAAGTCCCAACACCAATCAAAAGTCTCAATCTAAGCTAATGTCAGGCATGATCCTAAAACCCTAATTAGAGTCCGAAATCTAAATAGATCCCCCCTTAGTGGATACCAGCTCTAGCCTCATGCCCCTCCTCAATTCCCACCATCCCATGGACAACCATTGGAGCAAGAGCTGGCCCTAGGGAGACTCACCCCACTCCACGAATCTCTTCAAGATGCTGGCTAGTTTGGGGATCCTAGAGGGGGGCT
Organism: Homo sapiens; assembly: GCF_000001405.40. Taxonomy (NCBI): domain Eukaryota; kingdom Metazoa; phylum Chordata; class Mammalia; order Primates; family Hominidae; genus Homo; species Homo sapiens. The sequence goes on along the minus strand of NC_000001.11, from coordinate 46,439,520 downwards.
GAGAGGGGGAGTCCAACTTCAGAACCCACAGGGAAACAGTCAGCCTGCCCAGGAGGGGGTCCAAGAAGGGTAGCATTGCTCAACGCACTGACGTGGAACCCTCCGATCCTCAACAAGCCTACACCACTTCACCAAGCCCTGAGCTCACACTGGCCCTGTAGCCCTCCAAATGCCCTTCCCCCTTTCTGAGCCTCCTCTCTGAAACCCCCTCCCCTCTCTGTGAGCACCCTACTCTTTTAGCCCCATCCCCTTCTTTCATTATTTGTTTTAATTAATTTTTTTTTATTTTTTTTGAGTCAGAGTCTTACTTGTCACCCAAGCTGGAGTGCAGTGCATAATCTCAGCTCACTGCAGCCTTGATCTTCTGGGCTCAAGTGATACTCCCACCTCAGCCTCCTGAGTAGCTGGGACCACAGGCATGCACCACCATGCCCAGCTATTTTTTTTTCCATTCTTTTTAGAGAATGGAGTCTCACTATGTTGCCCAGGCTGGTCTCAGACTCCTGGGCTCAAGTGATCTTCCTACCTTGGCCTCCCAAAGTGCTGGGATTACATACATGAGCCACTGTGCACCCAGCCCTTCATTCTTCTTCCCCATTTTGAACCCCTCTCTGAGCTACCACCATTCTCTGGGCCTCATCCTCCTCTCTGACCCCACTTCCACTCCTTCTGTGAGCTCCCTCTGCTTTCTGAGCCCCTCCTACTCCCTGTGCTCCCTGCCCTTCCAAAGCCCTCCCTGACTAGGGCCTGCACTTACTATGTACTTTGGGATCCAGGCCAAGAAACATTTGAAGGGGTCTGGCAGGCAGAGCTGGTTGACCATGCCCTTTATGCTGGGATCCACAATGTCCCCCTCTCTGAGGAACCAGTCGCAGATGGGTAAGTCACAGCCCTTAGCCAGTGGCCTGCCCCCACAGCCACCCAACTTCCACGCCGTAGACAAGAAGGAGGCCAAACCCAAAGATGTACTTCTGCCCCACCCCCGGAACAGGTGCATCCTAAAGACAGGCCCAGTGTGTGGTTTGCGGCATAAGGTCACACTATTAGGCAGAGGCACCCCAGCCCAGGCCCCCAGTTTCCCTCCTGGGACTCAGGTTGGCTCCAGCCCACTCCCCTACCTTGTTTCCACCATGCCCCACCCCTGAGTCCCAGCAGATAACGTATAGCTTCTCTAGAAGAGTGGCCCCTCCATCAGTAAACATCCCCCCGTGTACAAGTCTTTGATGGCGTATTCTGCCTGGGGGATGGAGAAGGGGATAACCTGGGGAGGCAGAGGCAGAGTCAGTGTCTGGAGCTTCCCCGACCCTGCCTGGTTCTCTGTCTCTGCATCCCCCAAGATTTCAAGAAGGATGCCACATCATCTCGTGCATCTCCGTCCACCTCAGCGCCTCAGCATGGCATGGGAGGCCTGTGTCACTGGTTGCTCTCCTGCCACCCCACTCCCTCACCCTCACACACAGATGTGACAGAACAGAACGAGAGCAGCCCTCATTTCCTTCATGCTTCACTGTGATCCAGCCAGCGTGCCAAGTGCTTTATCTATGGAACCACATTTAATCTTCACAGCCACCGCATTGGGTAGAAAACAAGCCCAGAGAGGTTAAAAGGCTAGCCCAAGATCACATGGTAGAATCTCAAAGGGGAAGTGAGGCCAGGACAAGCCACTGGGGGCAGGGGAGTTTGGGGTAGGGCTAAGGTAGGGATTTTGGAGACAGAAAGCTCCTTACGGCCACTTGATGGAGGCAACAGAGACCCAAGCTGAAGGAATTATAGGAGTGAGTCCCTGAATCTCCACCACCGAAGGAGGAAGCACAAAAGCTTAATGCCTTCCTTCTAGGGTAGGGCTCACCCTATCCCCACCTCCATCCCATCAGTCTTCTCCAGGAAGCATAGGGGGAACACAGTTATCTCAGCACCTCAAACGCAGATGTAGCCACCTTTGTCTCCAAGGATGGCCCCGCCCAGCATCCTCGCACTGGCCCAGACTCTCTCTCACCCAGGACCAGGTGAGACTACCTGGTGTCAAGCATCCTGGAGCAGCCAGGAGGTGAGCTGCACAGCCCTGGCCATGCTAGGGGATGGCTGGATGTAACCATCTGATTCATAGTAGCCAATTCGAAGGGGCCGGTTACTGGTGTAAACCTAGGGGCACAAGGGGCTGGATGGAGCTCGGAGGAGAGATTGTGCTGGGGACAAGGTGGCCCCACTCTATCCAGGAGCCAGACTTTAAGGGCAGGGCCTTGGTCTACAGCTGTCCTCACAAAGGGGGGAATCCATGTGGACACCCCAAGACCCCCTGGGAGCCTCCCTATATACTCTCCAGGCTCTAGGTGCTCTGCGGAAACCCCTGGAGGAAAGAGAAATGGATGAGATGGGTGGTTGGGCAGATGGGGTGGATAGTAGATAGATGGTAGACAGACTCCTGGGTGGGTGGGTGGATGTATGTATGAGATGGTGGGTAGTTGGGTGGGCAGAGGGTTGAATGCATATGTGGGTGAGTGGGTGAATGGATGGTTGGAGTTGAGTGGGTGGGCAGGTGAGTAAGTCATGCATAGACTCAAATATCTTTAAGCTAAAGAAATGTTAGGAGAATATGAGGCTGGAGATCTATAGGGACAAATACCCAGACCAGGGTCTGAGATGGAGGGCCCCTAGTCCTGGGAAGTGGGGTGCTGCCAGAAAGGCAGCCGCCCCTCACCCGTCACACAACACATGTTTGTAGGGGCAAATCATGGATGATATACAATGATCTCAGGTTGATAATGCTAGGAGGGGTGTAGGGAATCCGAGGAACAGACATTGCCGGGACGTAGACAGAAACTGCCCTATGGAGAGGGTTCTGCAGTTAGATAGGGCTGGGTTCAAAGCCAGCTCTGCCAGTTACTAACTACATGATCTTAGGCAAGTCATTTCACTTCCCCTCAGTCTCCCCAGCTGTAAATGGGAGGAGCACTGCTCACTCTATAGAGTGTTAGGATGAGACACGCAGAGCCTGGCACACAACTGGTACAAGCAAATGTTGTTGAATGAATTAACGAATAAATGAAGGCTGCTGTAGACAGAAGGGTGTGGAGTAATCTCCCAGCCTAACCTCTTTATTGTATTGATGGGGAGGCTAAGGCTGAAAGAAGAGATGTGACTTGGCCAGGGTTACCTAGAGGGTTAAAAACCCAGCTTAACTGGATGCCACACCCTCTCAACCACACTTGCTGAGTATTCTAACTGCATGGGTTGGGTATATGGCACTGGAGGCCCTCTTTGGGGGCACTTACAAGCTATGGCTCCAGATAGCCAAGAAGCCAAAGCAGCTGGTGTCCAGCAGGGGAAGGAAACAAACTGGACTGAGCATGTGGGCTTCTCACTCACTGCAGCCTGGGGTGGGAAAGGGGGTCTTCACCTGGGAAGGTAAGATGGCAGACAGGTCAGGGAGGAATGATGGTGGGGGGCAAGGAAACCCCCAGGTCTGCTCTCCCACCTGGCTTACCTCCTCCCTAAAGGGCATCTGGAGCACAGTGGGGTCCAGTCGGTACATGTCTTCACTCAGCAGGGCTTGCAGGCACAGCGCCAGGCTCTCCACGTCCTGGGCCATGGGGCCAGCCACCGTGGTCACTGCACAAAGAGGAGGGGAGAGAGGCAGGCACCTCTCGTTTTGTTTGCTTGTTGTGTTTTGTTTTTTGTTTGTTGGTTTTTGAGACGAAGTTTTTCTCTGTCACCCAGGCTGGAGTGCAGTGGCACCATCTCTGCTTACTACAACCTCCACCTCCCGGGTTCAAGTGATTCTCCTGCCTCAGCCTCCCCAGTAGCTGGAATTACAGGTGCCCGCCACCACACCTGGCTAATTTTTGTATTTCTAGTAGAGACGGGGTTTCACCATGTTGGCCAGGCTGGTCTCGAATTCCTGACCTCAAGTGATCGCCCACCTCAGCCTCCCAAAGTGCTGGGATTACAGGCATGAGCCACTGCGCCCAGCAAGCACCTCTCATTTGTTGTGCCCTGGGGATCCCAACTGCCTGGCCTCAGAGGGTGGGTTCCAGGGTCATGGTCAGGACGAAGGAAGAGATTAAAGCTAGATAGCAGGACAAAAGCCCTTCTCAGAGGGCCAAGAGTCACTGGACAAGGGGAGGCCAGGTGGGAACCATGCAGTCTGCCCTCTCAGTCATCATCTGTGGGGCTGATCTGTCTGGAGATATGAGCTGAGCAAAATGTCCTTGGGAGAAAGACTGGCAGTTTCATCTTTAAATGGGGTGGCCACAGGCACAGACCAGGACTTACCCGATTTTTTTCCCCTTGATGGCAGAGGCAATTCCAGTGTAGCTGCAAAACATTCCGACCCAGAGCCCAGCTCAGCATGTGAAGGGAGGGGCCTGGGTGCTAGGAGGCTTGAGCACCCAGGCGATGTGCTCCCCCAGGGCGCAGCCCACAAAAATAGGAGCTGCTTCAACATTCCCTGACCCTCTGCTGCCCACAGCATAGTCTGATCTCTTTGACTGCTTTTCAAGACTCTAACTCTCCATGGCTTCCCCTTCTAGCCCTTCCACACGTGCATATTGCTGCAGGCAAAGTCAGCCGCTTACAAACAATCTTACAGCCTTCTAGACGCCACATCATCTTGGCATGTCTGGCCCTCAAAACCACGCTCAAATGCTGCCTCCTCCAGGAATCCTTCCCTTCCCTTGCCCTGCCTCTGAAAGTCAAGAGTATAAGCTTTTAATAAATCTCTGTTAAAGAAAATGTCAGCTTCCTCTTGTAAGCTTTGACCCTCTCTTACAGACCTGATCACTTTCTGACTAACTCATTTGTGTGTCTAAGAGCACAGCAGGGGCAGGGGCTGGGTCCAAGAGTGGTCTATGTCCCCAGAATAGGGGCCATGGTGTGGGTACACAGAGAGGGGTTGAGAGATGGGTGGATGCATGCATGCATATACGATGAACGGATGGATGGATGGATGGATGGATGGATGGATGGATGGATGGATGGATGGATGGAGAGATACAAATGTGGATTGATGGATGGATACACAAATGGATGGATGGAAAGATGGATGGATAAATGGTTGGAAGGAAGAGTATGTGTAAGTTTTTCAAGGGCTGAGATATTTGTCTCTTTTGTTCACCGAAGTAACCCAAGTAGCTAGTACCCAAGGAGCTGTTGTGTCTGACACAGTAAATAGTCAATAGAAATCTTTTAAATAAATAGTGGATGAATGGTAAAATTGATTGATGGATAGAGACTGAGATGATGACCATGTGGGTGATTGAATGGATGAAGGACAGATAGATACATGGACAGATTGATGAGTAAGAGAAGGGGTATGTGGATGGATAGCTGTATAGATTAATGAATTAATGAGCTGATGAGTTAATGAGTGGAAGGTCTATTCTACTGCCACCTGGAAAAATATGGTATGTTTAGCATGGCTACTGCAGGAGTTATTTGAAGCCCTCCTACCCACTTCCCCTAGTACTGAGTTGGGTAGATGAAAGTTGATGGGAGGAGCAGACCCCTCTACTTCCCCACCCTCTAGTTCCCTTAGGCAGGTCCGAGCCCACCCCACCACCACCATCAATGAGTACCTGAGGCGGGAACCTGTGGTCCAGAGGCCATAAACACCACAGAAGCTGGCTGGTATGCAGATGCTGTCACCTGTGTCAGTACCCATGCCTAGGATGGACCCCCTTTCTGCCAGCAGAGCCCCTCACCCCCTGAGGAGCCCCCACATGTCTTCTTTAAGTTCAGTGGGCTCAACATCTGGCCATAGATGGGAGTTGCCGCATTCAAAGCTAAGGGAAGCAGAAGAAAATGAGCTGAGGGTGAAAGCCTCACTCGGCAGACCTCTCCCCATATGGGGGCCAACCACCCTCCAGAGTCAACCCCAGGGCTTCCTGGGCTCCATGAGCTCCTCCCTAAGGCTGAGGCTTCCTGGGCTCCCTTCCAGCTGGGGTGAGGGGCTGCTGCTGCAAGAAAGACCAAGATCAGACACCAGCCATGACTCCTAATATCAGGACCAAAGAGCCCACAGCTCTGCCATCAGAACTGAGAACATGTTCCTCACGAAACACAGATGCACTACAGGCTGAGTAGAGAAGGGAGAGAATAAGCGATGGGGAGAACAATCAAAGAGAGAAGCCTGGGTAGAAATAGAACAATTTGAGAGAGAAACTGGGATAGAAAAAGAGTGTAGCTTTACAGAACCTTGGAGCCCGAAGGGCCCTTACAGACTGTGGAGTCCATCCACATGTTCTGTGATAAAGAAACTCAGCCCCGGGGACAGAAGGGGCTGGCCCAAGAACCCTGGTCTTTGAAGTCTGTATGACTAGCCCCCTCCTCACCCTCTGCCCTGAATCAGGACTTCAAAGAGCTGTTTCAGCCCTGGGCTTAGCCCAGCCCCCGACCCCAGCTAGCCCGCTTCAGAGACCTGAGCAGCGTCAGTGGGATGTTGGTCTTAACAAAGGGGATGGCTCCTTGGGCCTTGAGCACTTTCATAATGACCCCGTCCTTGGTCGCAGGCTTCTCCAGGAACTAGGCCAGGCGGCATGCACAGTCATGGCCCTGCAGGGAAGGAACATTGCCTCCAGCCATGGGGGTCAGGGTGGAACCAGCCAGCTGGCTGATTTTCAGCCCCATTCCACCCCCCTCACACACACTCTCACACCCCTGGGGACACAAGCGCAGCACTTCACGGATGGCAAAAGAGTGTGGTGGCTGAGAATTTGGGGTTTGGAACCCAAATTCTGGGTATAAACCTCAGTTTGCCGCTTCGTAGCTGTGCAGTTTTAAATGACTCACCCATTGTCACACACTGAGCCCCCCAGTGTCACACACCAAGCTCCAGGCTGGTGGCACAAGCGTGCATATGCACATTCGTGTGCATGTACACCCCAGGCTCACCATGCTGTCATAGGTGTCCTTGAGGCTCATGGGGACCCCATAGAGAAGGCCTCTCTCACTCTTCTTAAGCTTCTTTAATGCCTGCAGTTCCTCCTCACATTCCCCCAGGAAATCCATCAGGCAGTTCACCTCCTGGTGCACCTTCAGTGCCTGCACAACAGTGAAGACAGCAGACAACAGCCCCAGGTGAGGCCAGGACCAAAGCAGGGCACTCGGTTGCCCCAGCCCCTCCTGCCACCCTGAGGTAACTGTGGCATGTGCCACCTCCCAAGTCAGTGGCAGAGTTACACCTGCCCCTCAGCTCCTCTGAGTAAAACAATGACAAGTGACATCCCCCACTCCAGCCCAGAGCCCCGGGCTTGGATCCTGTGCCCTGGCCACCACCTGCTTTAAGTAGCTACAGAGGATGCTCTCCAGACTCAGCTCTTCGGTCCGAAGCTGCTGGGCCAGCTCTGCCAGGGGCAGCTCCAGGATTGGCTTGGGGTCCAGATCTGGCTCCTGCAGAAATGAGATGGAGTAGGCAGATATCCAAGATGGACCCGCTAAGGCCCACTCCCACACACTCCACATCACACCCCAGACTCCCCTATGCACAGCTGCACACACGCCCATGTCTCTCGGTACATGTTCCGGCACTCATGCTTAGCACTAAAAACATCTGTTGTGTCTCCAGGTTGTCATGAAAACCCTCCAAGGGCACGATGTTCTCCTCTGCCTCTGCCCCCAGTGGCCAGCCCAGGGCCTGGCGTGGAGAAGGGCCTGCCCCTTCATGCTGCTCTTCAGAAGGGTCACAACTGGAGTGGGGGTGACTCCACATGTGACATCATGAGACTGGAGGTTATGGAAGTGAAGTTCAGCCCTGGGTGGCTGGCCTTCAGGGGCATCCCAGGCATCCCACCTCTCCTCCCTACCCAGTCCTCCCCCTGCTGAGCTGACTTTAGGGAGGCAGGAGTCCAGCATGGGTGGCAAGAGAGTTAGCACCATCTTGGCCGCGCCCTTGGTCAGCTGGGTAACTGGAGGTGGTTCTCTGCTCCTCCCATGGCCTAGGTCTCCTCAGAGAGGGAAGGACTAGGAGTCCATCCTGAGTCAGCCCCTCAACTGCTCTGAGCCCCGTCCTTCAGGATATGAGGGGAGGTCTGATACCAGGCCCTCAGGACTGCCGCCCTGGGCAAGTGTGACATGACAAAGGTCTAGCACACAGCAGGCACTCAGGAAGGCAAAGTTCTCTTCCTCTTGCCCCCCTCAGCTCTGGTTAAGACCCCGATGCCTCCAAGCTGGAGTATGGGTTGGGCAAGAAGTGGGCTTTTCTTGGTCCTGGAGGTGGGGGAAGGTGGAGACAAATAAATTTCCCTTGGAGGTTAGGATCCCCTGGCTCCAGTCTGTCTTCTTTCATTCCTCAAAGCAACCAGTCTGACATCTGTCCTCCCCTCTGCACTGGGCCCCTTCTCACCAAGGGCATCAAGACTTCTCGGTTACTAAATCTTATGGATTCGGGTTAGTCTTCATCTCACTCTCCTCAGCAGCGTCTGACACTCTCCCTCCCAAAGCTCTCTATGCCCCCAACTCTGCTGGCCTCCTCCCACCCTCAGGTGGCTCCTTCTCAGTTGCCTGAAATGTTGGTGTTCCTCAGGGCATGACCTTTTCTCTCCCTGCCTGCCCACTCTCCATGGGTGACCTCGGCAGCCAGGTGCACCCCAAGGATAAGCAGGCCACCTGTTTCTCTAACCTAGGCCTCTCTTCCGCCAGGACTCAGACCCCTTTACCTACCCACATATACACAGACTCCCCAGGACTCACCTTCTTTCAGCCAAATCTGTTCTTCTTGAAATTCCCAATTGATGACATGCATGTCACCAAAGCAACAAACCTCAGAATCATCCTAGGTCCTCCCTCACACCCAAGTTCTGATAATAGTTACACTAGCTAACATAATCACACTAGGATGTGTTCTAACACTTAATAGTGCCAGGCCCTATTCCAGACACTTTGCATATAATCAGTCATTGCCTATAATGAATTTTGGAAGGCCGAGGTGGGAGGATTTCTTGAAGCCAGGAGTTTGAGGCTGCAGTGAGCTATGATCTCACTGCTGCATTCCAGCCTGGATGACATGAGACCCTGTCTCCAAGAAAATTGTAAATTAAAAATTTACAATTTTTAATTGTAACAACCCTAAGAGGTAGGTCACATCGTTTTCTCATTTCACAGCAGAAGACAACACTGAGGCACAGAGACCTCCTCCTCTTTGCCCGAGGATACACAGCCAGTAAGTGGCAGAGCTGGACCCAGGCAGTCCAACACCAGTGACCACATTCTTAACTGCACACACTGCCTGCAGGTGGTTCTACTCCTTCGTATCTCCCACCTCGGACCCTCAGGCCTCTTGCCTGCCTAAGGACCTCTCTCTGTTGGCTCATTGGCCTCCTCACTGGCCTCCTTGGCTTGGCCTCCACGGCTTGGCCTCCACTCCTCCAACTCAGCCTCTTCACTGCAGCCTGGGCAATCCTTTTAAGATCTTATAAGGCCCACTCTGAAAATAGGTCCCAGTAGCCCTCAGGATAACATTGCAGCACCATTCTCACCAGCACCACTTGCAAAGCCTTCACTGTAAATGTGTAACATGGGTTCTTGCTTCGATGTACACAATTCCCATTGACCAAGTATTCAGAGTATCACTGTGGGGCTGGAAACCCTCTCAAGCCCTTTACTGCACCGTTTCATTAAATCCTCACAAAAACCCTTGGCTAAGTGCTGTTATTACTGTTTCCATTTCCCCAGTGAAGGCAACTGAGACCCGGAGAGACTAACTCTCTTGCCCAAGGTCAGAGGACAGGGGAGCCTGGGCTTAAACCCAGGCCGTCCATACCTTAACCACTACCCTCTCCTGGCTCTTGGGGCATCTTGTGGAAGGGAGGCTTTTTAAGGTGCCAGGCACTGGACCAGGGTCTTTCCCTGCTTGGGTCCAGTGGGCCTGTCTCTCTCAGCCTCTCCCATGCATGCTGCTCCAGCCACACTGTCCAGTCCCTTTCCTTGCTGTGCCTCAGCTCAGAGCTCCCCAGCTGGTGTGCCACAGGGACTCTCAGGAGGGTCCAGACACAGATCCCTTGGACAGGGCTAGCATTCAGCCAGGATGCACCACCACAGCCATGCCAGTGGCTAAACTACTGAAACATTTCTGAGTCACTTGGCAAAAAGCTGCTCTGCTGGGCACCCCCCACCACCCTAGTTGTCCTAGCCCCTCCCCAGGACTCCACCCTCTCTACACAGTCCAGCAAGTAAAGTTAATGCTCAGCCCAGCAGGGACCCTCTAGGCATAGGGACTGTGGAGGGCCAGCCTGGGTTCATCCCTTGCCCTGCGCCCTCCAACCCTAAGGAGCCCTAGCGGGCCCCGCCAGGGACCTCCCTGCACTCACAGGTCCCCAGACGCACCCCAGAGACATCAGCAGCTGCACACCAGCCCCCATTTCTATATTTCTACCTGGAGAGACAACACCCCTGGTGGCACCCCATGGGCAAGTGCCCAATGTGTCCCTCTGGGCCCCTGAGGCTAGCCTTCCCCTGCAGCTGTCCTTGCATGGCCATTTGTGGGAATGGCAGCCTCTGGGGCACTTTGACTCTCAGGGAGCTTGGGGAGAGGTGGGAAGAGCAGGCAAGGGCAGGGGTTGGGGAGTGGCTAATGTGACCTCTGCAGGTGGCTGCTGAGACCACAGCAGGCGCTCCAGGGACCTGGGAGGACAGAATGTCACATCCATCTAATAGAACATATTCTGCTCACCCAAAATACCCACTCACCATGGACAACAACAGTAGCTTCATTCCTAAAGTGAGAACTATCACTTGTACAGACAGTCCCAACTTACCATGGTTCAACTTACAATCTTTGACTTTACGGTAGCGCAAAAGCGATTGATATACATTCATCGGAAAGCAGTAAAAGGCCGGGCACGTTTGCTCACGCCTGTAATTCCAGCACTTTGGGAGGCCAAGGTGGGGGGATCACCTGAGGTCAGGAGTTCAAGACCAGCCTGGCCAACATGGCAAAACCCTGTCTCTACTAAAAATACAAAAGTTAGCCGGGCGTGGTGGCGCACACCTGTAATCCCAGCTACTCGGGAGGATGAGGCAGGAGAATCTCTTGAACCTGGGAGGCAGAGGTTGCAGTGAGCTGAGACTGCGCCACTGCACTCCAGCCTGGGAGACAGAGCCAGACTCCGTCTCAAAAAAAAGAAAAAAAAAAAAAAAAGCAGTAAGATACTCTCTTGATTCTCGATACTGGACAGTGCCAGCAAGACTAGCTCCCAGTCAGCCACAAAATCACAAGGGAAACAGTGAATCCTCTACAGGGTACTGTGTTGCCAGGTGATTTTGCCCAACCGTGGGCTAATGTAAGTGTTCTGAGCATGTTTCAAAAAGGCTAGGCTAAGCTATGATGTTGGGTGGGTTGTATGTATTAAGTGCATTTTCAACTTACAATATTTTCAATTTAGGATGAGTTTATCAGGATGAAGCCCCACGGTAAGTCGAGGAGCATCTGTATGGTGTTTGCTGTGTACCAGGCACCACTGTAAACATTTATTAACTTGTTTGAGTGCTATCATTACAATCATCATACCATTGTAGAGATGAAGAAGTTAAGATACAGAGTAGTCATTTAAGTGTAAGTGTTTGCTGGGTTTGGTGGCTCACGCCTGTAATGCTAGCACTTTGGGAGTCTGAGGTGGGAGGATTGCTTGAGGCCAGGAGTTCAAGACAATGTAAAATGATAAAATCAAACAAAATAAAAAGTGTCAAGAGTCAGGATTCAAACAGCCAGCCCAACAACAGAAGCCACACTCTTAGCTGCCATGCTAGACAACTTCTAATTAGTGTTAATGACATTCTAATAACAATGTTTATTACTTAATTGACAACAGAGATGCTTAACTACATGAAATCTAACACTGTATTAGAAAAGCTAGAAAATTGTGAGTGTAATTGCTACTGGTTCAGCAAAAGCTGAGAGAGGACTCCACCCACGGAACAATATCACTAACGTTAAGAGAAAGACTCTCCTTAATCAGACTGCAAGTGACCTAATGACTCCAATGTATCAGGAGCGCTTTGAAAGACAGGGACAACTTTCAAAAGATGATAGCCACATCACAGGATCCTCACAACAAATTCTAAAAATCAACAAATTAGCCAGGCGCAGTGGCGAGCATCTGTAATCCCAGCACTTTGGGAGGCCAAAGCGGGCGGATCACCTGTGGTCAGGAGTTCGAGACTAACATGGTGAAACCCCGTTTCTACTCAAAATCCAAAAAAAAAAAAATTTAGCCGGGCATGGTGGTGAGCGCCTGTAATCCCAGCTACCTAGGAGGCTGAGGCAGGAGAATCACTTGAACCCGGGAGGCGGAGATTGCAGTGAGCCAAGATTGCGCCATTGCACTCCAGCATGAGCAACAAGAGCAAAACTCTGTCTCAAAAAAAAAAAAAAGAAAGAGAAAAAAGGCCGGGCGCGGTGACTTACGCCTGTAATCCCAGCACTTTGGGAGGCCGAGGTGGGCAGATCACCTGAGGTCAGGAGTTCGAGACCAGCCTCAACATGGAGAAACCCCATCTCTACTAAAAATACAAAATTAGCTGGGCGTGGTGGTGCATGCCTGTAATCCCAGCTACTTGGGAGGCTGAGATAGGAGAATTGCTTGAATCTGGGAGGCGGAGGTTGCGGTGAGCCGAGATCATGCCATTGCACTCCAGCCTGGGCAACAAGAGCGAAACTCCGTCTCCAAAAAAAAAAAAAAAAAGCTAAAAATCAACAAATTATTTGAATAATTTGATGAAAAATTGAGCCTCAAGTTATATCACTTTTTAATATGTAATTTAGTTTGGAGCTAACCCTTCCCTCCAGCTCCATCCCACAGCCCCACGGACATCCAGCCTTCTCTGTACTCAGGGTGCTGCCTCCAGCCTAGTTTGAAAAACAAAAAAAATGTAATTTAAAGTTTTTAGTGAATCAATGTATTATTAATATTTATGGCCGGGCACGGTGGCTCACGCCTGTAATCCCAGCACTTTGGGAGGCCAAGGTGGGAGGATCACGAGGTCAAGAGATCAAGACCATCCTGGCCAACATGGTGAAACCCCATGTCTACGAAAAATACAAAAATTAGTTGGGCTTGGTGGGACTTGCCTGTAATCCCAGCTACTCTGGAGGCTGAGGCAAGAGAATTGCTTCAACTCGGGAGGTGGAGGTTGCAGGGAGCTGAGATCAGGCCACTGCACTCCAGCCTGGGCAACAAAGTGAGACTCCGTCTGAAAAAAAAAAAAATTCCAATGTGGTGGTTAAATGTTTAGTATCATAAAAACCGTCAACTCTCAAGGTGGCCAGGCTCTGCCTGAGGTGAGCAGAGCTTCCTGGCCATGAGTAGCTTGAGCAGTTCCAGCCATGAGCAGCTGGTCCATTTACCCAATGGGTCCTAGGAATATTATTTTCTATACGTTCTACAGAAACACTGCCTCATCTGGGGCTTCTCCCTCCCTGGTACTGCCTTTCTCGTTTCTCCTTTCAGAAAAGTCCTACAGGTGCCATGAGGTTCAGCTCACTCACCACCCGTCTGGGGAGCCCTCCCAACATGATCCTCTCCAGACAGACCAGCCACCCTCCTGCCAAGTCACCAGTTCTGTGGGCATCTGGCCTCACCACACTCTGCCGTGCTGCTGCCCTGCATAGTCTGCACAGCTCTATCTCCACCACGCCCCTCCCAGGTTGGGAACATTTTTAGCACAAGTGTGAGTCAGGGGTCAGATTCATCTTTATAATGAATGTGTCCCCAGAGCTCAGCACAGGGCAAGACCTGGAGAAATTCCCTGGGAAATTTTACTAAACTCAGCAGAATTGAATTTGTTTGCTGAGCCTGTGAGGGTTTGACCTGTGTCCCAGCCTTGCACCTCCCCGGGACATAAAGGTGGACACCTGAGGTCTCGAGGTTGTCACTGGCAGAGAGAGGGTGACATGACTGAGAAGGTGCCCAGGACAGACCTGTATAGCTTGTTGGGGAGACAGCAAGGTGCTGAGAGCCAAGAAGCCTGAAACCACAATGGGAGGCTGGAGACACCATGAGTGACCTCACCCCAAAACCTCTTCCACTCCTCCAGCCATCCAGACATATACCCCCTCCAGGTCCCCAGCCCAACAGCCCAGACATCCACATGTTCACCAACCAGATGCCCAGACACATACCAAACCAGCTGCCCCCACACATCAGACACACAACCACACACAAACACTCTCTACCAGACATTCAGACCCACACCAGCCACACATAGCTAGATGTACACACTCCAACCAATAACCCAACACATGCACACCCAGCCAGGCACATAACCACACAGCCAGACCAGACACACAACCAACCACAACACAATGAAATGCCAGCAGGAGGCACAAGAAAGCAGGCCCTCGTCCGCAGTAAAGGAAGCTATACCCACCACCGCACACAGATGGGGCCTCCACACGCACACAGGACGCCTCCATCATGCCCATTCACCACTGCAACCCATTAGCCCAGACTTCCTCCTCATCAACCAGGGAGGGGCAGCTGCTCTCTGGGGGCAGATTGATTTATCCAACTAATTAGCCCTAATTAATATTAATACACATACTCAGCAACTGCAGCAACTCAGACAGAGAAGCTGCCCATTGGGGCCATCAATCACCATCCAGGGGACAGCAGAGGACACTCAGGAACTCCAAAGCATGGGAACAGCACCTCAGGCACTAGCCCCAGCCCCTACCTCCGGGCTCCCAGACTGAGTCCACCATCATCAACCAAAGCTGGAGACCCCGAGAGACCATGAGCCCATCCCCCCTCAGACAGCTGGGGAGTCCAAGGCCCAGAGACGGGTTGTCACATCCTCCAGGCCACACAGCAAATCCCAGGCTCAGTCTATGTTTGTCTCCATGTCCCTCCTTCCCGCCCTTCTCTCTGCCACCTGGGGCAGGCTTTGCTGATACATCTATGGCTCAGCCACTTCGCCTGCCAGTCTCAGCCCAGCCAGCCACAGAGGCTATCCCAGTGAAATACCCCCACTCCGAGTTGCCAAAGCTGCCTCTGAAGACCTGCAGCTTCCTGGGAGACCCCATCCCCAGCCCCCCATGCTCTGCACTTATCAGGGCTCAGCAAGTGTTTTCAGAGCTGAATGGGGTGGAGGTAGGAGGGGACAGGTAGACTAGGGTTCCTGTCTTGGGGGATTTTGGAGTGCTCAGGGGCTAAAAGAGATCGAGCCTCCCTCCTCCAATGGCCTCCATCAGTTTATCTTATTTCCGCAAATACCCTAAGTGGGCACCTCCCATGTTACTGAGCCACGTGCCAAGTGCTGGGAGAACAGAGAAAGAATACACTGCCCCCAATCTCCAGGGTCTCAAAGGCCGGGGATGGAGGAGAACTGACAACCACACACAGAGCTGGCATGGGGGGAGAACTGGGGGTGGGGAAGTGCCCACCTGCTCCCTGTGTCTGCGGGGGCTGGGGTCATGGACGGGAGGGGCATCCTGAGGTGTAGTCCTCCTGTTGGGATTGAGGGCCAAGGCCCCCTGTGGCTGGGGGCCTCCGGGACCCGTGTCGACTCACCTGCTGCCGGAGTCACTGGGCCAGGTCCTCCATCTTCTGCAGTGCTACCTCCCTCCACTTCTGGGCCCTGGGGATCTTGTTCCGGGCTGGAGCATGCCACGAGGTGAGCAGGGAAGCCCCCAGTAGGCCAGCCCCCAGCAGGGCCAGCAGAAGTAGCATCATCAGGGAGTCAAACAGCCAAGCCACCTTAGGTATTGCACGACCTGTGTGAATCCAGCTGCTGTTTCCTCAGGAGTATTTGTCAGCGATGCTGCCAGGGCACCCACGCACATCTCGGGCCCTGGGTGTGGCAGTGATCAACCTCCTCCTAGTTCTTACCCCATCTGGACTTCCTGGCGACAAAACCCCTATCTCCCGGGCCATGCAGAGGAAGAGGCTTTAGCAGGCGAGCCTGAAGAAGGGCCCAAGCCTGCAGCTGGGCAGCTGACCTCACCTCTGTCACATCCTACTCCCACCCATCCTACCTCTCAGATCCCACCCCTCAGATTCCCTACTCCAACCCTCAGGAGTTATGGATGGGGTTGCTCCTGGGGTTCCCATTGCCTTCAGGATTCTCCCAAAGCTCCTTTGTTCCGCATAAGCAGACGCATGGAGGTGGAACTGAACAGGCCATGTTTGCCTAGAGTGGAGGTTCTGGGGGACAGGAAGAGAGGAAAGGAAAGAACACCTGGAGGAGCGGGCAGGGCTCATCAGGCATCCACCCCAGGGGAGATGATGCCAGGACATGAGACCAGCCCGCCCAGCTGGGCTTCCCCCTTGACTCCAAAGCAAGGCCATGACTCTGATCCGGGGTTCCAGCCTCCCCAGTCTATTGACTCTCCCTGCTGGTGGAGGGGAGTTGTGGGGGTAAGGGAGATGACTTCCCAGACGAGGAACAGAGAAGACATGAGGAGACTGGAAAAGTGGTGCAGAGGGGCCCTGATGTGGGAACCATTCTGCTCTCCTCAGGGGCCTCCATCCAGTCTCCATCTCAATGGTCATCACTGAGACTGCAAGTCACTGTACCCAGGAGAATGGCGCCTTTGCCCTCCAGACCAGGAAGCCAGGGCAGCAGCAGGTTAGGGTGGGAAGGAACTGAATTCATGGTTGGTAATGTTGAGTCTGAGTACCCGAGGGTCTAAAGGAACAGATGCGAGGTCAGCAGTTGACTAAGGGTGACCCTGAAGTTGCCCACTCTGTAACACTCTGTCATCTCCCTGGGGCCTCCAGACCAGCCCTCCTCTGTCCTTCTGCCTCTTTTCTGACCATTTTCTTCCATAGCCCCCACTCCACCTTCATGAACTCCAGCTCTCCCCCATATCTTCAGCTCCCCCAGGCCACTTGTCACCCGCACCACATCCCACGGCACAGCACTCTAGGCCTCGTGACCTCACCTTTTCCTGGGTTACACCCTTCCGTTACCACATACCTCATTTTATCTCATCATTACACTTATCATTAGCTGAAGTTTTCTTGTTGATCTGTAACTCACCTCCTGCCTCCCTCCCTAGAAAATAAGCTCCGTAAAAGCACAGACGAGGCCAGGCACAGTGGCTCACGCCTGTAATCCCAGCACTTTGGGCGGATCAATTGAGCTCAGGAGTTTGAGCTCAACCTGGACAACACGGCAAGACCCCATCTCTACAGAAAATGCAAAAAAATTAGCTGGGGGGTTGGGGGAGCATAGACCTTGTCAGCCTTTTTCAAAACACCTGGCACATGGTATGTGTTCAATGGTATCTCTTCAGTGAAGAAATGATGGCAGGTTGAGCCCTCCATTCCTACCTTGACTTCCCCCCTCTGTGCGTTGCTGCTAGCTCTTTCCTAGCAGCATTTAACATGCTAAGTCTCTCCTATCTTGGGGGATGAGGGATGATTCCCTCAGATTTACACCCTCCCTAACTACTACCACGTCTTTTGTCCGCTTCCTGAACTTTTCCAGTTTTCTACACGGGCTGCCTTTACTTCTTCACCTTTCACTCACTCCCCCACCCAACAAAGTCTGGCTTGTGCCTATATCATCCCAGTGATCTCCTCAAGAGTAAATCAGCAGCATTTAGAGTTGTCAGCTTCACCCTCCTTGAAACACACTCATTCCTTGGCTCAGGTGACAATGCAGTTTTCAGCTTCAATGTTACTTCCTCCAGGAAGCATTCCCTGACACACACATACACACATCTCAGGCTGGATCAGATCCCACGTGGTTTATTCTCATAATACCCAGGGCTTCTGCTTGATTGCACTTCTAACGAGTGTTTCTGTGTAATTCTACATTTGATGTCTGTTTCCTGGTAGAATGGAAGCTCCATTCAGGCAGGGACTATTTCTGATTGGTTACCCTGAACATACTGTGGGAAGAATTCAATATTTTTATTGCATGGATGGGAGGATGAATGGAGGGAGCAACCCTCCATTGTTGTTCAGAGAGCAACCCTCTCTGAATTTCAGTTTCCTTATATATGAAATGGAAATAATAAGCCCATTTTACAAAGGAGATAATGGGTTCAACTCCACAGCCTAACGGATGTTGGATTCTATTAAGACACAGTCCCTGCTTTCTACCAAGTGCAGAAGCACAAAGAAGCTCTTTCAACAGCCTGAGAGAGATGAAGGAGTTAAGAGGATGAGAGAAGTGGATAGATGAGGATCTACAGACCAGGAGAAAGCTATAGGTTGAATGTAGACTGGGAATTATTTGTCCTCATGGGCACTAATCAAGATCATGGCTCCTAGCATTTTGGGAGGCTGAGGCAGGTGGATTGCCTGAGGTCAAGAGTTCGAGACCAGCCTAGCCAACATAGTGAAACCCCATCTCTACTATAAATACAAAAAATTAGCTGGGCGTGGTGGCAGGCGCCTATAATCCCAGCTACTCCGGAGGCTGAGGCAGGAAAATCGCTTGAACCCAGGAGGCAGAGGTTGCAGTAAGCCGAGATCCTGCCATTGCACTCCAGCCTGGGCAACAGTGCAAGACTCCATCTCAAAAAAAAAAAAAAAAAAGATCATGGAGGTAGATACAATAAATGTGAAAGGAGCAAAGGGTCAGGGACTGATTGGAAAATTCCCTATTGGAGGTGAGAAGAGGAAGTAATCAGAATGGACCAAAATGGGTTCCCTAATAACAAGTCACCCATTGCTCCATTCAACAAGCCTTCTCTGGGTACCCACTGAGTACCAGGCACCATGCTGGGTGCTGAGCATACACAGCCCGATCCCAAGTGGCTTCACCTTCCTGAGGTGCCCAGGGCCGCCACCCCAAATCTATGTGTAGGAAACTTGGGAGGGCCCAGCTAAGCCCAGCCAGAGAAATGTGAACTAAAGATACATCTGGCTGGGAAGCTCAAAACTCGGTTATGTGTCTGTCTGTTAAGGGTGTAGGTCACGCCCTTTCCTTGGTCTGCTGTGATCCATAGGTTTATGGGTGACTTGGATGAAGTTGCAGAGGTCCAGTGCTCAGATTTGTGGATAAGCACATGTTGGGAGGAAGAGCAGAAACAGCCAGAGCTCTTGGGATAATCCTAAAAATGGTGTCCAACAGGAACAAATGACAAGTGCTCTGGCTGTGTCCTAAAACTCCAATATCGCAATCGCCAGGAGAGAAAAGGGAGGGTGGACAGGGACATGGCAGCTATCTCCTGTAAACAGATATTGGCAGAGGTGCACAGTACACAGGACTGCTTCTGTCTTCAAAGTGTTGTGGTCGCCTAGCACAGAGGCTGGTGTCCGAAGAATGTTGAATGCATGTTCTTGTGATGATTGTACAAATGAGGAAGTCACAGTAAGTTTAGAGTTGAGCGTGTGGGTTTCAAGTCTTCTCTGTAACCCATAATGATCAGCCTTCAACAAGTCAGCAATCCCCTCTGAACTTCAGTTTCCTTATGTATAAAATGGAAATAATAGGGCCAGACACGGTAGCTCACACCTGTAATCTCAGCACTTTGGGAGGCCAAGGCGGGCGGATCACTTGAGATCAGGAGTTGAGGACCAGCCTGGCCAACATAGTGAAACCCCATCTCTACCACAAATACAAAACATAGCCAGGCATGGTGGCAGGCGCCTGGAGTCCCAGCTATACTCGGGAGTCTGAGGCAGGAAAATCGCTTGAAGCCAGGAGGCGGAGGCTGCAGTGAGCTGAGATCGCACCACTGCACTCCAGCCTGGGTGGCAGAGGAAGACGCCATCTCAAAGAAAAAGAAAAGAAAAAAGGCCAGGCGCAGTGGCTCACGCCTGTAATCCCAGCACTTTGGCCAAGGCAGGTGGACCACCTGAGGTCGGGAGTTCGAAACCAGCCTGGCCAACGTGGTGAAACCCCATCTCTACTACAAATACAAAACATAGCCGGGCACAGTGGCAGGCGCCTGTAATCCCAGCTACTTGGGAGGCTGAGGCAGGAGAATCACTTGAACCCAGAGACAGAGGTTGCAGTGAGCCAAGATCGTGCCATTGAACTCCAGCCTGGGCGACAGAGAGAGACTCTGTCTCAAAAAATAAATAAATAAATAAATTTTTTAAATGGAAATAGTAATGCCCACTTTCCAAATGAGATAATGGGTATTCAACTCCACAGCCTAACAGATGTTGGGTTCTATTAATACACAGACCTTGCTTTTGACCACGTGCAGAAGCACAAAGAAGCTCTTTCAACACAGCCTGACAGAGTTGGAAGAGCAATTGCCCTCACCTTGGACGAGTAGGTGGTCTTTAGGTGGAGACCCCAGGAACAACACTCCAGGCACAGCAAGCACCAAGAGCAAAGGGCGTGGAGGCGGGAGATCACTCGGTGTTCTGAACATTACCTGCAGGCCACGTGGCCGGGCTGTGAGCACTGAGGAAGGGCAGGAGATGAGGCCGCAGGGGCCAGCTGCAGGGTCAGGTTAATCATGGCCTTGCAGGTCATAACAAGGCTTCTGGACTTGGCACAAGTGAGTCCAAAGATTTTAAGCATGAGATTGCCTAACTGCCATGTGAAAGATTGTTGGAGATGTCCAGTCTGGAGCCCAGGGAAGCGAGGCAAAAAGCTGTGGCAGGCCGGGCACAGTGGCTCACGCCTGTAATCCCAGCACTTTGGGAGGCCAAGGCAGGCAGATCACCTGAGGTCAGGAGTTCAAGACCAGCCTGACTAACATGGAGAAATCCCATCTCTACTAAAAATACAAAATTAGCTGGGCATGGTGGCACACGCCTGTAATCCCAGATACTCGGGAGGCTGAGGCAGGAGAATCACTTGAATCCGGTAGGCAGAGGTTGCAGTGAGCTGAGATCTCGCCATTGCACTCCAGCCTGCACAACAAGAGCGAAACTCCGTCTCGAAAAAAAAAAAGAAGCTGTGGCAGTGGACCCGGTGAGAAGGGGAAAGGCCATGAAAACAGGCAGTAGCCACCAGCACACTGGTGGTCAGAGAGGTATGAGGAGGAGGCTGATTTGTGCTCTCACTCTTCTGGCCATCGTACTCACTGGGGCTTGGCATCAACAGAAAGACCTCATGCAGTTGCTGACAGACTGGCCTAGCTTTCGGTTCCAAGCCCCCAACTTCTAGCTGTGGGACCCTGGGCAAGATACGTAAACTTTCTGTAAAAGGGGGGCAAAAATGCCCATCATAGGGTTCACAGAGGATTAAATGGCATGACTGTGAAGTGCCCAGAAAGTAGATGGCTCATAGTAGGTACTCAGTAAATGTGGTCTAGAATTCCCTTTCCCCTTTTTTCCGGATCAAAAGTCATGTTATCACTCCAGACATTAAATATTTAGAGGTCTTCATTAGCACAACTCTCTGTCCCCCTTCTGTTCATTCAACAAATCCCTCCAGAATGTGAGCTCCACGAGGACAGGGGCCAGGGCTGCCTCATTTGTCACTGCCAGCACCCAGCACAGTGCCTTGGCCCCTCACACAGCCACACTTTATCATCCCAGAATTTGTGGAGCACCATCCTCTAAGCCAAGAACAAGTGATGAACAAGACAAAGCACAGCTCTCAGGAAGCTTATGGTTTAGTGGAGGAGACAAAAAAACATCAAAGAGCTCAGAGAGTGATAATGCTACAAAGAACAAAGGGTGGCCAGGCGAGGTGGCTCACACCTGTAATCCCAGCACTTTGGGAGGCCCAGGAGGGTGGATCACCTGAGGTCGGGAGTTCAAGACCAGCCTGACCAACATGGAGAAACCCTGTCTCTACTAAAAATACAAAATTAGCTGGGCATGGTGGCGCATGCCTGTAATCCCAGCTACTTGGGAGGCTGAGGCAGGAGAATTGCTTGAACCCAGGAGGCAGAGTTTGCAGTGAGCCAAGATCCTGCCATTACACTCCAACCTGGGCAACAAGAGCAAAACTCCGTCTTAATAAAAAAAAAAAAAAAAAAAAGAACAAAGGGTAACCTATTAGAAAGTAACAAGGGGCAGGGCGTGGTGGCTCATGCCTGTAAGGCCCAGGCAGGCAGATCATGAGGTCAGGAGTTCGAGGCCAGCCTGACCAACATGGTGAAACCCCATCTCTACTAAAATACAAAAATTAGCTGGGCGTGGTGGCGCACGCCTGTAATACCAGCTACTCAGGAGGCTGAGGCAGGAGAACCGCTTGAACCCAGGAGGCGGAGGTTGCAGTGAGCTGAAATTGTGCCACTGCACTCCAGCGTGGGCGACAGAGTGAGACTCTGTCAAAAAAAAACAAAAAAAAAAAAAAGAAAGAAAGAAACAAGGGCTCGGGTGCAGTGGCTTACCCCTGTAATCCCAGCACTTTGGGAGGCCCAGGCAGGCAGATCACAAGCTCAAGACCAGCCAGACCAACATGTTGAAACCCCGTCCCAACTAAAAATACAAAAATTCGCTGAGTATGGTGGCAGACACCTGTAATCCCAGCTACTTGGGAGGCTGGGGCAGGAGAATTGGTTGAATCCGGGAGGCAGAGGTTGCAGTAAGCCAAAATCATGCCACTGCACTCCAGCCTGGGTAACAGAGCAAGACTCCGTCTCAGAAAAAAAGAAAAAAAGAAAAAAGAAAAGAGAGTAACAAGGGAGGCCATTTTATAAATGGGTGAGCAGGGAAGGTGACATTGGAGCTGCGTGTTCCAAGCAGAGAGAAGAGCTAACATGAAAGCTCTGAAGCAGGGCCCAGCTTGAGATAATCAAGAAACCAAGGCCGGGCGTGGTGGCTCATACCTGTAATCCCAGCACTTTGAGAGGCCGAGGCGGGCAGATCACGAGGTAAGGAGATCAAGACCATCCTGGTTGACATGGTGAAACCCTGTCTCTACTAAAAATACAAAAATTAGCTTGGGCATGGTGGCGCGTGCCTGTAATTCAATCTACTCAGGAGGCTGAGGCAATAGAATCGCTTGAACCCGGGAGGCAGAGGGAGGTTGCAGCGAGCCAAGATCGCGCCACTGCACTCCAGCCTGGGCAACAGAGCAAGACTCTATCTCAAAAAAAAAAAAAAAACTACCTGGGCGTGGTGTCGCTTGCCTATAATCCCAGCTATTCAGGAGGCTGAGGCAAGAGAATTGCTTGAACCCAGGAGGTGGAGGTTGCAGTGAGCTGAGATCGCGCCACTGCACTCCAGCCTGGCAACAGAACTAGACTCCGTCTCAAAAAAAGAAAAAGAAATAAAGGAGGCCGTTTTATAAATGGGTGAGCAGGGAAGGTGACATTGGAGCCACGTTCCAAGCCTCCTCAGTAGCTGGGACTACAGATGCACGCCACCATGCCTGTCAAGACTTTTTGTACTTTTAGTAGAGACAGGGTTTCGCCATGTTGGCCAGGCTAGTCTGGAGCTCCTGACCTCGGTGATCCACCCGCCTCAGCCTCCCAAAGTGCGAGGATTACAGGCATGAGCCACTGCGCCTAGCCTGATTTATACTTTTAAAAGATCATTCCAGCTCTGTGTGGAGAATGGATTAGAGGGCAGCCAGGGTTGAAAGCAGGGAGCCCAGAAGGGAAGTCACTGCAGCGTCCAGATGAGGGAGGTGGCTTGGACTAGAGCATGGTGGTGGAGATGAAACACAGTGGCCATGTACTAGCCTCAGTGACCACTTCCCCCTCCCCTTGGCAGCATTTGACCCCTTGTCTATCCTGTCCCCCAGCCCTAATCACAGGAGGAACAGATGTGTTTGTGTCAATGTCCACGTCCCCAGAAGCCCAGGCTTGACTCAGGTCAGCTGAGGTCTGGACATGGCCATGCTGAGGCTCCAAGGGCTGAATCAATGAACGAGTGAAGGCACCTCCACTCTGCAGCCTCGTGTCTGAAGGCACAAAGATATCGGTAACTGAAAGAGAGAAATGGGGCAGGAGGAGGAAGCTGGGGCAGATGGTAGTGGTTTTATGAAAAAGGCAAAATTACAGCAGTGGTTACAAGAAATCAGGGCAAAGTGCAGCATCTACCTAGATGTCCCAATCTGGGTGTCCCCATGTAGGTTGGGACCTCACCTCTGCCCTGAAAATGGCCCCACAGAGGCAGGGATGGCACTGGGAGATGGTGCAGGCGCCAATGGGTGTGGCAACCTGGAGGGCAAAGCACTTCTGGAGGAGTATGAAAACCAGGGTGGAGAAGGAAGTCTTGGGAAGGCAACTCTTCTAGAAAGAATCTGAGACAGACAGGTAGGAGCCGTGGACCTGCCCTACCTAGAGGGCTCAGGCTCTGAAACATCTCCAGCCAGCAGGAGAATTAGGGCTGGGGCCAGGGAAGAGCAAAGCAACTGGGCTAATGGGGTTAAGAAACTCCTAGGGTCAGCCGGGCATGGTGGCTTTCACCTGTAATCCCAGCACTTTGGGAGGCCGAGGTGGGCGGATCACCTGAGGTCGGGAGTTCAAGACCAGTCTGACCAACATGGAGAAACCCCGTCTCTACTAAAAATACAAAATTAGCCGGGCATGGTGGCGCATGCCTGTAATCCCAGCTGCTCAGGAGGCTGAGGCAGGAGAATCACTTGAACCCAAGAGGTGGAAAATTGCTTGAACCCAGGAGGCGGAGTTGCAGTGAGCCGAGATCACACCATTGCACACCAGCCTGAGCAACAAGAGCGAAACTCTGCTAAAAAAAAAAAAAAAAGAAGGAAACTCCTAGGGTCGGCTACAGATGCCACCTTTCTACCAGCCAGGTGACATAGTCCAGTAAGAGGTGGATAGCAGACGAGCTGAGACAGCTCACCTCCATCCTGTCAATTCCCAAAGGGCCCCTCTTTACCCCTGGGCCAAGGTTCAGGCTTTAGGCCCCTCTCCCCAAATTAGGGATCATGGAGCAGCTTCTTTACCCTTCTACAGGTTTTGCCCCACGAGTCTAGTCCTCAGGCCGAGCTATGATCTTTCCAGAGTCCCACTGTCCTTGAGACAGAACTCAAGTTCCTGACCTGGCTGCCCAAGTCCACCTTGATCTGTCCTCACCTATATCTCTGCTTCCCCTGTGCCCATTCAACATGCCTGCCATTTAGCAAACCCACCCTGATCTTTGGGCATACTGTCCCTTCTCTCTGAGATGTCCTCAACCCCTAGCTCAGTCTCTGGAAAACTTCTAGACTCAACACACGTCCACCTCCTTCAGGAAACCTTCCCAGGGCAATCCAGGCCTTGGCCAGCCCTGAGAGCACACTCTACCAGGTCACCTTGTCTCATGCCGGCCTCCCCAGGCCCATGGGCTCCTCTCCCAAACAGCAGCAGCTCAGGGCCAGCACTTCGGACTCTCTGCAACCCAACTCAGTGCTTCCCCTGCTGCCGTGCTGGCCACAGAAGACAGAGATGTGGCAATGGGTTCCCTGCCGTCAAGGAAAGCCAGTGTGCTAAGGCAGGCAGACACACCCACCAATGCCCACCACACAGGGCAGACTGGGAAGAAATAGCCCATATACTCCAGGGCCCAGAGGGAGGAGGAAAGGTGTCCTGGAGAGAGAAGGATCTGAGTCAGGTCTCAAAGGATAGAAAGCAGAGGAACAGAAAGAGCTTTCTAGGCAGGGAAAGAAGCAGAAGAAGGAAGGAGACCAAGGGCAGTGTCCAGCAGAGCAGGGCTTAGTGTAGGTGAGAGAGGAGGGGCACGGCCGAAGTGCTGGGGGATACAAGCCTGCACCCCTCCTGTGGGTGATGGGCACCAGGGGAGGTTGTGGAGCAGGAGACTGGCATGGCTGGAGCCTGGGTATGCACAGTCAAGCCAGCCCTGCTCTCAACAGGCTCCAAACCCCACCCTCACGATGACGCCCAGAAACCACACAGACGAGGAGCTGTTTCTTGACTGTTAGTTGGGCCTTGGCCTATGTCATACCCATGGGCTGCCACATGGGGGTGGAGGGATCAGGACGAAGAGAGGGGACCAGAGCAGGGATGGAGGTCCAGACTCAGGGAGTCGGCGCTTCTTGCAGGGGGTTGGGGGAGAGGACACGGAAGCCTCTGCCCCATGCAGGACATTTCCTTGCTGTGGCAGCAGGGCAGCTGTGCCCTGACTAGGCTGGGCTGCAGAGAGTGTGAGTCTCAGGTCCTCTGGAGCCAGAGCCATCAGGATGACTGCTTTTCAGGGGTCATCAGTCGCTCCACCTCCCGCATGAACCGCAGACACAACTCTTCTTGCCAGGGCAGAGCCACACACTGCACGGCCACCGGCAGCCCCACACTCTTCTTCATGCCCTATAGGGGATACAGGCATCAGGATAGGGTTAGCAAGGCAGGACTCCCCACCCCCAGGCCCAGGAAGCACCCAGCTAGAGAGAGGCCACAACGTAGGGCCAGGCCATAGTCCTTCAGGTCTTGCTTAAGAAAGGCTGGCAAACCCGCAGTGCTGGTACTGTTTCCTCCACAGCGGCCAGAGTCAGGGTGGGGAGTGAGTCCAGTTGAGGGGCAGGTCAGTCCTCACCTTCTGCAGCATCTTGTCCCAGATATCCCCAAAGTAGCCCCTGTAATGTTCCATCTGGGCCTCGTCCTCAGCAGTCACCGTGGTGACAGGCACCACCCCTGCAGGGAAGTCCAGGCAGTTGTACAGCATAGTGTAGCTGACGGCCCCTGGAACACATTACAGGCAGCTGCAGCAGGCCCTGAGAATCTTCAGTGCCAACTCCGGGCCTGAGTCAAACCTCATATGAAATGGCACCCTGTGTCTACAGCCAGAGAAAGGCTCTCTCCCAGGACTGAGGTCTGAGTGACAAAGCCCAGGAATTCAGATTTCAGGGCCGGGCTGGACAACCCACTGATGTTTGCCCCATGCCTTTGCCCATGTACTTTCTCCACTGGGAATGCTGTTCCTGTTTTCTTTTCCTTTTCCTTTTTTTGAGACAGTCTCACTCTGTCACCCAGGCTGGAGTGCAGTGGTGTGATCATAACTCACTGCAGCCTTGACCTCCTGGGCTCAAGCAATCCTCCTGCCTCAGCCCCCCGAGTAGCCAGGACTACAGGAACATGCAACCACACCCAGCTAATTTTTCTATTTTTTGTAGCAACAGGAGCCTCACTATGTTGCCTGGACTGCTCTTGAGCTCCTGGGCTCAAGTGATCCTCCAGCCTCAGCCTCCCAAAGTGCTCGGATTATAGGTGTGAGCCACCGCCCTGGCCCCTATTTTCTTGATTTATCTAAATCCCACCTGGACTTCAAACCATCACCTCCCCAAACTAGATTCTGTAACTCAAGATCCCCAACTTGAATAGTGCTGATGACAGGAAAATCAATCCCTGCCAGGGCAACCCACATGACTGCCATGTCTCCAGTCAGCCAGACTGTGGGCCCCGAGAGGGCAGGGTCCTCCCAGAGGGCTCTTCTTCCATTTCCTCGCAGCCCTGCAGGGCACATGGCCAGATTCACAGAAGGGACAGGCAGGGTGTCGGGCCTCACCTGTGGCCCTGCCTGGGGCATTCAAGTCCAGAGCAGGGGCCAGCATGGGGGTCAGCACCACATCCAGGTCCAGCGCCCTCCACTGGGCAATCACGGTTTTGCGGTACACCTGCGGAGGACACAACACACCAGGTGAAAGCACTCAGACCTAGCCCACCCCAGGCTCTTTAACTCAGGGACTGTGGCTGGGGTGGCTCTGGCCCCAGCACCTGCCCCTGGATCTGAACAGAGCCACAGTGGGACACAGGTCCTCCGGGCAGGCAGTGCTGCCTCTCAGAGGGCATCAGTCGTTCTGCCTCCAGAATGAATTGTGGATACACCTCTTCCCGCTGAGGCGGAGCCACACAAAGGCAGCTCCAGAGGGGCAAAAAGGCGGCCAGGACAGGAGCCTGGGGCTGACCCAGCCTCAAAGGATGGGCATCTAGGCAAGTAAGGGTCAGAGAGCTGGGCCCAAGTGGTGGTCCAGGGAGTGGAAGGGGGATGACAGGCCAGTCTAGGAGCCCCATGGGGGCAGTGGCCACGAGACACTGCTAGCGGGTACCCTGTCCAACTCCACCCTCCCCCCACCACCCTGCTCCAATCCAGAGGCTCTGGCCTCACCTCGATCTCGTGCTGCAGTTCCCAGAGTTTTCCAGCCGAACTGGGCAGAAGGAGTGTGGTCACCAGCCATGATGGTCACAGCCACGGAGATCAGCAACATCAGACCCCTACTGCCAACCCTCTAGATCTCACCCCTCCGTGGACCCTTCACAACCCCATGGGAGCTCTGAGAGGGAAGTTCAAACCCCTACTGTCTGGATGAGAAAATCAGGCCCCAGAGGGGCACAGGCTGGCACTTGGTGACTCCACAGCAGAGCCAGGACTAGCCCAGGCCCGATTCCTCGCTACCCTCAGGACACGGGAGAGGCCATAGCTGCTGCCAGTCCTGAAGCCTGGTGGTAAGGGAAGGAGTGAGTCCATGGGACGTCAGGGCATGAAACAGGGAGGTTTACGCCCTGCTTTTCCAGCCCCAGCCACTAAGGGGCAAGTAGGGCCTGGCGCAGCTCAGGTCAGCTCAGATCTCTAACAGTGGCATCTCTCCCGGGTGCCCCACCCTTGGCCCAGGCCAACCCCCACTTCCTGGTCCTTTCCACTCATGCCCCAGCCAGGTCAACCTCCTCCCCTCCAACTCCCCCATCCTCTTGTCCCCCTCAGGCCTTTGCTCTCCAGCCAGAACTGGACCTTGCCAAGACAACTTCAAAGTCCCATCTGAAGGCCACAAAGGTTGCCCCCCTGCCTGGGCCACTTCCAGCCTCAGAGGCTACTTCCCTCAAGTCCTTTCCTGTCAGAAACTACCCAGACCCAGACTCGGATCAGGACAGGCAGGGGCCGGCAGCTAGACACAGAAGAACCCTTACCGAGACTTCATGTTGCTGAGGAAAGCTGACAGCCTTGGCAGCTGCACAGGACAGACGCAGGGTCGGTGACTCAGCTCTGGGCCACGGCAGACGTCAACCTTCTTCAGGCCAAGCCACTGGGGACCCCTCCCTCCATGCCTCCCCCCAGGGCCCAGGTCGGCACCCCTTTCAGCATGCGGGTTGGCTGAAGATCGCAGGGGACAGAGGAGGAGAGCAGTCTGGGTGGGGACTGGAGAGAAGAGGAGGCCATGCCTGCCCAAACCAAGAGAGGCTGAGGGAGGCCATGGGGGATCATGCGATAGGAGGCCCTAGGTTCCCCCCCAGCCATCCTAGCCCCTCCACTCCTTGTGCCCTCACCAGAGGCTTCACCAGGAAGGCCAGCAGTCCTTTAAGCCATTGGGGAAGCTTCAGAATTGAGACCAGGTCCCCCAGGCAGGGGTCCACGAAATCACCTTTGCTGGGAAACAAAATGCTCGGTCCAGGCACTCCCATCCCCACATCCTTCCCAGCTTGCTCGCCCGGCCCACAGCAATCCCATTCTCTATGCAGGGATCCTGTCCACCTCCTCCTCACCAGACTCAGCTCCCTCCTTCCAAACATGCCGTTTGTTTCTGCTGATCCTTTGGGATGCCTGGGCTGCAACCCACATCCACGGGAGCTCCCCAAGGCAGGACTCAGGGTATCCCTCTCCAGCAAACCCAGCTCAGAGCTCTAAGAACTGAGGGCAACATCTCCCTGATGAGGCCTCCCTGAGGGTACCTCCCCTTAGGGAGGTACAGCCTGGAGGCACAGGTGGGGAAATCGAGGGTGGGCTGCCCATGAAGCAGGGCTCTGAGGCTATCTCTGGCTCAAGATCTCAGGGAAAGGTCTCAGGCAGCTGATCCTGGGGACTCATTCCCAGGGCCAGAGTGAGGAGTGACCCCTTCCACTGAAGCCTGGACCACACTTGGCTGCTAGGGGAAGGAAAGGAACATGACAGGCTGGGCCCTTGACTGAGTGAAGCTGCAGGGCCAAGCTCCAGGCTGCAGGGCCAAGTTCTCCATCAGTGAAGTGGAGGAAGGGGGACTGTGTTCTGAAGGGTTCCAGTCCATCCAGCAGAGGTATGTCACCAGGAGGCACCTTTGCAGGCCTGTTCTCTGCCCCTGACACCTTTAATGACTAGAAGCATCCCAGAGGAACGAACTTCTCTAAAAATGAGCTCTGCAAAGTCCCTTAAAGGGAGTCTGGTCCAACCCACCCACTTTACAGGAGAGAAAGCTGAGGTCCTGCTCAAAAAGAAGACTTGGCTCAAGTCAGACAGAGCCTGGAGTCACAGCATCAAGTCCAAACCCCCACCCTCCTGCCTGGATCCTGCCCTTGGCCCAAATCCTTCCCAAACAGAGAGGCAACCTCCTGCCCACCTCCTACCTCACAACAAGCTCAGATCAGGGGTAGGCCACAGATACTCAACCCAGCCTCCCCTCGGGCTGGCACCCTGGCAAGGGATCTCCAGGCTCAATGTGCCCAGCTGGAGGGACAGCGAGGTCCCTGCCCAGAGTGCTCAGGCCTTTGTTGGATTCAGCTAAGGCCCATCCAGGCATCACCACACCCTGCTGCTCCCCCAGGTCTGCCTACTTGTCTGATCCCACCAAGACCCCAAAGCCCACTATCACTCACAAGTTCTGTAGGAAGGTGTGGCCACCATCACTGAAGAGCCCACCTGTTGACAGGGTCTCCAGAGCATGGGGTATGTTGCTTGGCAAGAAGGGAACCAGCTGCAGGGATTGAGGGGTGTAAGGCCTCCTGACCTAACAACTGGCTTCATGATCCCCATGCTGTCTGGGCGGCCCTGAGGATGGATTGGACCAACCCTGCCCACAAGATAGCTCTCACTAGAGCTACAAAGGCAGCCTTACTGACCCATGAAAACTCACTGTGGAATGCACAGCATGAGAGAAGTCTGGAGCCACACATAAAGTTGTGTAATGACCAGACCAAAACCCACTGGCCCTGGGAGCCTCTGGACAGCTGTGCACCACTGTTTAGAGCTGAAGAGCCTCCCCACATGCAGTGCTCACACATCACACAGCACAGGGCTAAAGTTCTCCATCAATCACTCACTCCAATACTCTTGATCAGCCCTCTATATACTTGTCCCACAGGGTCACAGTTCACCCCGACGACAACATCGTCAGAGTGCCAGGATGCCAGGGATGGAGTAGCCATGGGTACCAGGAAGGCTTCCCGTGAGGGGAGGAGATGCCAGTACTTCCAGGACCCTGCAGTCATACCGTGTGCCCCGCAGCCTCAAGGCTCTGTTTGGTCTCCAGCACGGCCCGCCTCATGGCCGGGGAGGGCATGGTATAGTTGTCAGTCTCATAGTACCCCACACGCAGGGGCTGAGAGCTGGTGTAGACCTGGAGGGAAAACACAGGGGACAGGGGCAGGTCAGGAGAAGACAACCCTAGGCAGGACCCCTAGAGATCAGAGAAACTACTCAGCCCCAGACACAGCTGCGAGGCTGCAGTCAGCGAGGCCAGCCCCTTCTGCATCTGACCCTTTCATAAAACACCTTCACAGTGACTCAGGTGGGCAGAGCAAGGATAAGGATTCCTACTGGTCATATGAGGAAACTGAGGCTTGAGGTCTCAATAGGGAGATTAGGTGGGACTGGGACTTGCCCAAAGCTACCCAATGCAGAGTGACAAGACAGGTCTGGAATGCAGGCATCCTGTCTTCTGAGCTGAGGCTCTCCACCACCTGTCCTGGCTCTCATGATAAACTGTTCCAGACTTCCAGACAGGGACCTCATCTCCTCCTCTCCTCCGAGGAAGGACTTCACGGCTGCCTATCCCCGTGGGTTCGGTTAGAATATCTCCCTCTGCCTGGGGAGGGGGAGTTCACCCTACCCAGCCCAGATCTGCCCTGCTGCCCCACTCCCAAGAAACACCAAGGCCCACTCTCCTTCCCGTCCACAAACCCTCAGCCTTTCCAAGGCAACCTTGGCTGGGGCGAGGGCAAGAGGTCTGTACAAGATAGACAATCGCTGGACTGCTGAGAAACGGGGCTTACGTCACACAGCTTACTGTCTACATTAACGTGACTTCACTCTTCCTCTGTCTGCACCAATCTAACTTTACAGCTCCTGCACTCTGTTGGAGTGGGCACAGAGGATGACCTAGGGCCCAGCACCTGCCTCACTGGGGACATCTGGCCCCAGCCTCAACCTGGCTGTTTCTGGCCTTCAACCCCAACGCACACAGAGACAGAGAGAGAGAGAGTACCAGGACCAGAGCACAACCAGAACACTCAAGAGAGCAAAATACTGGTCTCAGATGCCCCGCAGTAGGGGATGAGCTGGGAGGAAGATGACCACTGGCCACTCCCCCACCTCCTCCAAATAACACACATAACACAAATAACCTTCCGATTCATTCCAACTCTTCAACAGGAAGCATCGGTTGACACCTCTCGCCTCAAAATCCACACCCTGCTGTGCCCACCAATCCTTAACATGGGGATTAAGGATCTTAACCAATCTTAACCAACTTAAACCAATCTTAACCAACCCCCATGTTGAAAGATCCACCTTAAACCAGACTTCAAAATCTCAGCAGATCTCCCCACCCTTCCTGCCCTCTGAGATGATCCTAAGGCTTTGCAAGACAGTGCTGCCTCGCCACAGAAAGCAACAAGCCCAGCCTGTCTCAGCAACAGGCTGCTGTGGTGGTATTTTGGGGAGCAGCACACCACGCTGCTTGCAGACCCTGGCTCACGTAGCAGCAAGTCTGGCAGGAACAGGCTACATGAGCTGGGGTCTGCAGGCAGCGTGGCGTGCTGCTCCCAAAATGTGGACAGGAATACTGTTAGAAAGGCTGCTGTTTGCTGAAGGTCAGCAGGCTGGGAAATGATTCCTGCATCCCTGGTGCCAGCAGCTGAGGCTGGGCACCTTTGAAAGCCTGTGGATTTCCGGCCGGCGCGGTAACTCAAGCCTGTAATCCCAGCACTTTGGGAGGCCGAGGCGGGCGGATCACGAGGTCAGGAGATCCAGACCATCCTGGATAACACGGTGAAACCCCGTCTCTACTACTAAAAATACAAAAAAAATTAGCCGGGCGTGGTGCCGGGCGCCTGTAGTCCCAGCTACTCGGGAGGCTGAGGCAGGAGAATGGCGTGAACCCAGGAGAATGGCGTGAACCCGGGAGGCGGAGCTTGCAGTGAGCCGAGATCGCGCCACTGCACTCCAGCCTGAGGGACAGAGCGATACTCAGTCTCAAAAAAAAAAAAAAAAAGAAAGAAAGAAAAGGAAAAAAAAAAAAAGCCTGAGGATTTCCAAATGCAGGCAAGGGCTCCATCTGGTGGCCGTCTGTGGAGGAGCAACCCGCCCTGGCCTCAGAGGCCTGGGGGACGGTTCTCAGGAGACAGGGGCTCCAAGGCCTGCCCACAAGGCCTGGGGTGGCTGTCTGGGTTCAGCGGTCCACATTCATGCCCACCCAGCCCTGCTCACCTCTTCTCTGAAGGGCAAGGGAGGCACAGTGGGGTCCAAGCGGAACATGTCCTCACACAGCAGGGCTCGCAGGCACAGTGCCAGGCTCTCCACGTCCCGGGCCATGGGGCCCACGGAGAGACGCACTGTGGGGCAGAGAGGTGAGGGAGGTAAGCAGACAAGGAGCGAGGAACCCAGACCTAGAGCAGCCTGGGGGCCAGACACTGCCCTGCCACCTGAGAAGCACGGGCGGAAGCGGGTCAGGCCGACCCCCACCCTCCTCGGGGCACTGAGAGCACCACGGACCTCACCTGCCTCCTGTCCATAGACACAGCCCTTCAGGCCACTCTTGCTGGATAAGAAACATAAGATGCTGGAAACAGGAAATGGCCACCCGCCGCCATCCCCACACCCACAGAGCAGCTCTGAACACTCACCGCTTTGGAAACTAGGACCCACGCCCGGCCAGTGGTACTGTAATGCTTCCTCCCAGCAAAACCCCGGAGACCGAATCCCCGCCTGGAGCCCAGAGAGGTTGGAAGCTAGGCCAAGGTCACACAGCGAGGGGCCCAGAAGCGCCCTCCACCCACCTTACCTGAGGCGGTTCCCTGTGGGCTTGAGGCCGCAGATGCCGCAGAAGGAGGAGGGGAAGCGGATGCTGCCTCCGATATCAGTGCCTAAGCCCAGGGGGGAGCCTCCAGACCCGATGAGGGCCCCTTCACCCCCTGAGGAGCCCCCTGGGCTTTTGGAGGACTTCCATGGGTTCACGGTCTGGCCAAAGAGGGGGTTACTGCAGTCATAGCTGGAGGAGCCAAGAATGGGTCAGCCCGTGCCATGCTGGGACCGGTGCCCCTGCCCCGCCCCGCCCCACCCCAAGACCCAACCTGAACATGGACTGTGGAACATTGGTGTGCACGAAGGGCACGGCACCCTGCAGCTTCAGCACATGCACCACTACGCTGTCGCACTCCGCCGGCACCCCTTCATTCAGGCTCAAGCCCAGCGTGGAGTCCTGGCCCTGGGAGGAGGGATGGGCACCAGAAGGGAGTGAGTCAGGGCCCGTGGGCAGCCAAGGGTCCACTCCAACAACTGTCACACAGGCCAAAACAGGTATACCAGTGTCCCCTCGGAAGGCCTCTGGACCTGATACCTCCTCTAAGGGCCCAAAATGACCCAAGATGCAGAGCAGGCTGGCAGGGATGGAGGGGACGATGGAGGCCTGGCGCTGAGGCAGAGCATACCTTGTAGGTGAAGCACTCCTTGAGGCTCACAGGGACGCCATAGAGCAGGCCCTGCCTTGGGGCCTGAGACAGCTGAGTCTCACAGTCAGCCAGATAGGAGGTCACACAGTTGGTCCCTTTGTTCACTTCCCAGGCCTGAGGAAGGGGAAGTAGACATAAGATAAAAGGAGGCTGGCCTTTTTAAGAAATTGTGGTGAAATATACATCATGTAGAACTGGCCTTTTAAAGTATACCCAGGGAGAGGGGTAACCAGCAACATGGCCCAGAGCCTGGGGCACAGAGGATGACCTAGGGCTCAGCATCTGCCTCACTAGGGACATTTGGCCCAGGCCTCATCCTGGCTGTCTCTGGCCTTCAACCAGGACCAGGGCACAACCGGGACACTCAAGGGAGCAAGATACTGGCCTCAGGTGCCCCCCAGGTAGGGGGTGAGCTGGGAGGAAGATGACCACTGGCCACTCCCTCACCTCCCCCAAGCCACATCTCTGCCAGTGAGGCAGACAGAAACCAGACAGGGGCAGCGCCCCATCACTGGTCACACTGAAGGGCAACCACAGAGCAGGACTAGACCAGACTCCTGCCTCCCGGAGCCCAGCAGTCTCTCCTCAACCCCACGCCTTCCCCACATGTAGCCCAGTCAAGCCTCCCCTTACCCAGGAAATCTTGAATTTGATAATCAAGCCATGTGGAGTAGGAGCTTGACAAAAGGGAAGAACATGCTAATAGTGGAAATCTGCCTAGAATGCTCAAACCTCACCACACAGGGTCCTACAGAAGGAAAGGTGAGGGCAGAGTGAGATGCAGCTTTCAGTAAATATTCCTGCTCCTGGGGAGTATCTGGGGGAAACAGGGTGGGCTGTGTTGCCATATTCAGGCATGTGCAAAATCTGTCCCCGGGGTACCCGAGGCAGGAACAGAGAAGGCTAATCTAACCAGATAGACTAGATTAACTAGGAAGGGCAGGAGCCTTTCAGGGACATTGACAGGGAAGAAGCAAGACCATCTGCTGAGACTATGTACGTGCCCCCTCTCAGTGACACCAGCCCAGCATGCGCTCGCTTCCTCAGCTGCAGCCCCCACAGCATTGTCACATACACTGCACCCAGACAAGTTCACCTGCCTAGGGGTCACACTCACTGTCCCACACCCTTTCAAGAAATCATGCAGGCCACACTCAAAGCACAATTTGTCTCCTTCTTTCCTCCCTCCCTCCCTTTCTTTTCAAACATATTTCTTGAGCATTTATTACGTGAAATGCAACATGTTGAGCACTAAGGTTCAAAGACAAATGAGACAAGCTCTGTCCACAAAGACCCCCCATGGGAAAGAGATAGAGAAGACAAGCCTGACACTGTGATGAGAAATGTGCTATTAGAATGAGAGTAGGCCTGGAAGAGGAAACCCTACCTCAGGTGGCGAATGGAAGACGGTGCCTCCTGCTCTGAGCCCCGAAGGCTCAGCCAGGGGAGCCCGTGGCACGGACAGGGGCAAAGAAGAGGGAAACAGCCTTCCAGGTAAAGGAGCCCCACCCAAGCCAGTGCAGAGCTGCTGACACCCAAGCTCCAGAAGGCCTTGGCCAGAGGTGATGCCACACACAGAGGAGGAGTACAAGAGATGGCCTGAAGAGCTGGGGACACAAGAGGGCACCTGACCAGGAGGCTGGTGCTTGGGCATGGCGGGAGATGGTGGTGGCGGGCCAGGGTGGCCAAAGGGGATGGAGACAGGAGAGGGCTGGGTAAAAGAAGAGAACAGGCCAGGCGCGGTGGCTCACGCCTGTAATCCCAGCACTTTCAGAGGATCACCTGAGGTTGGGAGTTCCAGACCAGCCCGGCCAAATAAAAATACAAAAATTAGCCAAGCATGGGGGTGCATGTCTATAATCCCAGCTACTCGGGAGGCTGAGGTATGAGAATCACTTGAACCCGGGAGGTGGAGGTTGTAGTGAGCCAAGATCATGCCACTGCACTCCAGCCTGGGCGACAGAGCAAGACTCCCATCTCAAAAAAAAAGACGGGGTCGGGCATGGTGGCTCACGCCTGTAATCCTAGCACTTTGGAAGGCCGAGGCGGGTGGATCACCTGAGGTCAGGAGTTTGAGACCAGCCTGATCAACATGGTGAAACCCCGTCTCTACTAAATACAAAAAATTAGTTGGGGGCCAGCTGCAGTGGCTCACAGCTGTAACCCCAGCACTTTGGGAGACCGAGGCGGGTGGATCACTTGAGGTCAGGAGTTCCAGACCAGCCTGACCAACATGGTAAAATCCCATCTCTACTAAAAATACAAAAATTAGCTGGGTGTGTTAGCAGGTGCCTGTACTCCCAGCTACTCAGGAGGCTGAGGCAGAAGAATCACTTGAACCCAGGAGGTGGAGGCTGCAGTGAGCCAAGATCATGCCACTGCATTCCAGCCTGGGCAACAGAGCGAGACTCCATCTCAAAAAAAAAAAAAAAATTTTTTTTCTTTTCATTAGCCGGGTGTAGTGGTGCATGCCTGTAATCCCAGCTACTTGGGAGGCTGAGGCAGGAGAATTGCTTGAACCCAGGAGGTGGAGGTTGCAGTGCGCCAAGATTGTGCCATTGCACTCCAGCCTGAACAACAAGAGCGAAACTCCATCTCAAAAAAAAAGAAGGGAACAGACCAGACTTGTTGCCCAATGGGGTGGAGGCAGGAGGGAGAGGGAAGTCTGGGCTAAAAGCCAGGTTACTAGCTAAGACAGCATGCTCAGTGTCTCATACACACATACATACACACACGCACACGCTCTGGCTCCTTCCCTCCCTGGCAGTCCCTGGCACTGTAGGTCCCACCATGGCCCCCAGCAGGACTAACTCCAGGCCAGGTTTTCCCCACAGCCTGTGCGGACAGAGGGAGGGGAAAGGGAGGGGCTGGCCTTGGCTGGCCTTACCTTTCCCAGGGAGGGGCTGGCCTTGGCTGGCCTTACCTTTCCCACATAGGTGAAGAGCACGGCCTCAGGGGCCAGCTCTCTACTGTGTAACTTCTGCACCAGCTGAGGCAGGGGCAGGGCTAGCAGCGCCTCTGAGTCCAGGTCTGGGTTCTGTGGGGAACAAACTCGGATCAGTCCCCTACTCGCCGAAGTCTCATGGGCCTGCAGCAGACACCAGTGGCCCATGCCCCAGCAGCTCTGACATGGCCCAGCCTGGGCAGGCCCTTGCCATCCCTAGAGAATGCAGCTCTGTCTCCTCCAGAAGCTTGTTGAAGGGGTGCCCAGCGAGCCGACCTGCCCAAGTAGGTTTTTTTTTTCCTTAGAGACAGTGTCTGGCCGTGTTGCCCAGGCTAGACTTGAACTCCTGGGCTCAAGTGATCCTCCCACTTCAGCCTCCCGAGTAGCTGGAACTACAGGCACATGCTACTGTGCCTAGCTCCAGACTGATGATTAAACCACTACAAATATACACCAGCAGTGGCTGCCTTCTGTGTGCCAACACCACGCTGATGTCATCCATGTTTTGATTAAGTCTTACTGCCATTCCCATTGCACAGATAAACTGAGGCTGAGAGAGAGGTGCCTTCTTGCCCACCAGCCATCTGCCTGCACCTGACCCCATGCCATCCCCACACCCACAGAGCAGCTCTGAACACTACTCAGGGGGTTGCCAACCTCTAGCAGGGAAGGGCAAAAACAAGAAGACCCCATCTTGGGAGGCTGGGTCTGTGACTGAAGGCCACACCCAAAAGGAAGGGTTTACACATTCATTCTGTGTCCGGAATTGGTGGGTTCTTGGTCTCACTGACTTCAAGAATGAAGCCGCAGACCCTCACAGTGAGTGTTCCAGTTCTTAAAGGCTGCCTATCTGAAGAAACCACATTTCAGCTGTGATTTGAAGGATAAGAAGATGCCAGATGTGGGGAGAGACAGAGCTCTGGGTACCTTCTCTTCCCTCTCTGATTCTGGGAGAAGGCTTCCCCTCCTCCTGCTTCCATTCCTCCCACCCCTCCAACCCTGCTTCTACTCCTCCCCTCCCCCTAATCCCCCTACTCCCCTCCCCCTACTCCCCCTCCTCCCCTGGCCTGCTTCCCCCTCCTCCCCTCCCCACTTCCCCCTCTTCCCTCCCCAATTTCCCCTCCTCCCCTCCCCTGGTTTCCCTCCTCCCCTCTACCCTTTCCCTCCTCCCCTCCCCTGGCTTCCCCTCCTCCCCCTCTACCCTTCCCTTCCTCCCCTCCCCTTGCTTCCCCTCCTCCCCCTCTACCCTTCCCTTCCCTTCCTCCCCTCCCCTTCCTTTCCCTTCTCCCCTTCCCTTCCTCACCTCCCCTTGCTTCCCCTTCTCCCCTCTACCCTTCCCCTCCTCCCCTCCCCTCTTACCCTCCTCCCCTACCCTGGCTTCCACTCCTCCCCTAAGCACCTCTGACTCCAGGCTCTCCACTCATCCCACATCCCCCAGATCCCCTACCCAGCCCGAGGCAATGGAGCCCAAACCAGCTCACTGGGCTATTCCTGTCACCTGTCCACCTTCCCTGTCCTTCCTCTAAGCTCATCACCTGCCCGACTTTTGACCAGCTCCTCCTTATGTATCCTGTACCCTGTACTCAGGGGAGGCCCCGCCATCCATCCAGGTGTTCAGGAAATGAAACAGGTGTCTTTCTGGCTCCTCCTTCCCACCACCACCTGCATCCAGTCACCAAGCTAAGTAGCTCTGAAAAATGGTCACCTCTCCATCCCCTCTACCAAGGCCCTCACCGGGCCTCAGACTCATCCTTGTCTCCTAGGTCACACGCGGCCACCCAACTGCTGCCCTGCCCAGGTCCTGCACCTCCAACCCACACTTTCCACTAGGGCCAGACAGTGCAAAACCCAACCTGGCCTTGCCTCTCCCCTTAAAATCCCCATCTCATCACACCACAGGCTCCAGAGCATATTCCAGGAGGTGCTTCCAAGCTGTGGTCCTCTCAGACTCATGTGCACCTCTCCCCACCCAGGCACCACTGCCCCCTCCCACCCCCCACACCCCAGAGCCTGGCGCCTGCCCTCTCCGAGCACATGCCACAGCCTCTGCCCCCTGATGTCCTCAGTGTCAGGAGCACTTCCCTGAATTCATTGAACTGATAGAGTACTTACTTTGGATTTTTTTTCTAACACAAGGAGCTACAAAGAAGAAAAAATGGGTTCAAGACTTCTCCCCAAACACACTAGATAATCCTCTTGATATATTCTTTAAAGGTATACAAAATGAAAAGTGAGCATTCCCTCCACCCCTGGTTCTCCTTGCACAGTCCCTCCTCTATAAAGGAAAACTATAATTAACAGTTTCTGGTGTACTCTTACAGGAAAAGAAAATATTTATGAAAAACCCACCATGTCAACAGTTGTCTATATATATTCTTTTTTGCACAAAGGAATCATACTATACACACAGTACTGCATCTTGCCTTTCCCATCTCACAATGAAAATCAAATTTTGCTTTATTTTTGTTTTCATTATATAAATACAGGTTCATTGTATTTTAAAAAATGCCTAAGAGTATGGAGAAGGACATCGAAATCAGCAGAGCATTCACCACCCTGGAATAACTGCCACCTGACAGTCCGGTCACCAACTCCCCCGACCTCGCTACAAGGCGCCCACAGAGTGCCTGTGCACGGCAGCTAGCAGCTAGCAATGTGCTCCCCTCCACGCTCAGCACACATTTTCATTCTTTCCTATGTTCTTGCCTGTTGACAGTTAATGACACAGCTGCTAACAGCTATTTTTAAATCTTCAACTAGTGTCAGGCAGCTGAGACATTTTCTCCTAGACACCAAAGTAAGTCTGCACCTCCAGAAGACCAATCAGTGAACATGCGGAAACCTGATTTTGCGGAGAATGCAGGGAAGTATAGTATACAGGTAACATCTAAACCTGTGGCCACCTGCATGCACAATTTTTCAAGAGAGGGATACTCTACCAATCACTTAGGAGGCATTGCCCCTCCTCCATCTGTTTTGTTTTCTCCTTCTGAACCACAATGCCAGTGGGATTGATAAGCGGGTTGTAAGAGATGTAGGAAAAACCATTCAGGGTAAAACAAAACTGCATGTACAAAGGCATAAGGGCATAAATAGGTGTTCTGTGATGTCTCTCCCAGCTATACTATTCTATTGATGGTGGTCCTTCTCTTCGGTCTAGAAAAGATATCAAAACTTATTCAGGGGGCAGGGTGGGAAAAAATGGGTGAAGCGTCAACAGAATTACCAGAAACACATTTTTCTCTAGATTTGCTCAAGAGTTTAGAGAGAGGTGAACTATTTTGTGAAAATTCAGAAGGTGTTTAGGTACCCCTTCATCCAGCTGTGTCCTCCTTGGACACAGCCAAGAATCCGGGAGTGGTGGCTCACACCTGTAATCCCAGCACTTTGGGAGGCCGAGGCAGGCGGATCACCTGAGGTCAGGAGTTCGAGACCAGCCTGGCCAACATGGCGAAACCCTGTCTCTACCAAAAATGCAAAAATTAGCTGGATGTGGTGGCAGGCACCTGTAGTCCTAGCTACTCCAGGAGGCTGAGGCAGGAGAATCACTTGAACCCGGGAGGCGGAGGTTGCAGTGAGCCAAGATTGAGCCACTACACTCCAGCCTGGGCAACAGAGCAAGACTCTGACTCAAAAAAAAAAAAGAATCTTGGTTGCCAAATCGCTTTGTCCAGAATCTATCAGACAGGAGCTTTACTACAAATCGCTGTGTTCTCCCAGGGCCTGCTGGAGCCCTGCTTATCTCAGGTGCCCCCTTGTGATTCAGGGCTGGGCTAAGAGCCCCAGAAGAAAGGTTGCCCAGACAGTCACAGATCCTACCTGCCCATCATTCAAGGACTCCAGAGCCAAACAGAAGGGTGCCTTAGGAGTTGTAGGCAGAAGGGAGGAGAGGCGGGGGAAAGAGCTGTTCCCAAGCCTGGGCTGGGTTCAGCTAAAACTCCCACGTCCTGGCCGGGTGAGGTGGCTCACACCTGTTATCCCAACACTTTGGGAAGCCAAGGCAGGGGGATCACCTGAGGTCAGGAGTTCAAGACCAGCCTGGCCAAGATGGTGAAATCCCATCTCTACTAAAAAATACAAAAATTAGCCGGGCATGGTGGCAGGCACCTGTAACCCCAGCTACTAGGGAGGCTGAGGCAGGAGAATTGCTTGAACCCGGGAGGTGGAGGTTGCAGTGAGCCGAGATTGCACCAGTGCACTCCAGCTGGGGCAACAAAGTGAGACTTCATCTCAAAAAAAAAAAAAAAAAAAGAGTTCAAGACTAGCCTGGCCAACATGACGAAACCGTTTATACTAAAACTACAGAAATTAGCCAGGCATTGGCCAGGCGCGGTGGCTCATGCCTATAATCCCAGCACTTTGGGAGGCCGAGGCGGGCGGATCACCTGAGGTCGGGAGGTCGAGGCCAGCCATGGCCAACATGGTGAAGCCCCGTCTCTACTAAAAATGCAAAAATTAGCCAGGCATGGTGGCAGGCGCCTGTAATCCCAGCTACTCGGGAGGCTGAGGCAGGAGAATCGCTTGAACCTGGGAGGCAGAGGTTGCAGTAAGCCGAGATCGCACCATTGCACTCCAGCCTGGGCGACAGAGCAAGACTCCGTCTCAAAAACAAAAAACAAAAATAACAAAAACCAAAAAAAAATCCTACTCCCCCGCAAAGCCTACAAAGCTATTGTCAATCAGGACCCCACCCCTTTGCTGATTACTCAAAACCACAATCACTGGAAACCTGAAAGGTAATTTCCCGCTTCTCCTCCTGAAAGAGCCAAGCTTTCAGAGCCAAAACTTCTGTCCTGGAATAATCTGTTCGTAAAAATAATGAAGAGCAGTTGCTCCAGAGGAAAACCATATAGATGCTGCTGTTTGGAGCCGAAGTGCAGGAAGACCCATCCTGCTACCATCCCACACCCCTGCCAGCCAGGTGGATTCCTTGCAACCAGGAGGGGAGTTCTGCAGGCAAGAGCTGTGAGCAGATCCCTGCTAGTGCTGCCCACGCTGCTCTTGGAGCTGGCAGAACTCAGCTGGCTGCACAGAGCCAGGGATAAACAGGAGGATCTCTAAGGAGGACCTCCAGCGCCCAGCCAGAGAGGGCAACTAGACAGTGAAGAACCTGTGCTTGTGTAGGGGAGATGGCCAATTTGGGTTGACCACCAGGGCCCTCTCACTCTGGAAGGAAGAAACCCTAAAAACTGACTGATGGTGGACTTTTCAGCCAGCTTGGTGAGTGGAGGCTGGAACCAGATATATTTTTTATCTTACTAAATAAATATGAGATATCTTGGCCCCAGGGATGGTTTGGAGTAAATTCATACATTACAGCCAGCCAAAACCGCAACACATGTGTGGGGAAAAGAGAGATCAGACTGTTACTGTGTCTATGTAAAAAGAAGTAGACATAAGAAATTCCATTTTGTTCTGTACTAAGAGAAATTCTTCTGCCTTGAGATGCTGGTAATCTGTAAACCTAGCCCCAACCCTATGCTCGCAGAAACATGTGCTGTGTTGACTCAAGGTTTAATTAGGGCTGTGCAGGATGTGCTTTGTTAAAAATGTGTTTGCAGGCAGTATGCTTGGCAAAAAGTCATCGCCATTCTCCCGTCTTGAGTACCCAGGGGCACAATGCACTGCGGAAGGCTGCAGGCACCTCTGCCCAAGAAAGCCTGGGTATTCTCCAAGGTTTCTCCCCACTGAGACAGCCTGAGATACGGCCTTGTGGGAAGGGAAAGACCTGACCATACCTCAGCCCGATACCCGTAAAGGGTCTGTGCTGAGGAGGATCAGTGAAAGAGGAAGGCCTCTTTGCAGTTGAGATAAGAGGAAGGCATCTATCTCCTGCTCGTCCCTGGGAATGGAATGTGTCAGTGTAAAACCCGATCCTACGTTCTATTTACTGAGATAGGAGAAAACCACCTTATGGCTGGAGGTGAGACATGCTGGTGACAATACTGTTGTTTACTGCACTGAGATGCTTGTATAAAGTCAAACATAAATCTGGCCTACATAC
The DNA here is from genome assembly GCF_000001405.40 of Homo sapiens. NCBI lineage: Eukaryota > Metazoa > Chordata > Mammalia > Primates > Hominidae > Homo > Homo sapiens. The sequence continues at coordinate 46,396,179 of NC_000001.11, read as the reverse complement.
ACATCAAGGCACAGCACCTTTCCTTAAACTTATGACACAGAGTCCTTTGCTCACATGTTTTCCTGTTGACCCTTTCCCCACCATTACCCTATAGTCCTGCCACATCCCCCTCACCGAGATGGTAGAGATAGTGATCAATAAATACTGACGGAACTCAGAGACCAGTGCTGGCGCGGGTCCTCCCTATACTGAGCGGTGGTCCCCTGGGCCCACTGTTCTTTCTCTATACTTTGTCTCTGTGTCTTATTTCTTTTCTCAGTCTCTTGTCCCACCTGAGGAGAAATACCCACAGGTGTGGAGGGGCTGGCCCCCTTCAACATGCAGGGCTACACCCTGGGCTGGCATGCAAGGTGCCTTCCTCATATCTCTCTCCTGTTCCTCTCCACGAAAGTGTGGCTGCAGAGTGCAGCGGGCACCTAGGTTCTAGTTCCAGCTCTGCCCCAACTCAAAAATCACTTGCGGAACATCTGCTGAACACAATTTTCTGTGACTCTTTCTGTCTCCCACCCAGGCACACCCTCCTGAGTCCTGCGGTTCCCAACCTGTAAAGCCTTCCCACCTGTCAGGTCCCACAGATACAGCAAGCCCTCCCTCTCTCAGCACATAAGAAGGCTTTAACTGGGGTCAGTGTTTCACACACCCAGAGGAAAAGCCCCTCTTCAAGCCACATCTTCCAAACCCTCAGCCAGGCCCTTCCACGCCTCCAAACCCACATACTGAGGTGATCCAAAGGCAGCGCAGGGAGAAAAGCTTGTTGACAGACCACCCACGGAGGGCTGGAACTAAACCTGCTCATGGAAAGGGCTTGCCAGGGGTTGGACACCACAGCAGGAGCCAGAGAGACTTCCCTTCTAGCCTGGCTTTGCCAAGATCTCCCTGTGCACTTGGCAGGTTTCTTTCTGGCTCCCTCTTAGGATCCAAATGCACAAATCAAGAAGCTTGAACTCAGCCAGGCGCGGTGGCTCACGCCCAGCACTTTGGGAGGCCGAGGCAGGTGTATCAACTGAGGTCAGGCGTTTGAGATCAGCCTGGCCAACATGGTGAAACCCAGTCTCTACTAAAAATGCAAAAATTAGCCAGGCGTAGTGGCGGGCCCCTGTAATCCCAGCTACTGGGGATGCTGAGGCAGCAAGAATCGCTTGCACCCGGGAGGCGGAGGTTGCAGTGAGCCGAGATCGCACCACTGCACTCTTGCCTGGGAGTCAGAGCGAGACTCCGTCTCAAAACAAAACAAAAAAAAACAAAAAACAAAACTCTAAGCTCTCCAGATCCCCTTGGCCATTACACTCTGCGATTCCAAAGTCCTCAACCCCTGGCATCCCACTGGTTGTCACGCTTGCGTTTTCGCATTCCAATAGGCAGCAATCGTGAGATTCTTTGGCACAAAGCAAAACTCCTCTTTGACCCAGTGAGGGAAAGGCCTTCCACCACCTGCCTTGACACTACCGTTTCCTTTCTTCCCCCGTGCTCTACCTGGCTCAGAAAGTGCGGAATATCTTAGGGCAAGGAGAGATTCTGGAGAGTTACACATCTGCTCTGCCCGCCCCATCCCCTGTCCCTCGGCGGGTCCGGCGGCTGAAAGTGCCGCTGCGAGTACCCTCAGGCCGCGCCCATCCCACTACGCTCCGGCAGTCACCTGGAGCCGGAAGCGCTGCGCCGCCCTGTCCATGTTCTCCAGGCCCGCTCGCTGCCTCTGTCGCGCCCGGACCACCGCGCCCCGCGCCGTCCGGCGCCCGGACCAGCGCAGGGCCACGGCCGCCGCCACGAAGCAGCAGGCCAGGGCGACCCCGGAGGCGCCAGGCAGCGCGGCCCACAGCTCGTACTGCACCATGATCCCTTCAGCCTGCTGCTGCCTACCGCGACAGTTGAAGCCGCCGCACGCGCAGCCCGCCCGCTCCGCCGCAAAACCCGGACTGGATCAGCCGGGATCCCACGCCCGCCTGCGCGGGAGGGGCGGGGAAGCGCGCCAGAGCCTAGAGGCTATCAGAGGCGGCCCGCCTGGCATCGCCCCCAGCGACATCCCGCTCCCCGCCAAGCCGAGCAGGCGGGTGGGGAAGGGCGACTGTTTCTCGTGGGCGACCTCCCAAGCTTGAGTTTAGCACCGGTTGGGCACCACAGCCCCGGCCGTCCTCTGCCCCCTGCACCCCAGAGCCCCAAATGCTGAAGACTGCGCCCCAGCCGGAGCCCCATGCCAGACATGCCAGCTGTTAGATATGAGTTCTAAATTTATCTTAAAAGAATCAATATGTCAGTATCTTCAATTCTTTGCCTTCTACTTTTAAACTTAACTTCCTCATAAAGCAACATTTTTCGATTACCTGCTCCTCCCTCACTCATTCTTCACCGTGGTTCATTCCGATTTCCTGCTCTGCGGTAACCATTTTTCCCGCCAAACCACTCACCCCCTCACTGTCTTTAAATTAGCCAATCGGAATTAGTTTAGCCTATAGGTCTAACCCTAGCCAACAGGGGAAGGACACAGCATCAGGAATCACGTGGGTCAGGCATAAGAACCACCTTCCCCTCCCTTGTCCAGGTGTGCGCTCACCTTTGCTCCGTCTGTGAGGGCGCACCCTTCTATAGAAGTAAATTGCCTTGCTGAGAAGAAAAAAAAGAAAATTTTATATTCGAGTGCTATTTCTTTTGCGGCACTGGGGGGAAACTTTATTTATAACAATTTGGGGGCTTGCTCGTGATTACATTCCCCTTCAGGGGCAGTCTCTGGTTCTCTCTCCTGAGGAGGTATGCCCCACCCTCTTGTGATGGCCTCAGGGGTGAGAAATCAGGACTCACCCAGTGCAAGAAATAACCTGAGCTCTCAGCAATGTGAAAAGAAACCAGCAGGCAACCTAGGGTAAAGCATCCTCACACACTGCAGAGACAACTCTGTGCACAGACAAAGGAAGAAGCCGAGGGAGCCGGTAAGGTACTTCCTTGGTGGTCAAATTCTGGAGGGCTAAATGTGTGTGTGCGTGAATGATCACAAACAACCCTACCTGTGGTGTTGTTCGTGTGGATGATGACAAGTCCTACTGCTGGACGGAGTGAGTGGGTCCTCTCCACGTTTCCGTAGCTACCTCATATGGCTTAGGGAGGATCCTGCGGTGGGATTTCTACTGGAATGCCAATGCTGAGGGGGGCCTAATTCTCCCTTGGGGGAGCAGCCAGAGAGGACAACACGAGTGGGAAGTGTGCAAAGGACCTTCAGAGGGGGAAAGGGAGGAAACAGGTCAACCTTCCAGGGAAGCAAGGCAAGACACCTCCTAGTTTGAGGGATTGAGCCTTCCAGGGCAGCAAGGCAAAACACCCCCTGGTTTGAGGGGTTGAGCCTTCCAGGTCAGGCAAGGCAAGATACCCCCTGGTTTGAGGTGTTGAGCCTTCCACAAATTTCAGGGGATCAAAAACCTCACACAAACCTCCGGTAGTAAGAAAAATATTCAGAATTCCCCTTTCCTTTCTTCTCGGGGAAGAAAAAGTAGCTGCACTCCTGACGGTCCCTTCCCTAGGGGAAGGGGAAGGAGAGGGGAGAACAGCAGCATAAGCAGCTGGCAGAGGCAGGGAAAGACCAGCAGAGAGGAAAGAGAAACTGGGAGAGGAAGTTGGAGAGAAAGAGAGAGGCAAAGAGAGAGAAAGAGAGGCAGAGAGAGAAAGAGACAGAAAGACAGAAGCCAGGCGTGGTGGCTCATGCCTGTAATCCCAGCACTTTGGGAGGCCAAGGCCGGTGGATCACGAGGTCAGGAGATCAAGACCATCCTGGCTAACACCGTGAAACCCCATCTCTACTAAAAATACAAAAAAATTAGCCAGGCGTGGTGGCGGGCGCCTGTAGTCCCAGCTACTCAGGAGGCTGAGGCAGGAGAATGGCGTGAACCTGGGAGGCGGAGCTTGCAGTGAGCCGAGATCGCGCCACTGCACTCCAGCCTGGGTGATAGAGCTAGACTCTGTCTCAAAAGAAAAAGAGAGAGAGAGAGGGAGTCAGAGACAGGGAAAGAGAGAGAGAGTCAAAGAGAGAGAGAGAGAAAGAGAGATAGAAGTAGTAAAGAGAAAACAGTGTACCCTATTCCTTTAAAAGCCAGGATAAAATTCAAAACCTGTAATTGATAATTGAAGGTCTTCTCCATGACCCTATAACACTCCAATACCACCTTGTTGTCAGTGTAAACAAGGATGTAGCCCAAAAGCACTGAGGCCACTGACAACCCGTAACCTCCCTAATCAAAACTCCTTAACCCAGTAACCGGCAGATGGCCCAAATGCATTCAATCTGTAGCAGCAACTGCTTTGCTAACAGAAGAAAGTAGAAAAACAACTTTTAGAGGAAACCTCATTGTGAGCACACCTCATCAGGTCAGAACTATCCTAAGTCAAAAAAAAAAAAAGGTAGCTTACTGACTCAAGAACCTTAAAGTATGAGGCTGTTCTGTTAGAAAAAAATGATTTAATATTAACCACTGAAAATTCCCTTAACCCAGCAGGTTTCCTAACATGGGATCTAAATCTTAATTAATTACCATACAAAGGTCCGACCAGACCTAGGAAGAACTCCCTTCAGGACAGGATGATAGATGGTTCCTCCTGGGTAATTGAGGGAAAAAGACACAATGGGTATTCAGTAAGTGATAAGGAAACTCTTGTAGAAGCAGAGTTAGGAAAATTGCCTAATAATTGGCCTGTTCAAATGTGAGAGCTGTTTGCACTCAGCCAAGCCTTAAAGCACTTACAGAATCAGGAAGGACCCATCTATACCAATTCTAAGTTAATATGGACTGAATGAGGTCTTATTAATAGCAAAGAATAGTTGAAATTCCAAACTTAAAATGTTTTCAACAAAAGTTAAAAAAAAAAAGTGAAAAAATGGCTACCCTCTTTGGGTCCCCTCCCTTTGTATGGGAGCTCTGTTTTCACTCTATTAAATCTTGCAACTGCACTCTCTTCTGGTCCGTGTTTGCTATGGCTGGAGCTGAGCTTTCGCTCGACATCCACTGCTGTTTGCTGCCATCGCAGACCCGCCGCCGACTTCCATCCCTCTGGATCCGGCAGGGTGTCTACTGTGCTCCTGATCCAGCGAGGCGCCCATTGCCGCTCCCAATCAGGCTAAAGGTTTGCCATTGTTCCTGCACGGCTAAGTGCCCAGGTTCATCCTAATCAAGCTGAACACTAGTCACTGGGTTCCACAGTTCTCTTCCATGACCCACGGCTTCTAATAGAGCTATAAAACTCACCGCATGGCCCAAGATTCCATTCCTTGGAATTCGTGAGGCCAAGAACCCCAGGTCAGAGAACACCAGGCTTGCCACCATCTTGGAAGCGGCCCGCCACCATCTTGGGAGCTCTGGGAGCAAGGACCCCCCAGTAACATTTGGCGACCACGAAGGGACCTCCAAAGCAATGGGAAACGTTCCCCACAAGGCAAAAACGCCCCTAAGATGTATTCTGGAGATTTGGGACCAATTTGACCCTCAGACGCTAAGAAAGAAATGACTTATATTCTTCTGCAGTACCACCTGGCCATGATATCCTCTTCAAGGGGGAGAAACCTGGCCTCCTGAGGGAAATATAAATTATAACACCATCTTACAGTGAGACCTCTTTTGTAGAGAAGAAGGCAAATGGAATGAAGTGCCATATGTACAAACTTTCTTTTCATTAAGAGACAACTCGCAATTATGTAAAAAGTGTGATTTATGTCCTACAGGAAGCCCTAGAGTCTACCTCCCTACCCTGGTGTCCCCCCGACTCCTTCCCCAACTAATGAGGACCCCCCTTCAACCCAAACGTCCAAAAGGAGATAGACAAAGGGGTAAACAATGAACCAAAGAGTGCTAATATTCCCCAATTATGCCCCTCTCCAAGCAATGGGAGGAGGAGAATTCGGCCCAGCCAGAGTGCATGTACCTTTTTCTCTCTCAGACTTAAAGCAAATTAAAATAGGCCTAGGTAAATTCTCAGATAACCCTGATGGCTATATTGATGTTTTCCAAGGGTTAGGACAATCCTTTGATCTGACATGGAAAGATATAATGTTATTGCTAAATCAGACACTAAACCCAAATGAGAGAAGTGCTGCCATAACTGCAGCCCGAGAGTTTGGTGATCTCTGGTATCTCAGTCAGGTCAATGACAAGATGACAACAGAGGAAAGAACGATTCCCCACAGGCCAGCAGGCAGTTCCCAGTGTAGACCCTCACTGGGACACAGAATCAGAACATGGAGATTGGTGCAGCAGACATTTGCTAACTTGCGTGCTAGAAGGACTAAGGAAAACTAGGAAGAAACCTATGAATTATTCAATGATGTCCACTATAATACAGGGAAAGGAAGAAAATCCTACTGCCTTTCTGGAGAGACTAAGGGAGGCATTGAGAAAGCATACCTCTCTGTCACCTAACTCTATTGAAGGCCAACTAATCTTGAAGAATAAGTTTATCACTCAGTCAGCTGCAGACATTAGAAAAAAACTTCAAAAGTCCGCCTTAGGCCTGGAGCAAAACTTAGAAACCCTATTGAACTTGGAAACCTTGGTTTTTTATAATAAAGATCAGGAGGAGCAGGTGGAATGGGACAAACAGGATAAAAAAGAGGCCACCACTTTAGTCATGGCCCTCAGGCAAGTGGACTTTGGAGGCTCTGGAAAAGGGAAAAACTGGGCAAATCGAATGCCTAATAGGGCTTGCTTCCAGTGCAGTCTACAAGGACACTTTTAAAAAGATTGTCAAAGTAGGCCGGGTGAGGTGGCTCACACCTGTAATCCCAGCACTTTGGGAGGCCAAGGCAGATGGATCACAAGGTCAGGAGATCGAGACCATCCTAGCTAACACAGTGAAACCCCATCTCTACTAAAAATATAAAAATTAGCTGGGCATGGTGGCAGGCACCTGTAGTCCCAGCTACTTGGGAGGCTGAGGCAGGAGAATGGCGTGAACCTGGGAGGCAGGGCTTGCAGTGAGCTGAGATTGTGCCACTGCACTCCATCCAGCCTGGGCGACAGAGCAAGACTCCATCTCAAAAAAAAAAAAAAAAAAGATTGTCCAAGTAGAAATAAGCCACCCCTTCGTCCATGCCCCTTATGTCAAGGGAATCACTGGAAGGCCCACTGCCCCAGGGGACGAAGGCCCTCTGAGTCAGAAGCCACTAACCAGATGATCCAGCAGCAGGACTGAGGGTGCCCGGGGCAAGTACCAACCCATGCCATCACCCTCACAGAGCCCCAGGTATGCTTGACCATTAAGGGCCAGGAGGTTAACTGTCTCCTGGACACTGGCGTGGCCTTCTCAGTCTTACTCTCCTGTCCCGGACAACTGTCCTCCAGATCTATCACTATCCAAGGGGTCCTAGGACAGCCAGTCACTAGATACTTCTCCCAGCCACTAAGTTGTGACTGGGGAACTTTACTCTTTTCACATGCTTTTCTAATTATGCCTGAAAGCCCCATATCCTTGTTAGGAAGAGATATTCTAGCAAAAGCAGGGGCCATTATACACCTGAACATAGGAAAAGGAACACCCGTTTGTTGTCCCCTGCTTAAGGAAGAAATTAATCCTGAAGTCTGGGCAACAGAAGGACGATATGGATGAGCAAAGAATGCCCGTCCCATTCAAGTTAAATTAAAGGATTCCGCCTCCTTTCCCTACCAAAGGCAGTATCCCCTTAGACCTGAGGCCCAACAAGGACTCCAAAAGATTGTTAAGGACCTAAAAGCCCAAGGCCTAGTAAAACCATGCAATAGCCCCTGTAGTACTCCAATTTTAGGAGTACAGAAACCCAACGGGCAGTGGAGGCTAGTGCAAGATCTCAGGATTATAAATGAGGTATTGTCCCTCTATACTCAGCTGTACCTAACCCTTATACTCTGCTTTCCCAAATACCAGAGGAAGCAGAGTGGTTTACAGTCCTGGACCTTAAGGATGCCTTTTTCTGCATCTCTGTACAACCTAACTCTCAATTCTTGTTTGCCTTTGAAGATCCTTCGAACCCAACGTCTCAACTCACCTGGACTGTTTTACCCCAAGGGTTCCGGGATAGCTCCCATCTATTTGGCCAGGCGTTAACCCAAGACTTGAGCCAGTTCTCATACCTTGACACTCTTGTCCTTCAGTATGTGGATGATTTGCTTTTAGCCACCCATTCAGAAACCTTGTGCCATCAAGCTACCCAAGCGCTCTTGAATTTCCTCGCCACCTGTGGCTACAAGGTTTCCAAACAAAAGGCTCAGCTCTGCTCACAACAGGTTAAATGCTTAGGGCTAAAATTATCCAAAGGCACCAGGGCCCTCAGTAAGGAATGTATCCAGCCCATACTGGCTTATCCTCATCCCAAAACCCTAAAGCAACTAAGAGGGTTCCTTGGCATAACAGGCTTCTGCCAAATATGGATTCCCAGGTATGGCGAAATAGCCAGGCCATTATATACGCTAATTAAGGAAACTCAGAAAGCCAATACCCATTTAGTAAGATGGACACCTAAAGCAGAAGTGGCTTTCCAGGCCCTAACGAAGGCCCTAACCCAAGCCCCAGTATTAAGCTTGCCAACGGGGCAAGACTTTTCTTTATATGTCACAGAAAAAAACAGGAATAACTCTAGGAGTCCTTACACAGGTCCAAGGAACGAGCTTGCAACCCGTGGCAGACCTGAGTAAGGAAATTGATGTAGTGGCAAAGGGTTGGCCTCATTGTTTATGGGTAATGGTGGCAGTAGCAATCTTAGTATCTGAAGCAGTTAAAATAATACAGGAAAGAGATCTTACTGTGTGGACATCTCATGATGTGAACAGCATACTCACTGCTAAAGGAGACCTGTGGCTGTCAGACAGCCATTTACTTAAATACCAGGGTCTATTACTTGAAGGGCCAGTGCTGCAACTGTGCACTTGGGCAACTCTTAACCCAGCCACATTTCTTCCAGACATTGAAAAAAAGATAGAACGTAACTGTCAACAGGTGATTGCTCAAACCTATGCCGCTCGAGGAAACCTTCTAGAGGTTCCTTTGACTGATCCTGACCTCAACTTGTATATTGATGGAAGTTCCTTTGTAGAAAAAAGACTTCGAAAAGCAGGGTATGCAGTGGTCAGTGATAATGGAATACTTGAAAATAATCCCCTCACTCCAGGAACTAGCGCTCAGCTGGCAAAACTAATAGCCCTTACTCGGGCACTAAAATTAGAAAAAGAAAAAAGGGTAAACATATATACAGACTCTAAGTATGCTTACCTAGTCCTCCATGCCCATGCAGCAATATGGAGAGAAAGGGAATACCTAACTTCTGAGGGAACATCTATCAAACATCAGGAAGCCATCAGGAGATTATTATCGGCTGTACAGAAACCTAAAGAGGTGGCAGTCTTACACTGCTGGGGTCATCAGAAAGGAAAGGAAAGGGAAATAGAAGGGAACCGCCAAGCGAATATTGAAGCCAAAAGAGCCACAAGGCAGGACCCTCCATTAAAAATGCTTATAGAAGGACCCCTAGTATGGGGTAATCCCCTCTGGGAAACCAAGCCCCAGTACTCAACAGGAGAAATAGAATAGGGAACCTTACAAGGACATAGTTTCCCCCCCTCAGGATGGCTAGCCAACAAAGGAAAAATACTTTTGCCTGCAGCTAACCAATGAAAACTACTTAAAACCCTTCGCCAAACCTTTCACTTAGGCATTGATAGCACCCATCAGGTGGCCAAATTATTATTTACTGGACCAGGCCTTTTTAAAACTATCAAGCAGATATTCAGGGCCTGTAAAGTGTGCCAAAGAAATAATCCCCTATACTGCAGGCCATATATTTCAATCCCCGTATCTTTAACCTCCTCGTTAAGTTTGTCTCTTCCAGAATCAAAGCTGTAAAACTACAAATTGTTCTTCAAATGGAGCCCCAGATGCAGCCCATGACTAAGATCTACTGTGGACCCCTGGACCAGCCTGCTAGCCCACGCTCCAATGTTGATGACATCAAAGGCACCCCTCCCAAGTAAATCTCATCTGCACGACCCCTACTCACCCCAATTCAGCAGGAAGCAGTTAGAGCAGTCGTCGGCCAACCTCCCCAACAGCACTTGGGTTTTCCTGTTGAGGGGGTTACTGAGAGACAGAACTAGCTGGATTTCCTAGGCCAACTAAGAATCCCTAAGCCTAGCTGGGAAGGTGATCACATCCACTTTTAAACACGGGGTTTGCAACTTAGCTCACACCCGACCAATCAGGTAGTAAAGAGAGCTCACTAAAATGCTAATTAGGCAAAAACAGGAGGTAAAGAAATAGCAAAAAATCTATCGCCTGAGAGCACGCGGGAGGGACAATGATTGGGATATAAACCCAGGCATTCGAGTCAGCAATGTCTACCCTCTTTGGGTCCCCTCCCTTTGTATGGGAGCTCTGTTTTCACTCTATTAAATCTTGCAACTGAAAAAAAAAATGTGGGGGGGGCGGGTAGAATTTATGTAAAAAGAATGTTATATGGTAAATTCATGTCCTAAAATAAATTAACTGGCTGTTTAAATAAAGGGATGTTTGCAACAAGTCAGAAAGTTGAGGCATGTCGAAGAATTGTCTGTAAAAGTCATGGAAAAAAAGTTATAAAAGGGAATTTATGCAAGAAATGTTGTATAATTTAAAAGTAATGAGGCCTCCTGAATGTAAAACTATTGAAGAAACAGTTTATGTGCAAGGTGTGTAAGGAAAGTAAATTATACCTTGGTAAAAGGTTATAAGGAAGCATAAGAATGTGGATTTTTATCTACATTAAAAGGTTAAAAAATTGTTTTAAAGGTTTAAGCAAGTTTTGAAAACAATTATAAAGGAAATTCTGTGTGTAAACATTGGCTAAAGTTAAATGGGTATCATCCAGTTTTTCTGTGAACTTGACATTGAAATAAAACACAACAGGTTTTTCTTAAAGCACTAACCTGCTCTTTAACAAAAATTATAAAAGATTGAAAACAATCTATAAAAATCTTACCTTATGGTCAGACATTAAAATTAGATAAATATGTCTACAAGATTTTATTAAAATTCAATTTAACATTAATAACACACTAATATAAAGGTGAAATTTAGTTTATCTGGTATAAAAATGATACAGGAAGCATTGTTAAATATAAAATGGTATTTGGCTTTCTTTGGTCTAAAAACTAATAAAAATAGGTGCTAAAGAAAATTTCTCAGCAAGAAGGCACCAAGGACTATGAAGTCCACTGCTGATGTCCCCACATTTTAACCAAAAGATCAATTTCTTAGGAATTATACACTTGGTTTATCCTCCACCTTCTCTTCCCTTAAAACAAGAGGTCTTTTAGCACAGGGGCCACCTTTGGAGTTGCCAGGACATCAGCATCAGCCTGGGGATCATGTTCTCGTCAAAGGGTGGAAAGAAGGGAAACTCAAGCCAGCCTGGGAAGGACTCTACTTTGTGCTGCTAACCACCAAGACTGCTTTTGATACAGCGGAAAGGGATGGACACATCACACCTGAGTCAAGCAAGTGCCATTATCATCAGAATCATGGGCCATTGTTCCTGGATCAAGCCCTACCAAATTAAAGCTAAGAAAAGTTTAGTCTGTCTATCTGTAACAAAGACATTGCAAGGTCTGACTGCTCTGTCCAATAGTTAGCCAACAACTCAGGGGTAAATGATCCCTTTACAGCATGGCTAAAAAGTGGTTTGGTAAATGGAAAGGAATAATAGCCTCAATTCTAACTTCCCTCACAGCCGTAATGGGTGTACTTATTCTTATCAGGTGCTGTGTCATACATCCATCCATGGGTTGGTGCAGAGGCTCATAAAAACAGCACTTACTAAAACCTCCCTTAACTATCCTCCACCTTATCCAGAGAAGCTTCTTCTTTTGGAAAATCAAGCAGAACAACTAAGCCAAGACATGTTAAAGAAGTTTGAAGAGAAAGAGCTGCAAGGAAATTCAAGAGGAGGGATTACTAGATGTGAGTTCTAAATTTCTCTTCAAAGAATCACTATGTCAGTATGTTCAATTCTTTGCCTTCTACTTTTAAACTTAACTTCCTTGTAAAGCAACCTTTTTTGATTACCTACTCCACCCTGACTCATTCCAATTACCTGCTCTGCCCTGACTCATTCTCCACCCTGACCCATTCCGATCTCCTGCTCTGCCATAACCATTTTTCCCGCCAAACCACTCACCCCATCACTCTCGTTAAATTAGCCAATCGGAATTAGTTTAGCCTGTGCAGTCTAACCCTAGCCAATAGGTGAACGACACAGCAGCAGAGGCCACATGCATCAGGAATAAGAACCCCTTCCCCTCCCTTGTCCAGCCGTGCACTCACCATTGCTCCATCTGTGAGGGCACACCCTTCTATAGAGGTAAATTGCCTTGCTGAGAAGAAAAAAAAAGAAAATTTTATATTTGAGTGCTATTTCTTTTGTGGCACCAAAACTTTATTTATAACACCAGCCTGGCCGGGCACGGTGGCTCACGCCTGTAATCCCAGCACTTTGGGAGGCAGAGGCGGGCGGATCATGAGGTCAGGAGATCGAGACCATCCTGGCTAACACAGTGAAACCCCGCCTCTACTAAAAATACAAAAAATTAGCCAGGCGTGGTGGCAGGCGCCTGTAGTCCCAGCTACTCGGGAGGCTGAGGCAGGAGAATGGCGTGAACCCGGGAGGCGGAGCTTGCAGTGAGCCGAGATTGCACCACTGCACTCCAGCCTGGGCGACAGAGCGAGACTCCATCTCGGAAAAAAAAAAAAAAAAAAAAAAACACCAGCCAACAAGATCAGGAGCAGTGACAGATTGGGTTCACAGACCTCTTTAACCTCCACAAACCCTGTAGCAGTATCTTTCCTGGAGAACCAGGAGGCTGGTCATGCACCACAGGGTGCCCACCTCTCCCCAGCATGGGGCTTCCGGTGCGCCAGCCCAGGACAAACACTGGAAGAGTCTCTGGGGCGTCCACCCCCTGCCCCTCCTCTTTCCCAAACCCGGGACACCGGGTCTCTCACCCTGGGCTCTTCTTCATGGCCCAATCCACCCATTATTTGTCCTTTGGCTCAGCCACTTCCTGCAGACTGGCCTCCCCAGGGTCACCCTGTCCCAGTCCTGGGTACTTCTGGATTTTACATCCAAGAAGCAGAAGGAATGCCAGACCAGGGGGAGTCTGGGGACCTGGTCCGCTTCAGAGGGGGATGAATTACACGGATACAGACACACACACACAGGTTCCCTACTGCTGTCCTGGCCTCTCTCACAGAACTTTACGTGCTTTATCTCAGTTGTTCTCCCAACAACTTTATGAGAAAAGCATTTTTGGCCCAGTGCAGTGGCTCACACCTGTAATTCCATTACTTTTGGAGGCCGAGGTAGGTGGATCACCTGAGGTTAGGAGTTCGAGACCAGCCTGACCAACATGGTGAAACCCTGTCTCTACAAAAAATGCAAAAATTAGCTGGGCATTTTGGCTTGTGCCTGTAATCCCAGCTACTTGGGAGGCTAAGGCAGGAGAATCACTTAAACCTGGGAGGTGGAGGTTGCAGTGAGCTGAGATCATGCCACTGCACTCCAGCCTGGGCAACAGAGTGAGACTGTCTCAAAAAAAAAAAAAAAGAAGCATTTTTATGCTCATATTACTGATGAAGTAACTGAAGACAAATGGCATTAAATAACTTGTGTCCCATAGAACTGATGTTTATAAATTAAGTATTTAAAAAATAAAAGTAACTTTTGTGGGTCACACAGGTGGCTGAGTGGATGGGGATTCCACTGGGAAGCCGGAAGCCAGAGCTCTTCCCTATCCGTCAGCACCACCATTACTGCCCCTGGGAATGGGTCGTAAAAGTTTAGAATGTGTGTATCTTTGGGTTGACGTGTAGCTTTTTTCATTGCATAGTGGCCCTATTTGTCCCAACGACTTTTTTACTTAAAGTATGATGGGGCACAGGTAAGTGCTTTGTGCGGGGAAACACTGTCTCCTGAAACATGGGGAGGGGCTCCCGGGTGGAGGTGCAGTCCCGGATCCTGGTTGTTTTTACGTCTCTGAATCTGTGCCTTTACTTTTCTAAGGGGGCTGGTTATGATGCCTACTTTGCAAGATGGTTAGCAACACTGCCTGGCACTTAGTAGGCCCTCCATAAATGATTATGAATGGAGTGAAAGGCCCACCTATGGAAAGACTTGGTTGGTAATGGAAGAATCCCAGCCTGAGGGCCTTGAGTCAGGCTCTTGAGTATGTTAAGCAAGGTCCCAAATCCTCGCGTTTCTGTCTTCAGTGAGGATTGAGTGCCTCTGTTCCTACTCAGCACTGATAACCCTTTACAAGTTTCAAGTCCTAGACCTCAGTTTCCCTAGAAAAAGGGAGCTGACAGGTGCTGATGACAGAAACAGCAATCTGAAGTGATTCTTATGAGGTCACCTCACCCCATTTCCTGAGTAAAAGAATAGGATTCTAGCCCTCAACTCACCATTCATTTGTTGGATGACCTTGGGTAACTCAATTCTTCCTTTTGCAAAATGAGAAGCATTTTTCCAGACCCTCTCTCCTTCTCAAAGGGAAAATAATATATAGTCCTAGGGAAACACTGGTCATTCCTGAGGCTTAATCACCAAGTTTGTAACCTGTTGTGAGTAGGGCCAAGATTTGCTACTTTAGGGACTCCAGTTGCAAAGCATTCACTTGTGTTTGCTGAAATGATGGCTTCTCTAAACAGAAAGCTCCCTGGGCGCATATTAAATATAACTTAATTTACAAAAAGGGTCTAGGGGTTAGGAGTGGGTTTGGAGGCCAGTGCAGCAAGTCCTGGACTGACTCTAATGTTCAAGTCACAGTGAGTGGCCACTTTGTTCCTGTGAGAGAGGATCCAGAAACCCTTCTGACATCCAGTGATTCAATTCAACAGACATCCACTGACACCTGCTACTATATGCTGTGCTCTAGGGAAACTTAAACGAATAGTAGACCAAAAATCTGGCCTGAATGGGAAGAAAAAAGATTGCATAGACCAAGACAGGCTTTGGTGGAAATGCAGAGATCGTGCTGCATAACCCAGAGGGCCTTGGATTCTGGGCCCTTGGACTGTGTTGGGGAGAGTCTTTGGGGGAAGCAAGATGGCACATGATTCAGAGCAAGTGTTTTAGAGCTTGGCTGTAGAGTAGAACTAGCTAGTAACCCATCCTTGTTGTGTGACTCTCTGTGTCCCCATTTCCTTACCTGTCAAATAATGGTAATAATAGTATCCCCCCACAGCAAATACTCTGGTACTATTATATGAATCAAATGAGTTAATGCATGTAACACAACCAGAACAGGGCCTAGCATATGTATAGTAAAAAATCCATGCATGTTAATCATTATTATTATTGCTGTTGTTATTACTTATTATTAGAAAAATAGAGGCCCACAGAGAGGGGTTTTATGGGCTGAGAATCCCAAGCTCAGGAACCAGACTGCCTGAGTTCAAATCCTAACTCTGCCACTTACTGTGTAACCTGGAGTAAGCCTCTTTAACCTCTTGTGCCTCAGTTTCCTTATCTGTAAAATGGGGATAACACTGGTGACTATCTCACACAATTGATGTGAACATTAAGCAAGTTAATCCAAGCAAAGAGCTTGGAACAGCACCTCATCCACTGTAAGTGTTCAATAAATATTAGCTCACTTTATTTTAAGCAGAGATGTATGCAATCCAACCAGTATTTTGAGAAGGCAGTATGGAGGAGGGTTGGGAGAGGCAAGCTGGAAGCTAAGGTCATGGACTAGAAGAGCAGGTGGATGCAAAGATCCAATGGGGGTGGGTTTCCAGGGCTCCACCTGTGTTATCCAGAAGGTAACACCACACCATTCTGTGAGCCATAATCTGCTGTCAGGTCATTCATGCAAGAGTTACTCCTGCCCACAGCCCCTCTAGCAGACCCTGGTAAGTTTCCCTGTCAGCATCCGCAGTCAGCTGGTGATGGTAAGTTATTCTTATGTGTCTTCAGCTGTTGAGTGGGAAGACAGGTAATACCTTCCCTGGCACCCTCTGAGGTGGGGGCAGGGCTGTCCAAGGGAGAGAAGAAGGGAAGGGAGCTTCTCAGATTCCAGAGGGTGTGAAGTCTGTCTTTGTTCCAGGGATGGGAGCAGTAAATGCTCTGCTTCTTCATTTCCTTTCTCTTCTGTGAGCCTTTCCCAGGGGCCTACTAAAGGGGAGGATGCAGTCCAGCTCTAAGGAACTGCTATGATTTGAGTGTATGTGTCCCTCAAAATTCATGCTGAAACCTGATCACCAAGGTAATGGTATTAGAAGGTGGAGCTTTTGGGGGAGGTGATTAAGTCAAAAGGTCCCTGGCCTCATAAATAGGATTAAAGACCTTATAAAAGAGGTATGGGGTAGCTGTTCACAGCCCCTTTTCCCTTCTGTTCTTCTGCTGTGGGAGGACTCAGCCATAAGACACCATCTATAAAGCAATGAGCAAGCCTTCCCCAGACACCAAATCTGCCAGTGCCTTGACCTTAGACCTCCCAGCCTCTAGAACTGTAAGAAATAAATGTTCCACTCTTTTATAAATTACCCATTCTCAAGTTGTTTTTGTTTGTTGTTTGGTTGGTTGGTTGGTTGGTTTTGAGACAGAGTCTCACTTGGTTGCCCAGGCTGGAGTGCAGTGGTGCGATCTCAGCTCACTGCAACTTCTGCCTCCCAAGTTCAAGCGATTCTCCTGTCTCAGCCACCCAAGTAGCTGGGACTATGGGCACGCACCACCACGCCCAGCTAATTTTCATATTTTTAGTAGAGACGGGGTTTCACCATGTTGGCCAGGATGGTCTAGATCTCTTGACCTTGTGATCTGCCCACCTCTGCCTCCAAAAGTGCTGGGATTACAGGTGTGAGCCGCCCCACCTGGCCCTTCTCAAGTATTTTGGTATAGCTGCATGACTGGACTAAGACAGGAACTCACAGCCCCACATAGGAGGGAGGATTCCACACTCAGAAGCACTGCCTAGGGTGCTGACAATTTACAAAGCACTGTCAGGACTTTGAATGCAGATATCTGGGCCCCCTACCAACCTCTACACCCTCCTCTGAGTTTGGGGAGAGTTTGTCTCCTCTGCTAAGTTGATTACATAAATGACCCCAATAATCCAGGACCCCTTGTATCTGTGCTCTCTGCAAAGTGATTTTGCAACTCCTCTCCCCAGGAGAAGAGTCTATTTCCCTACCCATGTAAATCTTTGTGACTTGCTTTAACCAATGGAAAGTAGTGGAAGGAATTTTGTGCTACTTCTTAGCCCAGGCTGTAAGAGAACTGTTTTGTCTCTCTCTCCTGGAACCCTGCCACTGCCATAAGAAAAAGCCCAAGCTAGCCTGCTGGAGGACTAGAAGCCATGTGGAGAAAAGCCTGCTCAGCCCATTTGCCCTTGGTCAGGCCCTTACACAGGCGAGACAGCCAAGATGAGCAGAGCCACCTGACTGCAGATACATGAGTGAGTCTTGCCAAGCCAACTAAGGTCAGCGGAACCACCCACCAAACCATAGACTCAGACAATAATAAATGGTTGTTTAAACCACCACTTTGAAGGTTGGTTCATTACAAAGCAATAGCTAACTGATACATCTCCTGATCTTCATTGCCCAGATAAGTAACCGAGGCCTTACAGACAACCAGTCACTTGCTCAGTGCTACACAGTCAGTGGAGGGCCCAACTGTGAATCACACCTGGATCTTCAAGACTCAAAATCCCTTGGCCAGGCACAGTGGCTCATGCCTGTAATCCCAACATTTTGGGAGGCCAAGGCGGGAGGATCACTTGAGGTCTGGAGTTCAAGACCAGCCTGTTCAGCATGATGAAACCTCGTCTCTACTAAAAATGCAAAAATTAAGGGGTGTGGTGACACACACCTGTAGTCCCAGCTACTCAGGAGGCTGAGGCAGGAGGATCCCTTGAACCAGGGAGGCAGAGGTTGTGGTGAGCCAAGATTGCACCACTGAACTCCAGCCTGAACAGAGAGAAACTCCATCTCAAAAAAAAAAAAAAAAATCTCTGCTATGGCCAGGCATGGTAGCTCACACCTGTAATCCTAGCACTTTGGGAGGCCGAGGATCTACTGAGCTCAGGAGTTCGAGACCAGCCTGGGCAACATAGGGAGACCCTGTCTCTATTTAAAAAAATAAAAATTTTTAAAAAGCCCTGCTACCTCTGTAACATGGACACCTACAACTAGACTGTAGAATTGTTATTAAAGGTTCCCAATCATTAACTTGGAAACCCATCAGCCATACCTCACCTTAAATCTGTTTTCCTCAACCTGTTTTCACCCATGCCTTCTTTGGATACACATGAAATACATGCTGTCTCCCACCTATAATTTGTTTGAAACTATGGGGTTAGTTTCTTTACTCGGTACCTGAATTTCCTCATCTATAAAATGGGGATGTTGTACTACCCCATTGGTTGCCGTGGGAATTAAATGACTTAATGTTCGGGAAATGCTTAGAACAGTGCCTGACATATAGCAAGGACTATATCATTAGATAAAATAAAAGTGTGACTAAAACTGATCCACAGCAATGGCAATTTTATTACGAAAACATTTTTATTTGGATCATGAGAGCTACATATTTTTCACTTTGATCTGGTGACATCAGTCTGAGTGTTGAGTCAGCTTGTCTGCCATAAGCTCTTCTATCCAAGTTGATGTGGGAGAAAACATCTCCTGGGTGGCAAACCAGTTTTTGAAAATCAGACATGCAGAAAAGCACGTCTCTCGTCTTGAGAAGCACTCTTGGGTCATTATCCCACATTTATGTCATATTTCACAGAGAATATATTCTTGGTAGGTTGTAGGCAAATCAAATCCTAAGGTAAGTCTATTATTATTTAAAGAACTCTGGTTGGGCATGGTGGCTCACGCCTGTAATCTCAACACTTCAGGAGGCCAAGGCGGGTGGATCACTTAAAGTCAGGAGTTTGAGACCAGCCTGGCCAACATGGTGAAACCCCGTCTCTACTAAAAATACAAAAATTACTCGGGTGTGGTGGCACACACCTGTAATCCCAGCTACTCTGGAGGCTGAGGCATGAGAATTGCTTGAACCTGGGAGGCAGAAGTTGCAGTGAGCTGAGATCACGCCACTACACTCCAGCCTGGGCAACAGAGCAAAACTTTGTCTTGAAAAAAAAAAGGCCGGTGCAGTGGCTCGCACCTGTAACCCGAACACTTTGGGAGGCTGAGGTGGGTGGATCACCTGAGATCAGGAGTTTGAGATCAGTATAGCCAACATGGTGAAACCCCTTCTCTACTAAAAATACAAAAATTAGCCAGGCATGGTGGTGTGCACCTGTAATCCCAGCTACTCGGGAGGCTGAGGCAGAAGAATTGCTGGAATCTGTGAGGTGGAGGTTGCAGCAAGCCAAGATCGTGCCACTGCACTCCAGCCTGGGTGACAGAGTAAGACTCCATCTCAAAAAAAAAACCTAGTAAGTGTGTTTCTATACACACACACACACACACACACACACACACACATGCTCTCTAAAGCAAATGCTTCATAATATAATACTTACCTTTACTATGTGTGATGCACGTGTTTTCTATTCTATCCTTTCATTTAAAGGTGGCCATCTAATTTATTAACTTGCTTGTTGTGGTTCCTTTAATTTTTTTTTAGAGAGACAGACTAATCTATTATCTAAGGATGTGCTATTAAATTTTATCTTACATCTTGAGTCAGTGAAAATTTTCAAGTAATTTGTCCATTTCATCTAAATTATAAATTCACTGGCAAAAACTTATTCATAATACATCTTTACTACTATGCTTTTTTTTTTTTTATGCAGGGTCCTTCTCTGTCACCCAGACTAGAGTGCAGTGGTGTGATCTTGTCTTATGCAACCTCCAACTCCCAGGTTCAAGCAATTCCCCTGCCTCAGCCTCCCGAGTAGCTGGAATTACAGGTGCCCCACCACTACACCCGTCTATTTTTTTGTATTTTTAGTAGAGACGGAGTTTCACCATGTTCACCAGGCTGATCTCAAACTCCTGACCTCAGGTGGTCCACCCACCTCGGCCTCCCAAAGTGCTAGGATTACAGGCATGAGCCACCGCACCTGGCCTCTTTTTTTTTTTTTTTTTTTTTTTTTTTAGTTTCGCTCTTGTTGCCCAGGCTGGAGTGCAATGGCGCGATCTCGGCTCACTGCAACCTCCACCTCCTGGGTTCAAGCAATTCTGCCTCAGCCTCCCGAGTAGCTGGGATTACAGGCATGTGCCACCACCCCCGGCTAATTTTGTATTTTTAGTAGAGACAGGGTTTCTCCATGTTCGTTAGGTTGGTCTTGAACTCCCGACCTCAGGTGATCCACCCGCTTTGGCCTCTCAAAGTGCTGGGATTACAGGCGTGAGCCACCGCGCCCAGCCACGCACTGGCCTATTTACTACTATTCTTTTAATATAAATCAGACCTATTGTGAATATCATTCTTCCTTTTTTTTTTTTTTTTTTTTTTGAGACAGAGTCTCATTCTGTTGCCCAAGCTGGAGTGCAGTGGCATGATTTCAGCTCACTAGAACCTCTGCCTGCCGAGCTCAAGCCATCCTCCCACCTCAGCCTTCAGAGTAGCTGGGACTACAGGTGCATACCATCACGCCTGGCTAATTTTGTTTTTATTTTTTGTAAAGACAAGGACTCACTATGTTGCCCAGGCTGGTCTTGAACTCCTAGGCTCAAAAAAGACTCTCGCCTCCACCTCCCCAAATGCTGGGATTACAGACGTGAGCCATTGCACTCGGCCCTTTTTTTTTTTTTTTGAGAACGAGTTTTGCTCTTATTGCCCAGGCTGGAGTGCAATGGCGTGATCTTGGTTCATTGCAACCTCCGCCTCCTGAGTTCAAGCAATTCTCCTGCCTCAGCTTCCCGAGTAGCTGGGATTACAAGCATGCACCACCATGCCTGGCTAGTTTTGTATTTTTAGTAGAGAATGAGTTTCTCCATGTTGGTCAGGCTGGTCTCAAACTCCCAACCTCAGGTGATCCACCCACCTCTGCTACCCAAAGTGTTGGGATTACGGGCATGAGCCACCACGCCTGGCCCCATTCTTGATATTGGTAATTTGTTTTCTCTTTTCTTGGTCAGTTTAGTCAGGGGTTTATCAATTATGTTGATTGTTCAAATAAACTATTATTACCCTTTTTAAAAATTTAATTTTTAACTGACAAATAAAAATTGTATATCTTTATGGTGTGCAAATATTGTTTTGAAATACGAATAAATTGAGGTAATAACATATGCATTACTCATATACTTATTTTTTGTGTATGGTGGGAACACTTCAAATCTATTCTTTTTTTTTTTTCCAGAGACGGGGTCTCATGCTGTCACCCAGGCTGGAGTATAGTGGCATGATCATATACTCATATACTCACTATAGCTTATACTCATATACTCATATACTCCTGGGCTCAAGCAATCCTTCCACCTCATCCTCCCAAGTAGCTGGGACTAAGTGCCCCAAGCCCATCGGCTCTTAAAATCTATTCTGTTAGTAATTTTCAAGAATACAATATTGTCATTAACTAGTCACCATGTTATACAATAGATCCCCTTTTATTTTATTTTATTATTTTTAATTTTTTTTGAGACAGAGTCTCCCTCTGTTGTCCAGGCTGGAGTGCAGTGGCGCCCTCTCAGCTCACTACAACCTCTGCCTCCTGGATTCAAGCAATTCTCCTGCCTCAGCCTCCTAAGTAGCTGGGATTACAGGAGCTCACCACCATGCCCAGCTAATTTTTTATGTTTTTGGTAGAGATGGGGTTTCATCATGTTGGCCAGGCTGATCTCGAACTCCTGACCTCATGACCTGCCTGCCTCAGACTCCCAAAATGCTGGGATTACAGGCATGAGCCACCGTGCCTGGCCACAACAGATCTCTATTTTTTTTTTTTTTTTTTTTTTTTGGTGAGACAGAGATTTACTCTTGTTGCCCAGGTTGGAGTGCAATGGTGCGATCTCGGCTCACCACATCCTCCGCCTCCCAGGTTCAAGCGATTCTCCTGCCTCAGCCTCCCGAGTAGCTGGGATTACAGGCATGTGTCACCACGCCCAGCTATTTTTGTATTTTTAGTAGAGATGGGGTTTCACCGTGTTGCGCAAGCTGATCTCAAACTCCTGACCTCAGGTAATCCACCCGCCTCGGCCTTCCAAAGTGCTGGGATTACAGGTGTGAGCCACTGCGCCCGGCTAGATCTCTTAAAATTATTTCTAACGGTAATTTTGTATCCTTTGACCAACATCTCCCCACCCCCATCCATCCCCATCCCCCAACGCCTTACCCCACACCTCTGGTAACCACCATTCTATTCTCTACTTCCACTTCCACTTTTTCAGATTCCTCTTTGCTGTGTCCTGTGTGTTTGTTCCCTCTGAAACTCATGTTGAAACTTTATCCCCAATGTAACAGTATTAAGGGGTGGGGCCTTGAAGAGGAGATTAGGTCATAAGGAGTCTGCCTTCGTGAGTGGATTAATTCATTCATGGATTAATTGGTTAATGGATTCATGGGTTATCATGGTAATGGATTATTGGTGATGGCCTCCTGGGCCTGATCTGAGGGCAGCCTCCAGCTTTTATCAAGTTATCACAAGAGTGGGTGTTATAAAAGCCAGATTGGCTCATGCTCTAGCCCCCTTGCCATTTGATGTCCTGTACCACCTTGGGACTCTGCAGACAATCCCCACCAGCAAGAAGGCCCTCACTAGGTGGGACCCCTTAACCTTGGACTTCCCAGCCACCAGAACTGAAAGAAATAAATTTCTTTTCCTTATAAATTAACCAGCTTCAGGTAGTCACTCATAGCAACAGAAAACAGACTAAGACACAAGATTGGTGTTGAGGAGTGGGGTTGTTGCTAAAAATGAACACCTGAAAATGCGGAAGCAGCTTTGAAACTGGATAATGGGCAGAGGCTGGAAGAATTTGGAGGAGCAGGTTGGCTAGGAGCATGGTCTGTATTGACATGACTGGAGCATTAAGGGCAGTGCTGGTGAAGGATCAGAAGACAAAAAGATTAGGGAAAGTCTGGAATTTCTCAGAGATTATTTAAGTGGTTGTGACCAGAATGCTGATAGAAATATGGACAGTAAAGGCCATTCTAATGAGGTCTCAGATGGACCTGAAGAACAAGGTAATGGAAGCTAAAGGCCATCCTTGTTAGAAATGGGCAAAGAGGCTGAATGCAGTGGCTCACACCTGTAATCCCAGCACTTTGGGAGGCCGAGGCAGGCGGATCACTTGAGGTCAGGAGTTCGAGACCAACCTGGCCAACATGGCGAAACCGTCTCTACTAAAAATACAAAAATTAACTGGGCGTGGTGGCACGTGCCTGAAGTCCCAGCTACTTCGGAGGCTGAGGTGGGAGAATTGCTTGAACCTGGGAGGCAGAGGTTGCATTGAACTGAGATCATGTCATTGCACTCCAGCCTGGCAACAGATTGAGATTCTGTCTCAAAACAACAACAACAAAACAAAACAAAACAAAAAACTGTCAAAGAACTTGATAGATTGTGTCCATGCCTCAGGGCTCTATGGAATGCAGAATTGAAGAGCAGTGAGTTAGGCCATCTGGTGGGAGAAATTAGGAATATCTAAGCAGCAAAGCATTCAGGTTGCTGCATGACTACTTTTAACTACCTATATTAAGTTGTGAGAAGGGGAAAATGACTTAAAGATGGAATTTATAATCAAAAGGGAAGTAAAGTGGAAAGATTTGGAAGACTCAGCCTGGCCATGTAAATAGTAAAAAGGCGGCCAGGTGCAGTGGCTCACGCCTGTAACCCCAGCATTTTGGGAGGCCAAGACGTGTGGATCACGAGGTCAGGAGAGCGAGACCATCCTGGCTAACACAATGAAACCCCATCTCTACTAAAAATACAAAAAAAAACCAGCCGGGCGTGGTGGTGGGCACCTGTAGTCCCAGCAACTTGGGAGGCTGAGGCAGGAGAATGGCATGAACCTGGGAGGCGGAACTTACAGTGAGCCGAGATCGCGCCACTGCACTCCAGCCTGGGTGACAGAGCGAGACTCCATCTCAAAAAAAAAAAAAAACAGTAAAAAGGCATGTTTGGGAGAGGAAACCAAGGGTATGGCCCAGCAACCAGTTTGCTAAAGAGACTAGTACAGAGAGAAGGGATTATCAAGACAAGGAAAGAAGGACTCTGATAGAGTTTGGATATTTGTCCCCACCCAAATCTCATGTTGAGATGTAAACCCCGCTACTGGAGGTGGGACCTGGTGGGAGGTGTTTGAATCATAGGGGCGGATCCCTCATGAATGGTTTGGGCCATCTCCTCAATGATAAGCATACCCTTGCTCTCTGAGTTCACATGAGATCTGGTCATTTCAAAGTGTGTGGCACCCCCCGCCCACCTCCACCCCCACTTGCTTGCTCCTGCTTTTGCCATGTGACAAGCCTGTTCCCCCTTCACCTTCATCATGATTGAAAGCTCCCTGGTCAGGCGCGGTGGCTCACACCTGTAATCCCAGATTGTTGGGAGGCCGAGGCGGGGGGATCACGAAGTCAGGAGTTTGAGACAAGCCTGACCAACATGGTGAAACCCCGTCTCTACTAAAAATACAAAAATTAGGCTGAGCACGGTGGCTCACGCCCATAATCACAGAACTTTGGGAGGCCGAGGTGGGCGGATCACGAGGTCAGGAGATCAAGACCATCCTGGCTAACATGGTAAAACCCCGTCTCTACTAAAAATACAAAAAAATTAGCCAGGCGTGGAGGCAGGCACCTGTAGTCCCAGCTACTCGGGAGGCTGAGGCAGGAGAATGGCGTGAACCCAGGAGGTGGAGCTTGCAGTGAGCTAAGATCGCACCACTGCACTCCAGCTTGGGCGACAGAGCAAGACTCCATCTCAAAAAAAAAAAAAAAGTAAAAAAGAAAAATTAGCCAGGCGTGGTGACAGGCACCTGTAATCCCAGCTACTCGAAAGGCTGAGGCAGGATAATTGCTTGAACCTGGGAGTCAGTGAGCCACGATCAGACCACTGCACTCCAGCCTGGGCAACAAAGCAAGACTCTGTCTCAAAAAAAAAAAAAAAAAAATCAAGGTGGCAATGTTATGCTGGTGGTTAAGGACAGAGCCTCTCCTACCACAGTGCCACTGACTTGCTATGTGACCCTGGGCAAGTCACTTAACTCTAATATGCCTCAGTTTTCTTCTGTTAAAATGGGGATAATAATACTGAGCTACCTCAAAGGGCAGTTTTGAGGCATGACTAATGCTTTTTATAAAGCATTTTGGGATCCTTCAGCAAAGGAATTCTCAAGACCTGAGTATTTTTTATAATAACAATGTCCACCATGAACTTGATCTGTCTGTGTGTCCCGGAAGCTATCATTAGTCTATATGGTTCTCTAAGAGACTGAATGAATCCATTGGAGAAGTGGTGGATAACTAGCCGGAGAAAATTTGAGAATGCTTAAACTCATTCCCATGGAAACATACACAGGACACCTTTTCTTTGATGAGGTGGGATTTTTCCCTTTTTATGTGGCATACTAGTAATTTGTGACCTAAGAATAATTTTGGAATAATTTCTATTAATATCAACTCTGAAGTTAGTTATACTGATCTGAGATTGTGTTTGTTCATAACAAAAGTGAAATGAATCTGGAAAAAAAAAAAAAAAAAAAGACAGCACCTCTGTGCACATTTCATTGGCTAAAGCAAGTCACGTGGCTATGCCTACCTGCAGAGGGAGTGGGGAAGGCAAGCCTACTACATGTCCAAGAGAAGGAGTAACTAAGTACTCCTTTGTGAGAAGTCCTAAGGCTTATCATACCCACAAATTGACTTCATGACCACTAATGATTCATGGTTGTGAGCGATAATTCAGAAAACACTCATTGAAAGGTTTCGTATGCTAACCTACAGTCTGGCTCACTACAACTTCCTTCTACTGGTCCCAGCTCTGCCCCTGGGGATACTCAAAACACATCTGCTTCCCCTGCCTCAGAACAGTCCTAGTTGGAGACAACATCTCTCTTCCCTAAGTCTGTCTTTCTCCTGGCGAAATACTCCCAATTCCCCCAGTTCTCCCCAGAATGAGACTTTCAGTTTCCTCTCCATCCCAGTCACCCTCTTCAGCCAGTACACCTCCTAAAGTGTCACCTCAAAATATGGTCTGAACAGCTTGGAGCTCAAAAGTTCCCATTTACTCAGAGAGATAAGGCTGAGTAAACTTAAGGACAGGACTGACTTTCAGAAGCAATTTCTGTAGAGCCAGTTATTTAACTTCCTCATTCAGTAAATTCTGATAATCATATTCCCACTGGGGGGCCCATGAAATCTGATCAGATCATTTTCCACCTTAAAACTCCGACAATGGCTTCCAGTTACTCAGGATGGAATACCTATTCCTTCAAGTGGCCCAGAAAGCCCTGTTGTAGGTTGGCTTCTGCCTGCTTCTCCAGCCTTGTGTTTCACAACCATTCCTTTCTCCTTACACTGCAGGATACTGGACCTCTTTCAGAATCTAGAATGTCCTCTTTCCTGACTTCACATTCACACGAACTGTTCCCTCTGCTAGGGCACTCCCAACATCCTCCTCTGCCTCACTAATTTAACTCCTCTTTATCTTCAGCTCTGTTTAAACATCTCTTCCTCCAGGCGAGGTTAGGTCCCTCAGGTATATGCACTTTACATTTCTCTCAGTACTTGGCTCACTCATAATTTACTTATAACTAATTGTAATTGCTTGTAATTTACTTGTAATTACTTGTCTATCTTGCCCACTAGATTGTACATCCCATGAGAACAAGGACTTTTTTCTGCTCTGTTCACCACTCTAGCGTCTACAGTTAAGCCTAGCACATAGGAGGTACTCAAATATATACTAACTACCAAATAGGTACTAAGCATGTTGGTACTTGGGGGTTAGGGATGCAAAAATAAATACCAGCTTACTGTCCCTAACAATTCCTAGTTTGGAGATGGGTAAAGAAGAAAAAGTGGCCATGGAAAGTGCTATATTCATTGTATTATAGAGAAGGTTGGGGAGCACAGAAGAGGATCAACCCAGCTTTAGAAGGATTAGAGAAAGCTTCCAGAGGGGTGGACATTTGAGCTAGCAAGAAAGCACAAGGGAAAAGGCATTTAGACAGAGGAGACAATTTGTCCTGACCCAGAAGCATTGGGGTATGCTATGCATGGATAGACAAAGAATTTGTGCAAAAGGGGAGCAGCAAGGCATGACAGACACAGATAAAACAGCATCAACAACCAGGGATCAGGGCAAAAGTCTGGACTTGATCCTGCTGGCAATGGAGAGAGAACAAAGGATCTTTCTGTAAAAATGGGTTCTCCCTATGTTGCTCAGGCTGGTCTCAAACTTCTGGCTTCAAGCGACCCTCCTGCCTTGGCCTCCAAAAGTGCCGGGATTACAGGCATGAACCACCATGCCCAGCCTAAAGAACAAAGAATTATAAGCAGATGAATGACACTCAGATTTGTGTTACTTACTAACACAAATGACATATGTTAAAATTTTATTTAAATTTACTTAACCATTTCCAAAACTTACTGGCTTAAAACAACCACTACTTTATTTGTTCATGATTCTGGAGGTCAGCGATTTAGGTTGGTCTTGGCTGGGGTCACTCATGCTGTTTGGGTCACCTAACCGTTTAACTGAGCTTAGGAGGTCTAAGACAGCTTCCAGCACATGTCTCCAGCAGATTGGTCCAGGCTTCTTCACAGAGCCGCAGAAGAGCTCCAAAATGAGCGTGGAAGTTGCGAGGCTTCTTGAGGCCTACATGCAGAAGTTGCACAGCATCCCTTCCACCAGACTTTACTGGTCAAAACAAATCATAAGATCAGCCCAGATTCAAGAGGTGGGGAAACAGACTCCATCTCTTAATGACAGAAGCAGCAAAGTCACATTGTACTGGGACAGGATGGGAGGAATTATTGTGATCGGCGATCACACAACAGATAAGGGGTGGCATGAGAGGATGGGGGAGAATGGAAGAATTTAGGGCTGATTGGAGTAATAGAAATGAGTTTTGAGGCTACTGCCTTTGATCAGTGAGAAATGATAAGGCCCTACCTAAGGTAGGAATGCTAGGAAGGAGAGAAATATAAGCGACATTTCAAGAAAGGAATTTCAGATTGTGGCTGGGCGCAGTGGCTCATGCCTGTAATCCTAGCACTTTGGGAGGCCAAGGCAGGCTGATCACTTGAGCTCAAGAGTTCAAGACCAGCCTGGGCAACATGGCGAAACCCCATCTCTACTAAAAATACAGAAATTAGCCAGGCGCGGTGGCATGTGCCTGTAGTCCCAGCTACTCAGTAGGCTGAGGCAGGAGGATCACTTGAGCCTGGGAGGCGGAGGTTGCAGTGAGCCGAGATCACACCACGGCACTCCACCCTGGTGAGAGCCAGACCCTGTCTTAAAAAAAAAAAAAAAAAAAAAAGAAATTTCAGATTGTAACTTTTTGAGTTACTTAAGCAATCTAAGCTTGTTTCCTTCTCTATAAAATGGGACTAAAAAGAGTATATCAGCTGACTCTGGATTTGCTGCCTATGAGTTAGCCTTACTCTGCAAGGAGCAGTACTGTTCAATAAAAGATTGCTGTCTAACACCACTAGCTTGCCCTTGAATTCTTTCCTGGCTTTCTCCCAGGCTAAGCCCCAGTTTTGAGGCTTGCCTGCCCTGCAATAAAAACACACCATAAAAATAGTGCAAAGAAAAGCCACAAAATGGATGAAAATGTTCAAATTAACGAATAACTCTTTCAAAGTTTTATAATAAATAGGCAACAACAAAAAAGAGCATATCCCAGGGTTTCTGTGAAAGTAAGAAACAATGATGTAAGTAAAACAATGCTTTTTTCACATGGGCCTGGCTCAGGTACGTTCGATATACAGTAGTGATTACTGTCACTGCATCAAGGATAGCTGCAGTTTCTGGCATGGGCAGCAGGGTAAAGGGTGGTGTTAAGTTTGGAGATGAAGAATGCAGATGGGAAGAAGGGCAGATTGGCAGGGGTGAGAGTGGTGATTTGAGTTGTTACTGGGGTCTCTGCTTGACCCCCTTGCCTTCCACTAAAGACCCTCAAATCTGAGATCTTCTAATCCAAAGGTTCTTAACTTGGGGGAGATAGGCCTTAGGAAGTACCAAAGCCCCTGAAATTATATGTAAAATGCTATGGTGTTTTTTGTCTTTATTTTTCTGAGAACGGCCAAAGCTTTTACCAGTCTCTCAAACAGATTTGTGACTCCTAAAAGGTGAAAACCATAGATCCAAGCTATCAATGTATATTGACCCATAACTGCCCCAATACCTGACCCTCTGCTGTGGTTCAACTGTTGCAAATCACAAGGAAAGAGGAGCTCATGAACAAGACTGAGGCAATACTGCTAAGCTTCCAGGTCTCTCAATATGATCCCTCCTACATTAAGCCATATTTTGCATTATTATTCTCTGTGGGCTTGGTTCTCTACCCACTTTTTTTTTTTTTTTTTTTTTTTTTGTATTTTTAGTAGAGATGGGGTTTCACCATGTTGGCCAGCCTGGTCTCGAACTCCTGACCTCAGGTGATCCACCTGCCTTGGCCTCCCAAAGTACTGGGATTACAGGCATGAGCCACCATGCCACCATGCCCAGCCAACCCCCTTCTCTTTTTTTAGGGAGACCTCAGATGTACAAAATTGAATTAATCATAATCTTTGTTTATAACATACTTTTATCACTTTTGTCATGAATAACAAATTTTTATGTATAACTTTTTATTAACTTAGCTGCTTTTAATAATTCAATAAGCACCAAACATAAAAGCTAGAGCCTTAACAATAATCTAACTTTATGTTCCCTCCAGCCCCATCCTATCCCCCTACCTCTAAGAACCATTATACTGAATTCCATAGTGAGAACCATTCTTTCCTTCTTACATGGTTTTACTGCATACATGTTCTTTTTACATGTTTTTAAATTCTTAATTGTATTTAATTTTATAGCATCACTACTCATTAGAGAAATGCAAATTAGGACCACAACGAGGTATCAAGATACATCCACTAGAATGAAGTTTTTATTTATTATTTATTTTTGAGACAGAGTCTCCCTCTGTTGCCCAGGCTGGAGTACAGTGGTGCAATCCCAGCTCACTGCAACCTCTACCTCCTGGGTGCAAGTGATTCTCATGCCTTAGTCTCCCAAGTAGCTGGAATCACAGGTATGTGCCACCACACCCGGCTAATTTTTGCATTTTTAGTACAGACGGGGTTTTCCCATGTTAGCCAGGCTGGTCTTGAACTCCTGACCTTAAGTGATCCGCCCGCCTCGGCCTCCCAAAGTACTGGGATTACAGACATAAGCCACACTGCCCGGCCCACTACAATAAAGTTTAACGTTGATAATCCTAAGTGTTAGTACTAAGATGTGGAGCAAATGGACCTCTCATACATTGCTGATGGCCGTGCAAAATGGTAGATCCACTTTGGAAAACAGTATGGTGGTACCTTATAAAGTTAAACATACATTTACCATATGACCTAGCAATTCTACCCCTAAGTATTTACTCAGAAGAAAACATGGGCTGGGCACAGTGGTTCACACCTGTAATCCTAGCACTTTGGGAGGCCGAGGTAGGTGGATCATCTGAGGTCAGGAGTTCGAGACCAGCCTGGCCAACATGGCGAAACCCCGTTTCTACTAAAAATACAAAGAAATTAACCAGGCATGGTGGTGGGTGCCTGTAATCCCAGCTACTCAGGAAGCTGCAGCAGAAGAATCGCTTGAACCTGGGAGGCGGGGGTTGCAGTGAGCTGAGATTGCACCATTGCACTCCAGCCTGGGCAAAAGAGTGAGACTCCATCTCAAAAAATAAAAAAAGAAAAGAAAACACGTACTCACAAAATTATATGCCCAAAAGGTATTGGCAGCATTACTAATAATAGCCCCAAACTGGAAGCAACTCAAATGTCCATCAACTGGTGAACAGATAAACAACATGGTGGTATGTCTGCACCATGGAATACAATTCAGCAATAAAAAGGAACAAAACATTAATACTCACAACAAACTGAATCTCAAAAACATTACACTAAGTCAAAGAAGTCAAACACCAAAGACTACATATTGTATGATTCCATGTATATATGCAAAAATTTTCCAAGACCAAATATTTGAAAGGATTATCCAGGCTTCACAGAGCATAATCACTTAAGATTTTTATTTAAAGGCAAAGGATACAGGGCAGCAAGAGAAAGACTAGGTAGGTAAACATCAGGAATCTCAGAATTCCCAAATACAAGCTCCCCATGGTCCTTATGCACATGTGGACTGCACTGCAAAGTGCCTTTGGATTGAATCATCATGATCTATGTGAGGCATCCATCCTGGTTTTGGAAGAGCTCAAATCAGAAGTTCCCAGCAGGGCTTTTATGTTGCTCTGGCCATGTAATCAAGCCAGACATACGTAACTGGTTAGACCAGCTGCAAATAATCAATAAAAGGAGTGACCAGTGGAGCTTCAGACTTTATTTATTTATTTACTTATTTATCGAAATGAAGTCTCTTGCTGTCGCCCACGCTGGAGTGCAATGGCGCTATCTTGGCTCACTGAAACCTCCACCTCCCAGGTTCAAGCAGTTCTCCCGCTCCAGCCTACTGAGTAGCTGAGATTACAGGCACCTGCCATCATGCCCTTTTGTACTTTTATAGAGATGGGGTTTCACCACGTTGGCCAGGCTGGTCTTGAACTCCTCCTGACCTCAGGTGATCCACCTGCCTCAGCCTTCCAAAGTTTTGGGATTACAGGCGTGAGCCACCGCACCTGGCCGAGCTTCAGACTTTAAACAGCACATTATAAATCCCAATGCCTTTTTTTTTTTTTTTTTTTTTGAGACAGAGTCTCACTCTGTCACCCTGGCTGGAGTGCAGTGGCACAAAACGGAGTCTCACTCTCTTGCCCAGGCTGCTCACTGCAGCCTCAAACTCCTGTGCTCAAGTGATCCTCCTGCCTCAGCCTCCTGAGTAGCTGGGACCACAGGCACATGCCAGCGCACCCAGCTAATTTTTTTTTTTTTTTTTTTGGTAAAGACCAGGTCTCACTACATTGTCCAAGCTGATCTAGAATTCCTGGGATCAAGTGATCTTCCCACCTTGGCCTCCCAAAGTGTTGAGATTACAGGCGTGAGCCACTGTGCCTAGCCTATTTTCTATTTTCTACATCTTGATGGTGACTATACTATTATATACAATTATCAAAATTTATTAAACAATATATTTAAAATTTATGAACTATATTGTATGTAAAGAATAACTCCATAGAAAAGAAAAAACCTTTCATTTAGAAAGGGCATCATGCTACATTTACTCTTCTGGGATTAAACTTTTTTCACTTAATTATTTTATTGCTCAGATTCATCCATATGGTTAGGTATCATTATAGTTCATTTGACAATTGTATAATGTTCTATTATGTGAATATTCCAGTTTACTTGTCCACTCTCTTGCTCATGGGCATCTGGGTTATTTCTAGGCTTTTGCTTTTGTGAATAGGGTTGCTATGAATATTCTTGTACACATCTCCTGGTGTACATGTATGAGTTTCTCTAGGATTTATCCCCAGTATTGGATTAACTGGGTTATAGGGTAGCTGAATGTTCAATTACAGCAGATAAACTGTTTTCCAAAGTAGTTCTCTGCTTTTCTTATCTAGGTCTGCCTGTCCCCAATTAGATGATGACTCTAGAGGCAGGGGACCCTCTCATTTTGAATTACCACTGCTTAGCATTCAATTAGCACTAGGCTGGATATCCAGGAGTCCAAGGGCAGAAGCCCAGGCACCTGAGGCCTCTTAGCCTCAGCGAATACTAAGTACTATACAGAGTGAACAGCATGCAGGGACCATATGCCACGCACGGAGGCGGTTACGGTCCTACTCAGAGCACTAGCCATGCTCCTTAAAGCTCCATCTTCCTAGCTTCACCTGATTTTGAGTCTCAGAGATCTTCCAGGGCCCTCAATTACAATGCAAATCCCAAAAGAAGGCTTAACCTCAGCTAAAGTCCCTCCTCAACTGACACCTCTAATACCCAAATAAGGATGAGCAGGAAAGACAGAAGGGACAAAAAGAGTGGCAGGAAGAGGAGGAATAAGGAAAGTGGAAAAGCCAAGAAGCCTTCAGGTATTCTAAAATTATATACCCTTTTCTGCACAGGATGTTTTCCAGGAAAAAAAAAAAAAGTTTAAAAATAAAATATCTGCAAGTGACCCTGAGCAATTTTTTATATCCCTGCCACTAAAGGTTACTTTCTTTTGGCTAAAGTTACAAAAACAACATATCGAGTATGCAGTCAGTAAATGATGAAATCTTGCCCTGAACACAGTGTGTGCAGTGAAGCCCTGTGATGCTGAGGGAAGAGTTAGGGATTAGGGGGTGGGCCAAAGAACAGGCACCAGAGCTCAGCTGCAGACTAGAAACAACAAAAAGTCTGGAATCCAACAAAACAAAACATCAGGAAATTCCTAGGTGTTCAGAAAGCAAAAGGAGAGTTACCATTCTAAAGGATGAGGAAGCCCAGTAATCTCCCACAATCCCAACTGCTACATCTCCAAGAGCTCCCTAGCTACCTGTCATACACGAGGTCTGGGAATACCTGCTAGATGAATGAACAAAGAACAAGGCACGCACAAGAGTATGACGGTTTTGTGGCAGAAGCAGCCTCCTAAGCCACATTTGGGCAGCAGTATTGTTGACAGCAGGAATGGCCAGAATTATTCAGCTCAGAGGGTTTTTCCAATGTGAGTAGGTAAGCAGATTATTTTGCACTGGCTTAACATTTTTAGTTACTTGTTCCTTAAATTAGATCATGAGCCATATGGAAAAACCAGGCGGGCTTAATTGAGCCTGTTGGCTGCTCAAGACTGGTCAGGTGGAACTCACTTCAAGGGTGACAGGGGCTCAGTAACTGGCTGGTACAAATGGAACTAATGGCATTTGCACTGACATGAAGTCCCCAACTGCAGCCCCAGGTCTATAGAGTTTCAACAACTTTATTGGCCAAATGCTTCTCCTATGTTTACAACTTAGTGTGAGCCTGCTCACTGGCTTCTCCTTCTAAGCCCCTAAGCGGGCAGCAAACTTTAGTACAGGCCTGGAGATGGGGTAGGGGTTAATGAGTGAGTTGGAAACCTGCTGATGCTCCACAATTGGACAGCAGGACAGCAAATCTTCTACTTCTTATTGCCGAAAACTGCAGAAAGACACGAACAGGATGGAGACAGGACCGAGAGTGCATCTCTGCCACTGGTCCCAGTTTCCAGTTTCTGGTGCATCCAACAGAGTATACCCTTTGTATTCTTGCTTCAGGGATTGGGTGATACTATGTCAGCCTACGCATTTTGCAGAAGTACATGGGGCCAAAATTGGCCATGAGGTTTGGTATTACCAGCTCCCCAACCTGACAGGATGAGAAGAAACAAAATGTGTCCATGAAAACCCTTCGGAAGTGAGTCAGATCTTCCACCTGTACCTGGATGCTGTATTGATTGGCCAGGAGCTCAATGGCACCTTGCACCACATACTCGTTCTGTAAGTGTGAGAGTGAGCAGGTAGAATAGACAACATGGCCTCCTGGTTTGGTGGCAAGGAGTCCAGCCCTGAAACCAGAAAGAGACAGAAGCAGTTACTAGTGAGCTTCCCAGCAGTAGAAGAGCAACATAAGGAGCTGGAAACATGGATAAGGGAAGGCTACTACAGGATGGGTAGCTGGTTAGACTGCCTCTCAAGTCCCTTCCACAATGACACTGTCTGAAAAGTCACTCTCAAGGCAGATAGCAACCCAACCTTACTCCATGAGCTCTTCACTAGGAAGTCTCCTTACAATGACCCCCTGAGCTCTTGTTTATGGACCAAATTGCTATGCTGGCTATAGAATGAGTCCTTACTCTAGCAGCTATTTTTCAAACATGTGCTACTCACTGGTACTGAGGATGAAATAGCATGAGTCAATCTGTGCAGCCCACTCTAGTATATATATCCTACTAGATAGGGTTGCTTTTTTGTTTTTGTTTTTGTTTTTTGAGACAGAGTCTTGCTCTGTTACCCAGGCTGGAGTGCAGTGGCACGATCTCAGCTCACTGCAGCCTCCACCTCCTAGGTTCAAGTGATTCTCCTCCCTCAGCCCCCTGAGTAGCTGGGACTACAGGTGTGCATCTCCACACCCAGCTAATTCAAATAGGGTTTTTATGTTCCAGAGATGATCCCATTTCTGTCTCCTCTAGGCAGATCTCCAGCCATAAGATTCTTGTGTGGGTTATGGTCTTGGTAAGAGCTTCCAGTCCCCCAGTCTCCCAGAGCACTCTGGCACAAAGTCCTGAGTTTAAAAATCTGTCACTCACGCAAGAAGCTGCACTTGCAGCACAGGCAATATCTGTCGCTCCTTCTTCCTTGACCGCTTAAAGATGTTGTTCTCCTCCTCATGAAGGGAGTGGCGGTCTGTGGTACAGGGCACATCCACCAGCACCTACCCAGAGTGTTAAAGGGTAAAGTATTAAAGATCCTTATAGGCTTCTCTTCCTTAGGCCAGAGATGTTTTAGGCCCCTGGCCTAAGTTTGTGAAATATTCCCTCTGCCCATCCCTCCTTTGCAGAGTACCTGACAAAGTTCTTCATTTTAACTTGGTAGACAATTGTGAAATAATGAGTGGAAAATAGTATATTTGGGAATATTCATGGCTGGTCAAAAACCCAAAACTAACACACAAGTAACTATAATTTTTTTTTTTTTTAATTTTTAGAGACAAATCTTGCTCTGTTGCCCAGACTGGAGTACAGTGATGTGATCATAGGTCATTGCAGCCTCAAACTCCCTGGGATCAAGCAATCCTCCCACCTCAGCCTCCTGAGTAGCTGGGGCCATAGATGCAAACCACCACTCCAGACTAATTTACATATATATATATATATATATATATATATTTTTTTTTTTTTTTTTTTTTTGAGATGGAGTCTTGCTCTGTCGCCCAGGCTGGAGTGCAGTGGCGCAATCTCGGCTCACTGCAAGCTCCGCCTCCCGGGTTTACGCCATTCTCCTGCCTCAGCCTCCCGAGTAGCTGGGACTACAGGCGCCTGCCACCATGCCCGGCTAATTTTTTGTATTTTTAGTAGAGCCGGGGTTTCACCGTGCTAGCCAGGATGGTCTCGATCTCCTGACCTCATGATCTGCCCGCCTTGGCCTCCTGAAATGCTAGGATTACAGGCATGAGCCACCATGCCCGGCCTAATTTTTGTATTTTTGTAGGGACAGCATTTTGCTATGTTGCCCAGACTAACTATAAGATAATTCTTTAAACAGTACACTTATGATTTGGTCACTTCTGTATTATACTCCAATAGGAAAGTTATTACAGTCTGGAAAACATAGTGAGACCCCACCTGCACAAAAAAAATTTTTTAATTAGCCGGGCGTGGTGGCATGCACCTGTAGTCCCAGCTACAAAAAATTTAAAAACTAGCCAGGCATGGTGGCACACACCTGTAATCCCAGCTACTCGGGAGGCTAAGGCAGGAGAATCGCTTGAACTTGGGAGGCAGAGGTTGCAGTGAGCCAAGATCGCGCCATTGCACTCCAGCCTGGGCGCCAGAGCAAGACGCCATCTCAAAAAAAAAAAAAAAAATTTAGCCGGGCGTGGTGGCAGCGCTCTTGTAGTCCCAGCTACTACTCAGGAGGCTGAGGTGGGAGAATTGCTTGAACCTGGGAGGCGGAGGTAGCAGTAAGCCAAGACCGCGCCACTGCACTCCAGCCTTTGGCAACAAAGTGAGACTTCGCCTCGAAAAAGAAAAAAAAAAGCTTACTACAGGACACAAAAATAACCACAAAACTTAAAAGGAAACACGACTCCTTGAGCAAGTCAGCAGAAACAGCAACCAGTAAAACTAAATTCCCAGTTTATTTGTTTGTTTGTTTTTGGGATGGAGTCTGGCTCTGTCACCCAGGCTGGAGCACAATGGCACGATCTCGGCTCACTGCAACCTCCACCTCCCGGGTTCAAGCGATTCTCCCACCTCAGCCTCCTAAGTAGCTGGGACTACAGGCGCACAATACCACGCTCAGCTAATTTTTGTATTTTTTTAGTACAGACGGGGTTTTGCCATATTGGCCAGGTTGGTCTCGAAATCTTGACCTCAGGTGATTTACCCGCCTCAGCCTCCTAAAGTGCTGGGATTACAGGCATGAGCCATCATGCCTGGCCGGCCCCAATTTGTTTTTTCAATGAGACTAGTCAACTGCTGGAGTGAGAAAGGGAGAAAGAGCAGGAGTGAGAAGGGGAGAAAGAGTAGACGAAGTTCCATCTGTAACTGATTGTCAACAATAGTTTTGATATAGGAATTATCCAATGTAGAATTAAAATATTAATATAAACCTTCCTAAATAACAAAAGAAGTTAAAAGAAAAACAAAACAGCAAGGACAGAGACCCCACAGTGAAAGAAACATGGTAAATAAACACAGTAAAATAATTTGACAGGTGTCAGGCACAGCGGCTCATACCTGTAATTCCAGCACTTTGGGAGGCCGAGGCAGGCAGATCACAAGGTCAAGAGATCGAGACCATCCTGGCCAACATGGTGAAACCCCATCTCTACTAAAAAGACAAAAATTAGCTGGGTGTGGTGGCACGCACCTGTAGTCCCAGCTACTCGGGAGGCTGAGGCAGAAGAATCGCTTAAATCCAGGAGGCACAGG
This sequence comes from Homo sapiens, assembly GCF_000001405.40. NCBI lineage: Eukaryota > Metazoa > Chordata > Mammalia > Primates > Hominidae > Homo > Homo sapiens. The sequence continues at coordinate 46,358,482 of NC_000001.11, read as the reverse complement.
TTGCAGTGAGCCGAGATCGTACCACTGCACTCCAGCCTGGCAACAGAGTGAGACTCCATCTCAAAAAAAAAAAAAAAAAAAAAATTAGGCCAGGAGCAGTAGCTCATGCCTATAATCCCAGCACTTTGGGAGGCCGAGGCGGGCAGATCACCTGAGGTAAGGAGTTCGAGACCAGCCTGGCCAACATGGCGAAACCCTGTCTCTACTAAAAATACAAAAATTAGCCGGGCACAGTGGTGGGCACCTGTAATCCCAGCTACTCAGGAGGCTGAGGCAGGAGAATCGCTTGAACCCAGGAGGCGGAGGTTGCAGTGAACCAAGATTGCGCCACTGCACTCCAGCCTGGGTGACAGAGCGAGACTCCGTCTCAAAATAAATAAATAAATAAATAAATACAAAAATTAGCCAGGCATGGTGGCGGGCGCCTGTAATCCCAGCTATTTGGGAGGCTGAGGCACAAGAATTGCTTGAACCCGGAAGGTGGAGGTTGCAGTGAGCCAAGATGGCACCACTGTACTCCAACTTGGACAACAGAGCGAGACTGTCTCAAAAAATAAATAAATAAAATGATAATAATTTGACAGAGCTGAGACCAAAATCATCAATGGCATCAATTGCTTAAGTCAGCAATGAAAAGAATAAAATTTATAGATTGGCTCACAAAGCAAAACCTGTCTATGCAGCATATAAGAGATACACCTAAAAGGAAATGACCTAAATATAAAGGGATGAGCAAAGGTATAACTGCAATCCTTTAAAAAAAAAAGCTGTAGGAGTTTCCCCAACCCAAAAAGGAGGAAATGTCTACAGACTCTTTCCTTACTCCTTCTCAGTGTCCTCAGTCATGGTCAGAACTTTTAGGAAGATGGCTGCAAGGTATACTTAGGACCGCTGGACTCCTGAGCCCCTAATGCAGAGAAACAGCAGAGCTATGTAATTTCAAGGGGACTATAAATCGATGGCAATATATCTGAATATCTTGGTTCTAATATATTTCTAATATTGTTTCAGTAGTGTTAACTGTGGAAAATGTTCATGTTGAGAGGCCAAGGCGGGCGGATGGCTTTAGCCCAGGATTTCGAGACCAGCCTGGGCAATATGACAAAACCCCGTCTCCACAAAAAATACCAAAAAAATTAGCTGGACATGCTGGCACATGCCTGTACTCCCAGCTACTTGGGAGGATGAGGCGGGAGAATTGCTTGAGCCCAGGAAGCAGAGGTTGCAGTGAGCCGAGATTGTGCCATTGCACTCCAGCCTGGGCGATGGGAGTGAAACCCTGTCTCAAAAATAAAAAAATATGTTGATCTCACTCAGTCACAGAAGAAAGAAAAGGAAGTTGTACTGTTGCACTACACTTAGGAAACATTTAGGGAGGGTAGTCAAACCACTCAACATCAGATATGGCACATGCATCTTCACATCAGGCACTGGCATGGATGTCAGTCATAAATAACCAGTCGTGCCAGGATAGTGCTCCCACTGAATCTCAGCCCTGGGCAAGTGTCTAACAAATATTATTTGTATTAATATCAATTTGTATAATATTGTATTATAAGGGAAGATAGAAACATGTTCAAATAAACATTGTATTATTTGAAATAAACTTGAGCTCACATAAAAAAGAAAGTTGTGACATGGGGGGGTTAGTGTCTTCCATGAACATGCAGAGCTCTGAGGTCCTGTCCCTTCTCCAGCTGATGGACAAGTGGAGCGGGAGAAGGATGGAGTTACCAAGAGTATGTAGAGCCCTGAAGTAGTATTCTTCTTCTTCTTCTTCTTTTTTTTTTTTGAGACGGAATCTCGCTGTCTCCCAGGCTGGAGTGCAGTGGCGCGATCTCGGCTCACTGCAGGCTCTGCCCCACAGGGTTTACGCCATTCTCCTGCCTCAGCCTCCCGAGTAGCTGGGATTCCAGGCGCCCGCCATCTCACCCGGCTAATTTTTTGTATTTTTAGTAGAGACGGGGTTTCACCGTGTTAGCCAGGATGGTCTCCATCTCCTGACCTCGTGATCCGCCCGCCTTGGCCTCCCAAAGTGCTGGGAATACAGGCGTGAGCCACCGCGCCCAGCCTTGAAGTAGCATTCTTCTTTGCATCTAAAGTGCTTAACACGGCTGGGCACGGTGGCTCACACCTGTAATCCTAATGCTTTGGGGGGCTGAGGCAGGAGGATCACTTGAGCTCAGGAATTCGAGACCAGCTTGGACAACATAGTGAGACCTCATCTCTACAAAAAGTTAAAAAATTAGCCAGGCATGGTGCACATGCCTGTAGTCTCAACTACTTGGGAGGCTGAGGTAGGAGGATCACTTAAGCCCAGAAAGTCAAGACTGCAGTGAGCCATGATTGCGCCACTGCATTCCAGCCTGGGCAACAGAGCAAGACCTTGTCTCAAATAAATAAATAAAAGTGCTTAACACTTGCCTACCACAGAGTATATTGTACACAACTAGTTTTTTTTTTTTTTTGAGACAAAGTCTCACTCTTGTTCCCCAGGCTGGAATGCAATGGCGCGATCTCAGCTCACTGCAACCTCTGCCTCCCGGGTTCAAGCAATTCTCCTGCCTCAGCCTCCCAAGTAGCTGGGATTACAGGTGCCTGCCACCACACCCGGCTAATTTTGTATTTTTAGTAGAGACGGGGTTTCACCACGTTGGCCAGGCTGGTCTCAAACTCCTGACCTCAGGTGATCCACCCACCTTGGCCTCCCAAAGTGCTGGGATTACAGTCGTTAGCCACCGTGCCCGGCCACAACTAGTTTTTCAACAAACAAGTTAACAAAGACATCTTCAAACATTAAAGCTGTCAAGTGAAATAGCAGGTCACTCATTCTATATTGTTCTAAAATAAGTAGCTAGGATCAATGAATGGAAATAATAATAATAATGGTAAGGATTGTGATGATTATACTACTACTGAATGTTTTCTATATTCCAGACATTGTGCCAAATGCATTCTTATTTAATTTTCACCTACGGGATAGGCACTATACTATTATCCTCATTTTACAGATGAAGAAGCTGAAGCTTAACTGAAAGTTAAGTAACTCACCGAAACTTCTCTGGCTGATAAGTAATGGAACCAGGACTAATCCAAGCAGTCTGACTCCAGAATCCTTGCCCTAACCCATATACCATGCTATCTACAGATTGCAGTAAGAGGCAGAACTTCCTAACATTGTAAGTGTTCAACAACAGAATCTCAGTGTGCACCCATCAACGGATGTGTTTAAGCATAGGCTGAATAATGATAATGGGTCCTGCTTGCCTAATCTTCACCGCCAGGTACTATACTAAGTGCTTTCCCTGGATACTCTCACTGAATCCTCACAATAATCCTAAGTGGTAGGATTACCCTGTTTCACAAACGAAGAGGTTGAAGTTCAGCAAGATCAACAGTTTGCCTAAGGTTAGTAAGTAGCACCCCTGTAATGTAGAAACTGGTTAGGCTGACAGGAGAGGTCATGCTCTCTCCATCATGTTCCACTGCTCTCATATCAAGAAAAATGAATAGGCCGGGCGCAGTGGCTCACGCCTATAATCCCAGCACTTTGGGAGGCTGAGGCTAATGGATCACTTGAGGTCAGGTGTTCGAGACCAGTCTGACCAACATGGTGAAACCCCGTCTCTACTAAAAAAATACAAAATTAGTCAGGCGTGGTGGCACACACCTGTAATCCCAGCTGCCTGGGAGGCTGAGGCAAGAGAATCGAACTTTGAACCCAGGCTTGAACCCAGGAGGCGGAGGCTGCAGTGAGCCAAGATTGCGCCACTGCACTCCAGCCTGGGCAACAAGAGCAAAACTGTCTCAAAAAAAAAAAAGAAAAAAATGAGTAGGGGATTCCTACACAGGCAGAAAGCAAGTCTCAAGCCTATCTAAGATTCCATAAGCCTTGGTCTTTCTTTCAGTTTCTTAGAGTGGTTGAGGCAGAATGGTGAGAACTAGACAGATTAGGTAAATCAGGTGACAACACAGAGACAACAGCTATATATTTTATATATTTTTAGAAATATGTGTTCTAAACAAATATTTTTAGAGTATGCCATTTAAAATAAAATAAATAACTTAAAAACATGAAGAGACTGGCCCAGCACAGTGGCTCACACCTATAATCCCAGCACTTTGGGAGGACAAGGTGGGAGGACTGCTCAAGCCCAGGAGTTCGAGGCCAGCCTGGGCAACATAGTGAGACCCCGTCTCTACAAAAAATCATTTGCTGGGCATGGTGGCACACTCTAGTCCCAGCTACTCGGGAAACTGAGGCAGGAGGACCCCTTGAGCCCAGGAGGTTGAGGCTGCAGTGAGCCGTGTTCACACCACTGTACTCCAGCCTGGGTGACAAAGTGAAAACCTGCCACTCAAAAAAAAAAAACTTTAAAAAAATTAATATGGAGATTTTCAACATGATTAATAAGAGATTGTAAATTAGATACTATCCATTTGGCAAAAAAATTAAGTTTGATAGCACCAATATTGGCAGCATGTGGGAAATCAGTACTCATTCATTACCAGTAGGAGTGAAACTGGTTTAACCTCCACAGAGAAATTTAGCAATCGCTATCAAAATCTTAAATGGATGTAAACTGTTATTCAACAACTATACTTCCACAATGTCAACAAAATTAAAAAAGGATTTAACCCCAGGACACATTATTAAATAAAAAAATACAAAGTTCAGAATAGTGAGTATAATATAATATACTACCGGCTGGGCGCAGTGGCTCACGCCTGTAATCCTAGCACTTTGGGAGGCCGAGGCGGGTGGATCACGAGGTCAGGAGGTCAAGACCAGCCTGGCCAAGATGGTGAAGCCCCGTCTCTACTAAAAAAAATACAAAAATTAGCCGGGCGTGGTGGTGGGCGCTTGTAATCCCAGCTACTCGGGAGGCTGAGGCAGAGAATTGCTTGAACCCAGGAGGCGGAGGCTGCAGTGAGCAGAGATCGCGCCATTGCACTCCAGCCTGGGCAACAAAAGCGAAACTCCGTCTCAAAAAAAAAAAAGAAACAATCGTTATCTATAGGGTGGGGAAGTAGGGGGCTACAGGCCAGATGAGAAAAACTCACTTTTCATTGGATACTCTTTTGTGCCTTCTGAATTTTGTACCATGTGCTGTACTAACATTCAAAAATAAATAAATGAGCTTATTCTTACTTACCTTCATGAGGCTTTCTGAGCAACCAAGTGACTTGAGAAATAAAGTAAGCCTAGTAAATTTTTCCCCTACTCAAATAGTTTCAAATTCTTTTTTGCTGCCAACTATCTTTAATAGAGATAATAACCAGTCATCTAAGCTGATTTTTCTTTTGGTCAAATCACCAATGTAGAACTGGCCAGTCCAGAAACAGCTCTACATGCTCAAACATAGGGGCTGGATCCTAACCCCTCAGGCCCTAGAACCAGGATGGGGAGGCCGCATTAAGCTGGATGCATGTCCTAAATCAAGAATCACTCACCCGGTCATAGGTGTCCCCCTCCAGTTCTCCCCATTTCCTGCCATCCCATGAGGTAACTCGAACTTGATTTCCATCCCTGATCTCTTCAGGCACATAGCTGTGAAGGATCTTCTGTAGTCTGGCTATTCGGGACGGGGAGAGATCATTGGCAGCAAGATTGCCTATGGAAATAAAGATACTTCAGAGGCCATGACCCAATGAAACATTCCACCAGCAATGGCGCTGATGGAGTCAGACCAATTCTCAGGTAGTCCCAGCCAATGCAAACCCCAGCATCAGGAACATTTATTATGTGCATGGCACAGCATCAGTCATTCTGAGTGGGGGTACAATGGCAAACACCTAAATGGGCCAGAAAGTATCAAAGTTATTTAAGTCAATGAATAAAGCAGACCAAGTAAGACTCCTTTCCTTTCTCCTTTCCTGTCCTCTCTCCCCTTTCTCCCCTTTCTTTCCCCTTTCCCCTTTTCCTTTCCCCATTACTTTCGCCTTTCTTCTCTCCTTTCCCTCTCCCCTTTCCTCCCTTTCCTTTCTCTCCTTTTCTTTCTCTCCCTCTCTTTCCTTTTGTTTTTTTTTTAAGACAGAGTCTCATTCTGTCGCCCAGGCTGGAGTTCAGTGGCACACTCTCAGCTCACTGCAACCTCCACCTCCTGGGTTCAAGTGATTATCATGCCTTAGCCTCCTGAGTAGCTGGGACTATGGGTGTGCACCACTATACCCGGCTAATTTTTGCATTTTTAGTAGAGACAGCATTTCACCATGTTGGCCAGGCTGGTCTTGAACTCCTGACCTCAGGTGATCCCGCCTGCCTTGGCCTCCCAAAGTGCTAGGATTACAGGTGTGAGCCACTGCACCCAGCCACATTCTTTTTTTTTTTTTTTAAAGACAGGGTCTCTGAGTCTGGGCATAGTGGCTCACGCCTCTCATCCCAGCACTTTGGGAGGACGCCAAAGTAGGTGGATTGCTTCAGCCCAGGAGTTCAAGACCAGCCTGGGCAACATAGCGATACCTCATTTCTACAAAAATAAAAATATATTTAAATAATTTTTTAAAAAGAGACTGGAAGGCCAGGCACGGTGGCTCACACCTGTAATCCCAGCACTTTGGGAGGACAAGGCAGGCGGATCACAAGGTCAGGAGATCGAGACCATCCTGGCTAACATGGTGAAACCCCGTCTCTACTAAAAATACAAAAAATTAGCCGGGCATGGGGGTGGGTACCTGTAGTCCCAGCTACTCGGGAGGCTGAGGCAGGGGAAAGGCGTGAACCCGGGAGGCAGAGCTTGCAGTGAGCCGAGATGGCGCCACTGCATTCCAGCCTGGGCGACAGAGCAAGGCTCCATCTCAAAAAAAAAAAAAAAAAAAAAAAGAGACTGGGTCTCACTATGTTGCCCAGGTAGGTCTTGAATTCCTGGCCTCAAGCAATTCTCCCACCTCAGCCTCCCAAAGTGCTGGGATGATGGGTGTGGGCCACCATGCCCAGCCAAGAATATTTATTTCTAAAAAAATATGCTCTCCCACTATTCTGGAAACCTATGGCTCTCTTCATCTTTGGTAGATACTACAGTTTATTTAGCCAAAATCATTCTCCTCTTCCTCCTTATTAATAGAACCCCAATTTTTTGGAAGGGGAAAATTGCCCCAAAAGACTACATTTCTCAACCTTTCTTTAGTTTCGCTCTTGTTGCCCAGGCTAGAGTGCAATGGCGCGATCTCGGCTTACCATAACCTCCGCCTCCCGGGTTCAAGCGATTCTCCTGCCTCAGCCTCCCGAGTAGCTGGGATTACAGGCATGCGCCACCACGCCGGCAAATTTTGTATTTTTAGTAGAGACGGGGTTTCTCCATGTTGGTCAGGCTGGTCTTGAACTCCCGACCTCAGGTGATCTGCCTGCGTCGGCCTCCCAAAGTGCTGGGATTACAGGTGTGAGCCACCACACCCGGCTAAGCCTTTCTTTTACAACTAAGTATGACTATATGACTAACTTTTGGTCATAGTTGTAGGCATAAGTATTGGATAGGAATTCTGGGAAGATATTTTTAAAAGGCTGACATAATTGGGAGATGAAATGAGTCTCTTTTGCCCAATCCTTTCCTCTTGACTCAAATATGGATGTGATGGCTGGACTTCCAGCAGTCATTCTGGACCATGAGGCCTTGCCTTAGAGCTTTACTAGTTACATATCTTCTCCCTCTTAAAGGGAGGGAGGCTAAGGCTGACACTAGCAACAAAATACGTTGCAAAAGGAAAAAGGGAGCTTAAGTCCCTGATAATTGTGGAGCCTCCATACCTGGAGTGCCTATATCTCAGCTTCTCTTATGTAAGAGATAAATTAATGTTTCCTCTTTAAGCCAATTAGTTAGGTTTTCTATCAAATGCAACCAAACCTAATTCTGATTTACCATCTACCTTTCATTTTCTCTTTATTGGTAGACATGAGTTCAAGAAATATCTCACTTTGCTCTTAGTGCTACTATGAGAAAAATATTGCAAGCTTGATGATAAATGACACTTGATACCTGGCCTCTGAGTCAAAGAACAACAAGGTAGGGTGGGAATGGTAAAGAATGCGAGATGCAAGTGTCCACCTTATCTAATAGTGGTCACTACTATGAACCAGCTTAGTAATCCCATAAATAAATGTCTCCTTTTTTTTTATTTTAATGAAGATGAGGTCTATGTTGCCCAGGCTAGTCTCGAACTCCTGGACTCAAGTATTCCACCTGCCTCAGCCTCCTAGCTTGTGCTGGGATTACAGGCGTGAGTCACCGCCCCCCGGCCAATGTCTCCATTTTTGAGGGCACTCAAAGAAGTAAAAATTGTATTCTCTGCTCTAGAGGAATTTGCAGAAGGATATGAACTGAGAAAAAGAAAGATGGGTTCCAGTTCTGGCTCTACCTCCAATTCTTGTATTATTTATTTAATCTCCACAGAACTCAATTTCTCCCTCCATAAAATATGAGGGCTAGACTAAGTAAACACTAATTTCCCTTCTTATACAAATTCTGTGATCCCGTTTTCCTCGGATCAAGAGTTGTCGCTTGATGAGGAGCTGGGATGAAGGTGAGGTGCTGATAGTTAAGCATGCCTTAGAAGAACAACTCTCAATTACTTCTTCTTTGCCCTTCTTCCTCCTCCTAGTTCAAGTTCCTCCTCCTCCAAGTAACCCTACCCTTACTCATCTCCCTTCTAATGGATTCCCACAGCATTCAGTCAGATAAGAATTGTCCAGCACACAGGCTGGGCTCTCTTGCATTGGATTCATTAAGCCCATGACCCCACCTTTTCTTCTCTCCCTCTGGACTTCCAGAAGGCTATGACCGAATGTGATATCTCTCTGAATCAACCAATGCCTATCATAAGGCTGGATGCTGACTCAAACTGTGCAAGCTGGCTGACAAGACCTGGAAAAGAAGGGTCTAGGTCCAACAGAAGGGCTTGGGCACACGGCAAGAGAAGCCTGGCTGAGCTCCAGGTTAGGTGTGTAAATTACGGCCCTTTGTCAGGGGCCAAAGGAAAAAAACTATCTATTTTAAGGCAGGATATCGGCCAGTGGATGGCTGAAGTGAGTACTTAACAGTGCACAAGGCGCCAGGCGCGGTGGCTCACGCCTGTAATCCCAGCACTTTGGGAGGCCAAGGTGGGCGGATCACGAGGTCAGGAGATCAAGACCATCCTGGCTAACACGGTGAAACCCTATCTCTACTAAAAATACAAAAAAATTAGCCGGGCATGGTGGCGGGTGCCCGTGGTCCCAGCTATCTGGGAGGCTGAGGCAGGAGAATGGCATGAACCCGGGAGGCGGAGTTTGCAGTGAGCCGAGATCACGCCACTGCACTCCAGCCTGGGTGACAGAACAAGACTCCGTCTCAAAAAAAAAAAAACAAAAAAACAAACCAAAAAAAACAGTGCACAAGACTGGGCGCGGTGGTTCACACCTGTAATCTCAGCACTTTGGGAGGCCGAGGTGGGTGGATTGCGAGGTCAGGAATTCGAGACCAGCCTGGCCAACATGGTGAAACCCCATCTCTACTAAAAATACAAAAATTATCCGGGTGTGGTGGTGGGTGCCTGTAATCCCAGCTACTCAGGAGGCTGAGGCAAGAGAATTGCTTGGAACCAGAAGGCGAAGGTTGTATTGAGCTAAGATCGTGCCACTGCACTCCAGCTTGGGTAGAAAAGCGAAACTTCTTCTCAAAAAAAAAAAAAAAAAAAAAAAACAGTGCACAAGGCCTTCGCTGGGCTACTTTACTGAGACAAATAAGATGTGGGCCTATCCCCAAGGAATCCACTTTTTTTTTTTTTTTTTTTTTTTTTTTGAGACAGAGTTTTGCTCTTGTTGCCCAAGCGGAAGTGCAATGGCGTGATCTCAGCTCACTGCAACCTCCATCTCCCAGGTTCAAGCGATTTTCCTGCCTCAGCCTCCCAAGTAGTTGGGATTAGCCCACCACCAGGCCCGGCTAATTTTTTGTATTTTTAATAGAAACGGGGTTTTACCATGTTAGCCAGGCTTGTCTTGAACTCCTGACCTCAGGTGATCCACCCGCCTCAGCCTTCCAAAGTGCTGGAATTATAGGCGTGAGCCACCGTGCCCGGCCAGAATCCATCATCTTTAAGAGGGAGAAGATATATAACTAGTAAAGCCCTAAGGCAAGGCTAATGTTGCAAGGGCGATACCCATGCTGTGGGAGCGTAGGAGACAGGCATCATTTCTGAACCGGCCAGCAGAGGTCGTAAGGACAGACGTCCAGGAGGTGGCACACTTGAGCTGAGGCTTGAAAGTCAAAAGGATGACTGGGCAGGCAGGATATCAGCCAGTGGATGGCTGAAGTGAGTACTTGACACAAGGGGCCGGGCGCGGTGGCTCATGCCTGTAATCCCAGCAATTTGGGAGGCCTAGGCGGGCAGATCACAAGGTCAGGAGATTGAGACCATCCTGGCTAACAGGGTGAAACCCTGTCTCTACTAAAAGTACAAAAACAAATTAGCTGGGCGTGGTGGTGGGCGCCTGTAGTCCTAGCTAGTAGGGAGGCTGAGGCAGGAGAATGGCGTGAACCCAGGAGGCGGAGCTTGCAGTGAGCCGAGGTCGTGCCACTGCACTCCAACCTGGGTGACAGAGTGAGACTCCATCTCGAAAAAAAGAGAAAAAAAAAGAAAGAAAAAAAAAAAGAAAGTCAAAAGGATTTGGACAGCCAAGGGTGAGGGAATTCCAGGGAGAAAATTTAACAAGAGCAAAGGCAACAGAGAGTAGCAGAGTAAGGTTAAAGCACATAAAGCCTAGAAGAGTGACATATAAAGCATATAAATGGTGGCTGCAGGCAGATCTTATCATTTTAGTTGGTAGGCTAAAGAAATGGGCTTAATCTTAGAGGAAAAGTAAACAGATGAAGAGGAGTGTGTATCATGTGATCAACTGATCAGAGCCCTACTTCAATCTGACTTCAGAGAACTTGCTCAGCAATCTTTCTTGACCAATTGACAGAGAAAGAGAGGAACTAATGAAAAAATACACAAGCTTAGAAAGTAAGTACTACCCTCCACTCTGACTTTGGGACTAGAGAACCTACCATATTCTTTTTTTGTGTGTGTGTGAGACAGGGTTTCACTCTGTCGCCAAGGCTGGAGTGCAGTGGCAGGATCTCAGCTCATTGTAACCTCCACTTCCCGGGTTCAAGCAATTCTCCTGCCTCAGCCTCCTGAGTAGCTGGTATTACAGGAGTGCACCACCACACCCAGCTAATTTATGTATTTTTAGTAGAGATGGTGTTTCACCATGTTGACCAGGCTGGTCTGGAACTCCTGACATCAGGTGGTCCGCCTCCCTCGGCTTCCCAAAGTGCTGGGATTACAGGCGGGAGCCACTGCGCCTGGCCGAACCTACCATATTAAATGTACCTGGGACTAGGTGAGGTGGGGAGCTCTCTCTGCCCAACACACCAGCACCCTGACTTACGGCAACAGCCAGTCTGAAGCAACGCTAGTGTCTTTCCCCCAGGAGCTGCACATAGGTCAAGCACGATGTCCCCAGGCTGCAGGCCGAGGGCCAGAACAGGCAGCAAGGAGGCAGCATCCATCAGGTAGTACTCCATGACACCCAGGCTGCCAGGTCTGGAAAAGAGGAGACCACTTTATTGTTAAATTCCAGGTCAGGACACCCACTGGGAGTCTAGGCCACCAAGTCTATGCCCTCTGGGGCTTGAGCTCCAATCACCAAAAACTCATTTTTCAGACCCACACTTACTTATTCACTTATTCATTCATCTATACGGGAGCCAGAATGATTATTTATTTACTGATTGATTGACTGACGGAGTTTCACTTTTGTTACCCAGGCTGAAGCGCAGTGGCACGATCTCGTCTCGCTGCAACCTCCACCTCCCAGGTTCAAGTGATTCTCCCGTCTCAGCCTCCTGAATATCTGGGATTACAGGTGCCCGCCACCATGCCTGGCTAATTTTTTTTTTTTTTTTTTTTTTTGAGACACAGTCTCGCTCTGTTGCCCAGGCTGGAGTGCGGTGGCGCAATCTTGGCTCACTGCAACCTCTGCCTCCCAGATTCAAGTGATTCTCCTGCCTCAGCCTCCCAAGTAGCTGGGATTACAGGCTTGTGCCACCATGCCCAGCTAATTTTTTGTATTTTTTAGTAGAGATGGGGTTTCACCATTTTGGCCAGGCTGGTCTTGAACTCCTAACCTCAGATGATCTGCCCGCCTCGGCCTCCCAAAGTGCTGGGATTACAGGTGTGAACCACTGTGCCTGGCCAATTATTGTTTTTAAATAGCTGTCTTCCTCACTAAACTGGAAGCTCTATGAGGGCTTGTTCATCAAGGCACTTAAATGCCTAGCATTTGGTAGATAATTTTTTTTTTTTTTTTTTTTGAGACAGAGTCTCGCTCTGTCGCCCAGACTGGAGTACGGTGGCACGATCTCAGCTCACTGCAACCTCCACCTCCTGGGTTCAAGCAATTCTCCTGCCTCAGCCTCCCAAGTAGCTGGGACTACAGGCGCACGCCACCACACCCAGCTAATTTTTTTGTATTTTAGTAGAGACAGGGTTTCATCATGTTGCCCAGGCTGGTCTCAAACTCCTGAGCTCAGGCAATCCGCCCGCCTCAGCCTCACAAAGTGCTAGGATTAAAGGCGTGAGCCACCACACCCGGCCAATATTTTTTAATAAATAAATCAGTCTTTCAAAAATCAATTCCCATACCCTACAACTAACATTGAGCTCTCCTTAATTGTTAAAGCATAATTCAGCATTTGATTCTGCAGTCTTTTCTCATTCAACTTCATATACATGAGGATTGAATCAAGAAACTGAACTTCTCCTTTCTTTTTCCCAGTCTAATACCAAGTTTGTGCCCCTAGACCAGCCCTATTTCCTAGGAAAGTCCCACTACCTCTTTGCTACCATGAAGTTACTTTTCCTATTCACTTTGATGGGTGGCTGTGAGGGCAAAATGAGAAGACTGCTGTGAATAACACATTTCAACTTGAGAGGGCCCAGTGAGTGCTCATGTAAAAGGTGGCTGTTTTCTACCAGAGGCACAGAGCAGAGTGGGTTCAAAGTGCAGGTTCTGGGTCTAAATATTAGTCACACCACTTACCATCTGAGGGACCTAAAGCAAGTAAGAATCTTAACTTCTCTGTACCTCAGTTTCTCCAAATGTAAAACAGCAATAATATTACCTACTTCATAAGGCTGCTGACAGAACAAAAAGAGATAACATATGTACAGCACCTCAAAAAAATGCCTAGTCTGTATAAACATGCCATAAATATTAGCAATATTATGGTCCTTATTACAGAGGGTAGAAGCTGGGTCTCAACATGTCTACTTCCAGCAGACACTCAGGACCGCTCCAGTCATGGCTCCAGATCCTACCTGGCAGGAGGGAAGCGACTGATATCCCCTCTGTCAAAAGTGAAGCATCGAAGGTTCGGACTGCAGGCCCAGGAGGCAGGGGATGGGGCTGCAGATTGGCCACCCTCAGACTGCAGTTCCCAGTGGGAGATGGCTTCATTCACAAAATCCTTGGCACTCAGCTGCTCCAGCTTAGCACTTACATGATCCCAGGCAGCAAAGTTATTGACCAGTGCACCATACTTCTGCTCTGAGAGGAGACTGACACGGATTGATGGCCAAAGATCTCCAAACTGCACACTGTAAGTCATGTCAAAATTCTGCAAAGCCAGTCGAACAGCAGGGAATTTGGGCTCTGTGGCAGCCTAAAAGAGAGAGGACAGGCTTATTGGTTTTCCCAGTCTTGACTCTACCCCCTACTACCTGACCCCCACCTCAGAGCCTAGGGGCAAACTTGGATCCAGCTAGTGCCCACTCCTGCTTTTGCATCCTGCCTGCCTGCCAGAGAAGTGTGAGAGGGAAAAGTAGTGGAGAGTGGGCCTTCCCATCCCAGGGTTGTCAGATAAAGATGTAACTCTCACGGTACTGTGCGGGGGTCATCAAGAAGGGGGACCTTGGAGAAAGAGGAACTTAGGAATATGGGAGCTCAGGAGAGGACTCTTGAGGAGAGCCTGCAGAAGATTAGGAGAAACTATGGAGGCTCTGGGAAGCTTTGAACTTAAAAGCAAAAGGCCCTTTTCTTCTGAACAGTTCTATTTTCAAAGCACTTTCATGTCTACTAGCTTATGTGAGCACTACAACTGATAGCTCAGTAAGATACAAAAAAAAATTAACAACATTTCAATTTGATGAAGAGATGTGGGTAACTTACCTAGCGTCACACAGTGACTAGCACCACCATGCTTAGAATCAGAGGTTTGAGGGTCATGCTGGGAGAGTTCCCAGACCCCAGAAAGGTTGGATAAGGAGGGCCCACAGAATCTTGAGGTGTGAACCAAAACAGGGACTTCTAGGATGACTGCTATGGGGGTAGCAGGGGACAAGAGGACAAGAACAAGGAGGCAGAGTAAAAGAGAAATGAAGACTTCAGATGAGGAGTGCACAAGTCGGTCCTGGTTGCTGCAGCTGGGATGCTTGCTATAGCTGGCAATCTTGTTACTATCTATGCCTTGCTCTGGCCTAGATTTTTGGTCTGGTCAGAACTTTTGCTCTGGCCCTCATTTCTTGTTATGGTGAGGACTCTTGCTCTGTGACTTTTGCCTCGCTGGGACTCTTGCTCTGGCTCCTGCTATGTTGGGGACTCTTGCTCTGGCCTTGACCTTTGCCATGTTGGGGACTCTTGCTCCGGTTCCGACTTTTGCCATCATAGACTCTTGCTCTTGCCCTGACCTCTGCTAATTTGGGGACTCTCACCCTGGTGCTCATTTATGCTAAGTTGGGGACTCTCACTCTGGCCCTGACTTGTGTTTTGTTGAGGATTACTGCTCCGGCCCCAGCTTCTGCTAGGATAGGGACTGCTTTTCTGACTTGGACTTCTGCTCAGATGATGCCTCTTGCTCCAGCTCTGACTTCTGCCATCATGGGGACTCTTGCTTTGGCTCCGGCTTTGGCTTTGGTGGGAACTCCTGCTCTCGCTGTCACTACTCTGGCATTTGCTAATAATAGTCGAACTACAGCTGGGATTGGTGCTACAGCTGGAATCCTTGGATGAAGGCAAAGGGCAGCTGTAGGGGATCTGCAGAGGCTCTTTGCAAGGGCCTTGAGAGGCCACAGGGTAGATATGGAGGCCACAGGGGACAGTATCAGGGTAGGCCCGGACTCGGGGGACAATGGGTAAACTTTGAGGATCAAAGGGTGTTCTCAAAGGGATAAAAGAATAGATGTGGGTAGAACAAGGAGGCATCACAGGCTGACAACGAGGTTGGGGTGGGCCCCTGGGAGTGCTATAGGTGTCACACAGGGGCACAATGGGAGGGGGGCCTGTCGAATGATTGAGGGAGCCAGACAGTGGGCAGGGATGGGGGGTGGAGGGAACCACAGAGCATATATGGGTATTGCAGGGGGGCCCTATGGAGGGTCCATGGCGGCTGCTCTGAGCATAACTATTGGCCGAGACAGGATCACAAGGAAGGCAGAGGGGAAAAGAAGTGGGGATAACACTTTTGAGAGCTCTAGGGACCACAGTCAGTAAGGTAGTCCCTGGGGGAAGTTCTTTGGGGCTGGAATTTGAAGGAGTTGTGATGTATGGCTGCATACAAGAAGGACCAGAGAGGCAGGAGGGAGGTGGGGGACAGGTGTGGGCCTTAGCGGGCTTGGGCTGGCCAGAAGGGGTGTGCTGGGGAGTGTTGACTAGGGAGAGACATTTGTGGGGAGTATGTGACTGTCTTAACTCTGGGGACTTAGGGGACTTCGGTTGGGGGGAAACTGGAGTGGGAAGAGGGGGTTCATTATAGCTTCTGCGGGGAAGTGACTGGGGTGGAGATATAAACTGGTTGCCCAGGGGTGAAGGGAAGGAAAGGACAGAATGAGGACCATGGGGACGAGATGGTTCCTGGGAACAGGGGGGACCAGAAGTTGTGGTGTCCGGGGTTAGGATGAGGTAAGAGTTCCCAGTTGCCTCCCAGGAGAGAAGGGACTCAATGCAAGCCTTCCTGGGAGCCTGGGACTGGGGTGAGCAAGGAGAATCAGTACTCCCGGGGCACAGGCAGATGGCATAGCAAGGACTCCCAGGGGTAGGTATGTAGGCCTCTGAGGAAAGATGGGAGTAATGATAAGAGCCCTCCTGAGGTGAGCTGGGAGAGCCAGGCATGCCTGCCTGAGAAGAGAGTGGGAAGCCACAACAATTTTTCTCAAGGGGCAGGTCAAGCTGTGGTTTGGGTTCACAAGAGTCTAGAGGCTTAAGGCTGCCATGGTAAAAGCTGCCAGTAGGTGGGGAAGATGCTGGGGAGAGAAGGGGGTCATTATAACTTCTCCCTGAGAACCAGTGAGAGGGCAGAGAGATCATCAGCCCAGTTTCCAAAACTCTGTGAGAAAGGGTTGGGGAGGCCATAGGACTAGTTTCCACCGGCCGGCGAGCAAGAGGAGGTGAAATCGTGAGGCAAGTTCCCGGGGTCCTATGTGTAGGAGGAGGCGAAATCATGGGTCCAGTTTCCAAGGGTACATGAGTGAGCTGAGGGGAGGTCACTGGGCTCGTTCCCGGGGACTGATGAGCAAGGGGAAAGGAGGTTGCCGGGCTGGTTCCAAAAGCTGAAGGCCATCCGCTAGAGTAACAGAGATTAGTGTGCTGGTCACAGTACGTGCCTTGAAGACAGGGACGCCGCATTCTGGAGGGACTCATCCAGCTGCAATAAGGTGTCCGCTGACAGAGAGGGGGTGACCCCGGAATGCTGAACTGCTCAAAATAAGGGCTGGAGAGTGGGGAACCCGAGTGGCAGGGCTAGCGGCAGTAGGTCCTTTCCAGGAGTGGGGAAGAGGACTCAAAAGACCATCTCCCTGAGTGCGAGGAAGGTTGTGGGGGTGGAAGAGATGGTGGAGGTGGCGAGGGAATCGGCTGGGGTGGGCAGGGGGGCGTGCCGGTCATAGAAGAAATTCCAGGGCTTCCAGTGAGGCAAGAAAAAGGGTCTCTGGAGAAGCAAGGAGAGTCCAGAGGATGAGAGGATTCGTTGCACCTTTTGCCAGGGTTTGGGCCGGCAGTATGGACAGGGTGGTCGCTGTAACCTTGCCCGGTCGCCAGAGGCAGCTCGAGGTTGAGGAAGGGGCTGAATCCTTTCCTGCAAGGCGGCGGAGACCCAGGAGTGCAGGCAAGGTCGCTATGGTATTTTCCGAGGGGTGAGGGCGACCGGGCTGGAAAATCAATGAGGAAAGGAGAAGTCATGTGGGGGAAGAATGGGCAAGGGAAAGGGGGAGGGGAGGGAGGGAAGTAAAAGGGGGAGTGGGGGACAGAAAGGTAGGTGGACACAGCTGGGGAACAAGAGACAGTGACATCACTAAAAGAATGAAGGCGAAGGTGATGACGCAACTTGGGCGGAGTCAGGAGACTGCAGACGTAACAAGTGGAAGACACTAACGCTCGGGACATAGAGTGCGGACAGAGGCGGTGACGGAAAAGACGAGAGAGGGAGGTGCCTAAGGACGTTCCGTGGAGTGCTTGGGAAAGACGCTAGGCGTTCTAGAGGGCCGGGAAACGGAAAGACTGGAGAAGTTTCCACCCTCACTTTTCCCTCCTGCGCCCCCAGCCGGACCTTACCCATTTCTTCTTATATCGATGTCTCCGCGGGACCGTCGCGAGGTCCACACGCTTCAGCAGCTCCCGGACACCCCTCAGTGTCAGCGCAGCCATATCGGCGTGCTCCACGGGGTAATTCCGACCGGAACCGCGACAGGAGACTCGCGTGTTCCGGGGAGGTGGTGAGCGCCACCCGGCGGGACACGAGCGAAAAAAGGGAAAGGAAATACATCTGACGCTCTCCCAGGACTCCGCGCGCCTCTACAGACTCCGCCCAGCCAGGAGTCCCCTGAAGGCTGCTGGAAAAAGAGCAACCTGGCACCCGGAATAATGACTCTGCCTGGATGCTTAGAGCAGTGCGAGGGACTCCCAAGAAGCCCCTAGCCCACTTGGGGGACCAGGGAGGATTAGGAGTTGGTGGTTGAGTACCGAAAGAGTTAGCTAGGCGAAAAGGGGCGGGAAGGGCCTCCTAGGCCGAAATTGCATGGAGGAAGATCCTTAGGTAGAGGAAAATGAGACCAGGCTTGTAGGCAGAAGCAGATTTGCAGTGAAACAAATGAAGCTTAAGTTTCGGGACCTGGCCGGGCGTGGTGGCTCACGCCTGTAATCCCAGCACTTTGGGAGGCCGAGGCGAGCAGATCACGAGGTCAGGAGATCGAGACCCTCCTGGCTAACACGGTGAAACCCCGTCTCTACCAAAAATACAAAAAATTAGCCGGGCGAGGTTGCTGGCGCCTGCAGTCCCAGCTACTCGGGAAGCTGAGGGATGGCGTGAACCCGGGAGGCGGAGCTTGCAGTGAGCCCAGATCGCGCCACTGCACTCCAGCCTGGGCGACAAAGCGAGACTCCGTCTCAAAAAAAAAAAAAAAAAAAAAAAAAGTGGAGGCGTGAATAACCCACCCCTTGTTTAGCGTACCATCAAGAAATAACCATAAAAATGGGCAAGCAGCCCTTGGAGCTGCTCTATCTATGGACTATCCATTCTTTTATTCTTGTACTTTAATAAACTTGCTCTCACTTTGCATTGCGGACTCGCCCTGAATTCTTTCTTGTGCGAGATCCATGAACCTCTCTTGGGGTCCGGATCGGGACCCCTTTCTGGTAACAATGCCTGTAATCCCAGCCAATCTCCCTGCCTTTTGATCTCCCTGCCTCACTCCTACCCACCCTGATAATTGGCTGTTGAATGATCATTTAAAAACACAGTTTCTGATCATGTCCCTCCTCTCCACTGGATCCCTACTGGTGATGTCAAATGTTGTGGGGCCTAACGCTTCCGCAATTTGAGAAGACATAGTTAAGAAAAATAATACAAAACTTGGCCGGGCGCGGTGGCTCACGCTGCCCCCAGCCGAAAGCTTTTTCTTATTTGGCATTTGAATGTGGAATTTTGGAATTTTCTTATTGGCAACAAATACTGTCAGTTATTTTCCTTGAAGTGACAGGCTCACTTTGTTCATTTTTCAAGAAAAAGGCTGGCCGGCACTGTGGCTCATTCCTGTAATCCTAGCACTTGGGAGGCCGAGGTGGGTGGATCACCTGAGGTCAGGAGTTGGAGACCAGCCAGGCCAACGTGGTGAAACCCAGTCTCTACTAAAAATACAAAAATTAGTTGGGCATGGTGGCTCATGCCTGTAATCCCAGCTACTTGGGAGGCCGAGGCAGGAGAATAACTTGAAACCAGGAGGCAGAGGTTGCAGTGAGCTGAGATCATGCCACTGCACTCCAGGCTGGGCAACAGAGTGAGACTCTGTCTCAAAAGAAAAATTCTAGTATATTAAAATATAATTGATTTTTTCTGTTGACCTTGTATCCTGAGACCTTCCTAAACTCAATTATTACTTTTGGTAACTTTTTGGAAATCTGTTCAGGTTTTCTATGCATATGGTCATGTCTTTTGTAAATAAAGACACTTTAACTTCTTTCTTTTCTATCTATATCCCTTTTTTTTTTCTTTGCTTTATTCCACTGGCTAGGACTTCCAGTACACAGTTGAATGTAAGTGGTGATGGTAGGCATCCTTGCCTTGTTCCCATTCTTAAGAAGAAAGCATTTAGTACTTCACCATTATATATGATGTTAGCTGTAGTTTTGTGTGTGCGTGTACCTGCATGTGTATAGATGTCCTTTCTTAGGTTTAGAAAGTTCCCTTCTGTTCCTAGTTTGCTGAGATTTTAAAAAATCATGATAGTTGTTGATTTTCCTTAAGTTTTTTTTTTTTTTCTGTTAAGATGATCATACAGTTTTACTCCTTTTTTTTTTTTTTCTTTTTGACGGAGTTTCGCTCTGTCACCAGGCTGGAGTGCAGTGGTGCCATCTCGGCTCACTGCAACCTCCGCCTCCTAGGTTCAAGCAATTATTCTGCCTCAGCCTCCTGAGTAGCTGTTATCACAGGCATGCACCACCACGCCTGGCTAATTTTTGTATTTTTAGTAGAGATGGGGTTTCACCGTGTTGGCCAGGCTGGTCTCGAACTCCTGATCTCAGGTGATCCGCCCACCTCCCAAAGTGCTGTGATTAGGTGTGAGCCCCTGCGCCCAGCCAGTTTTACTTCTTTATTCCATTACTATGATGCATCATGTTGACTGACTTTTCA
Source organism: Homo sapiens (assembly GCF_000001405.40). Taxonomy (NCBI): domain Eukaryota; kingdom Metazoa; phylum Chordata; class Mammalia; order Primates; family Hominidae; genus Homo; species Homo sapiens. The sequence continues at coordinate 46,338,344 of NC_000001.11, read as the reverse complement.
ATATGAACCAACTTTGCATTCTTGTAAAAAACACATCAATTCATGATACAAATACAGTATTTTTTTTCTTTTAGACAGAGTCTTGCTCTGTCACCCAGGCTGCAGTGCAGTGGCACAATCTTGGCTCACTGCAACCCACGCCTCCCAGGTTCAAGCGATTCTTCTGCCTCAGCCTCCTGAGTAGCTGAGACTACAGGTGCAGGCCACCACGCCCAGCTAATTTTTATATTTTTAGTAGAGTCAGGGTTTTGCCATGTTGGCCAATCTGGTCTTGAACTCCTGACCTCAGGTGATCCACCCACCTTGGCCTCCCAAAGTGCTGCGATTACAGGTACGAGCCACTGCGCCCAGCCGATGATACAGTATTCTTTTTAAATATTGTTGGGATTCTTTTTTGTGTGTGTGTGTGTGTTTTTTTTTTTTTTTGAGACGGAGCCTTGCTCTTTCACCCAGGCCGGAGTGCAGTGGCGCTATTTCTGCTCACTGCAAGCTCCGCCTCCCGGGTTCACGCCATTCTCCTGCCTCAGCCTCCCGAGTAGCTGGGACTACAGGCGCCCGCCACCGCGCCCGGCTAATTTTTTGTATTTTTAGTAGAGATGGGGTTTCACTGTGTTAGCCAGGATTGTCTCGATCTCCTGACCTCGTGATCCGCCCGCTCCGGCCTCCCAGATTGTTGGGATTCTTGGGTCTGAGTTAATGAGTCGTATTTGCCTGCAGTTTTTTCTTCTTATAAAGTCTTTGTTTGATTCTGATATCAGGGTAATGCTGGCCTCATAAAATGAATTTAGGAAATGTCCCTTCACTTCTATTTTCTTTTTTTTTTTTAATTTTTTCTTTTTTTGAGTTGGAGTTTCCTTCTTGTTGCCCAGGCTGGAGTGCAATGGCATGATCTCGGCTCACTGCAACCTCCGCCTCCCAGGTTCAAGCGATTCTCCTGCCTCAGCCTCCTGAGTAGCTAGGATTACAGGCACCCGCCACCGCACCTGGCTAATTTTTTTTTCTTTTGTATTTTTAGTAGAGACAGGGTTTCACCATGTTGGCCAGGCTGGTGATTTTTTTTTTTTTTTTTTTTTTTTTTTTTTTTTTGAGACGGAGTCTCGCTGTCGCCCAGGCTGGAGTGCAGTGGCGCAATCTCGGCTCACTGCAGGCTCCGCCCCCGGGGGTTCACGCCATTCTCCTGCCTCAGCCTCCCGAGTAGCTGGGACTACAGGCGCCCGCCACCTCGCCCGGCTAATTTTTTGTATTTTTAGTAGAGACGGGGTTTCACCGTGTTAGCCAGGATGGTCTCGATCTCCTGACCTCGTGATCCGCCCGCCTCGGCCTCCCAAAGTCAGGCTGGTGATTTTTATTGATATATAATAATTGTACATATTTTGGGAGTACATGTGATATTTTGATACATGTATATGATGTATAATGATCAATTATGAAGGGATTGGGATATCCATCACCTCAAACACAAACATTTATCTTTGTGTTGGGATCATTATAATTCTTCTAGATATTTTAAAATATACACTAAATTATTTATAATTATAATTTCCCTACTTTACTATCAAATACTAGAATTTATTCCTTCTCTCTAACCATATTTTTGTACCTATTAACCAACTTCTCAATTTCTTTTTTTTTTTTCTTTTTTTGAGGAGTCTCGCTCTGTCGCCCAGGCTGGAGTGCAGTGGTGCCATCTCGGCTCGCTGCAAGCTCCACCTCCTGGGTTCACACCATTCTCCTGCCTCAGCCTCCCAAGTAGCTGGGACTACAGGTGCCCACCACCACGCCTGGCTAATTTTTTATATTTTTTAGTAGAGACAGGGTTTCACCATGTTAGCCAGGATGGTGTTGATCTCCTGACCTCAGGTGATCCGCCTGCCTCGGCCTCCCAAAGTGCTGGGATTACAGGCATGAGCCACTGCGCCTGGCCTTTTTTTTTTTTTTTTTTTTGTGACGGAGTTTCCTTCTTGTTGCCCAGGCTGGAGTGCAATGGCACATCTTGGCTCATCACAACCTCCGCCTCCCAGGTTCAAGCAATTCTCCTGCCTCAGCCTCCCGAGCAGCTGGGATTACGGGCATGTGCCACCACATCCGGCTAATTTTGTATTTTGAGTAGAGACGAGGTTTTCTCCATATTGGTCAGGCTGGTCTCAAACTCCTGACCTCAGGTGATCTGCCTGCCCCAGCCTCCCAAAGTGCTGGGATTACAGGCATGAGCCACCGTGCCTGGCTCAATTGCTTTAATGATATAGGGCAGTGGTGATTTTATCCCTCCCTTGGGGGACATGTGGTAACATCTGGAGACATTTGGGGTTGTTACAACTGGGTGGTCATTCTGGCATCTAGTCAGTAGAGGCCAGGGATACTGCTCAGTACCCTGCAATACACAGGACAGCCCTTCCCCACAACAATTATCCAACCTAAATATCAACAGTGCTGAGGTTGAGAAACCCTAATATAGAGCTATTTGAACTTTCTAATTCTTCTTGCATTGGTTTTGACAATTTGAATCTTTTTTTTTTCTTTTTTTGAGACAGAGTCTTACTCTGTCACCCAGGCTGGAGTGCAGTGGTGCAATCTCAGCTCACTGCAACCTACACCTCCCAGGTTCGAGATTCTTGTGCCTCAGCCTCCTGAGTAGCTGGGATTACAGGTACGCACCACCATACCCGGCTAATTTTTGTATTTTTAGTAGAGACGGGGTTTCACCATATTGCCCAGGCTGGTCTCTAACTTTCAACCTCAGGTGATCCCCCTGCCTCAGCCTCCCAAAGTGCTGGAATTACAGGCATGAGCCACCAAGCCCAGCCCCAACAATTTTAGTCTTTTAAAGAATGTGTCCATTTCATCTAAGGTATTGATTGTCTTCATATAAAGTGTTTCAGAATATTCCATTATTATCCTTTTAATGTCTATAGTATGGGGCGGCAAACTACAGCCACAAGCCAAATTCATCCTGCAGCCTGTTTTTGAAATATAAATACATAATTTTTATGGCTCCTTTACCACTGCAATAGAGTTAAGTAGTTGCTCCACAGATCATGTGTGGCCCACAAAGCCAAACATGCTCCCTGAATCTTTACAGAAAAAGCTTGCTGACCTTTGGTTTATAGGATCCTTAGTGATGTCCCCTATTACTGATATTGGCAATTTGTGTCTTCCCTCTTTTGTACCTTATCAGGCTAATGAGATGTTTATATATTTTATTGAACTTTTCAAAGGACTAGCTTTCGGTTTTGTTGTTTTCCTCCGTTTCTTTTATATGTAATTGATTTCCACTCTTATATTTATAGTTGATTTCTTTCTACCTTAGTTCTGTTGTCAAACTAAATAAAAGAGATTATCCAAATATAATCAATTAATTCAGGAGTAAGCATTGCAATGTGGAATATGGTACCATATTAACCTACGGGCATATGAGGAGGTAAAGGAAAACAAGAGTTGTTTTTTGTTTTTTAATTTTTTTTGAGACAGGGTCTCATTGTGTTGCCCAGGCTGGAGCGCAGTTGCACAGTCATGGCTCACTGCAGCCTCAACCTCCCAGGCTCAATCAATCCTCCTGCCTCAGCCTCCCAAGTAGCTGGGACTACTACTGGCACAAGCCACCACACCTGGCTAATTTTCATATTTTTTGTAGAGATGAGGTTTCACCATTTTACCCAGGCTGGTCTCAAACTCCTGGGCTCAAGGGACCGCCTGCCTTGGCCACTCAAAGAGTTGGGATTACAGGCATGAACCACTATGCCTGACCTGAAAAAAAAAGCAGGGGGGGCGGGGGTTAAAGGAAAAGTGAGAATCGTTACACATAGTAAGTTGTTTTGGAACAATTATCCCTTGCTACAAGAATTAGTAACAAGGGTTAGTCAATAACAAGCATCAGTCCAAGGTTGGACAGGCAGTTACTGGGCAGATGTTTTCACAGTAGTATTTTGTGTAAGGTTGTGATGGTTTTTGTGCAGGGCTGTGGTTTAGATGCAGACAGGCAGGCGAGCCCCAAAACTGGGGCTTAGTCTGGGAAGGATCTTGGCTTTGCCCAGGAAAGAATTTAAGGGTGAGCCGGTGGTGTTAAACAGCAATTTTTTTTTGAGTCAGGGTCTCACTCTGCCACCCAGGCTAGAGTGCAGTGGTGCAATCCCAATTCACTGCAGTCTCAACCTACTGGGCTCAAACAAGCTTCCCACCTCAGCTACCCAAGTAGCTGGGACCACAGGTGCCCACCACCATGACCAGCTAATTTTTGTATTTTTTGTAGAGACAAGATCTCATTATGTTGCCCAGGCTGGTCTCAAGCTCCTGAGCTCAAGCAATCTTCCTGCCTCAGCCTCCCCAAGTGCTGTTATTGGAGGCATCAGCCACCATGAGTGGTCAAACAGCAATTTTTATTGAACTGGAGCTACTCCTTGTAGAGTAGAGACAACTCATAGGCAGTGTGCCCAGAGCCGCTCTTGTCCTGTTAGCAACTGTATTTATAGCCACTTACACCCACTTTTAATTAGATGCAAATTAAGAAGCAGGCTAATGCAAATTGAGGGGCAGGTTATTCCTAACTTTCTAGGAAAGGGGCAGTAACTTCCTGGTCATTGCCATAGCATCTGTAAATATGCCCCAGAGGAAGTATCTTATGCTAATGACCAGTGAGGGTAGCTAGGGATGGTTTTTGTTGCCATCTGCTGGTTCCTGCCGGTTTCTTCATTTTATCTAAGCGGCACCTTGGGAGCTGGAAATAATTCCTGCCAGTCCCCTACTTCATTCCCCCTCAGAGATTAGATACTCCTCCTTAATCTTAAAGGGGCGGCCAGGTGTGGTGGCTTAGGCCTGTAATCCCAGCACTTTGGGAGGCCAAAGCAGGTAGATCACTTGAGGCCGGGGGTTCGAGACCAGCCTGGCCATCATAATGAAACCCCATCTGTATTAAAAATACAAAAATTAGCTGGGCGTGGGGCACAGGCCTGTGGTCCAGGCTACTCAGGAGGCTGAGGCAGGAGAATCATTTGAACTCGGGAGGAGGTTGCAGTGGGCCAAGATAGCACCACTGCGCTCCAGCCTGGGGGACAGAGTGAGACTCTCTCTTTAAAAAGACCTTAAATGGGCTGCAGAAGGGAAGAGGGCCATCTTCTGTAGCTGTTTTCTGCTAATTTTATGGTCATAGGCCCTGCCTAGCATTGGAGGAGTGACAATCTCTGGATACCTAATCTGATGGGTCTAATAGCTGCTTGTTTTTATTTTCTAAGTCAGAAGATGGGATGGGTTAGAAGTCTTGTGCCAGCATTGTTTTCATGTGGAATTATTGTAGTCTAGAAGACACAAATGTTACTAGGAGGTTAAACAAGCAAGGGCCAAAAATTAGTAATAATAGAATCGCTATTTAAAAGTCTTAGGAAAGGTAAAAACCAGGTGAGAATAACAAATATAGTTTAATACTGCACATACTCAGCCTTGTAATATTATTTAGTTTTGTGTTTGTGAAATAACAACTTTTTTTTTTTTTGAGACGGAGTCTCGCTCTGTCCCCCAGGCTGGAGTGCAGTGGCGCGATCTCAGCTCACTGCAAGCTCCGCCTCCCGGGTTCACGCCATTCTCCTGCCTCAGCCTCCCGAGTAGCTGGGACTACAGGCGCCCGCCAACACGCCCAGCTAATTTTTTGTATTTTTAGTAGAGACGGGGTTTCACTGTGTTAGCCGGGATAGTCTCAATCTCCTGACCTCGTGATCCGCCCGTCTCGGCCTCCCAAAGTGCTGGGATTACAGGCATGAGCCACCGTGCCCGGCCACAACTTTAAGTCTTATAAGAGTTTGAGGGAAGAGAGAGAACTTCTCATATGGTTTTATATTGTTTTATACTCAGTACCTGTTTTAAGAAAAAAAAAAAAAAACAAGGAAGTAAAACCAAAGACAGGCAGCCCGGCGCCAGGCCCGAAACCAGGCCCTGGCCTGCCTGACCTAAACCCAGTAGTTAAAAATCAACTCATAACTTAAAAACCGATGTTATTCATAGATTCCAGACATTGTATAGAAGAACACTGTGAAACTCCCTGCCCTGTTCTGTTTCTCTCTGAGCACCGGTGCATGCAGCCCCTGTCACGTACTCCTTGCTTGCTCAAATCAATCACGACCCTTTCATGTGAAATCCTTAGAGTTGTGAGCCCTTAAAAGGGACAGGAATTGCTCACTCGGGGAGTTCGGATTTTAAGGCAGTAGCTTGCCGATGCTCCCAGATGAATAAAGCCCTTCCTTCTACAACTCGGTGTCTGAGAGGTTTTTGTCTGCGGCTTGTCCTGCTACATTTCTTGGTTCCCTGACCGGGAAGCGAGGTGACTGACGGCCGGCTTAAACCTGCCCTGTGGAGCGTCCCTGTGGGGGACTCCAGACAGCTTGAGTGACGCGATCCAAAGAGTGCTCCCGGGTAGGCAATTGCCCCAGTGGAACGCGTCGCCAGAGCAGCATGTAGCAGGCCCCCACAGAGGATTAACACAGTGGCTGAACACCAGGAAGGAACTGGCACTTGGAGTCCGGACATCTGAAACTTGGTAAGACTAGTCTTTGGAACTTGCCCCACTCCATCTGAGTGGAAGCATGGCCTGATCACCCATGGCGGGTCTGCATTGGCACTTTTGTTCTGGTTTTAACTTGACTTGAATTGCTGGATACTTTGGTTTTGGTTTTGACTTGTCTTGGATTTTTTGGTACTCGGATTTTGAATTTCGTGATTTTGGTTTGGTATAAACGGTAAAAGTGTATGTGTGCCCTTTTTACCTGTTCTTTGTCTTGTGGTGAGTGTGTGTGATGTGAGCATGGTATTTTGTATCAAAAAAAAAAAGCAGCATGGGTCAGGCAAATAAGCCCACCCCACTAGGAACTATGTTAAAAAGAGAATTTCAAGAGAGAATTTAAGGGAGATTACGGTGTTACTGTGGCACCAGGAAAACTTAAAACTTTGTGTGAAATAGACTGGACAGCATTAGAGGTGGGTTGGCCTGGACAGGTCCGTTGTTTCAAAGGTATGACAGAAGGCCACCTGTAAGCCAAGGCACCCAGACCAGTTTCTGTACATAGACAGTTACAGCTGGTTTTAGACCCCCTTCCCCCCCACAGCAGTCAAGAGAATAGCAGCATAATGGCCGGGCACGGTGGCTCAAACCTGTAATCCCAGCACTTTGGGAGGCCGAGGCGGGCGGATCACAAGGTCAGGAGATCGAGACCATCCTGGCTAACACGGTGAAACCCCGTCTCTACTAAAAATACAAAAAAAAAAAATTAGCTGGGCGTGGTGGCAGGCACCTGTAGTCCCAGCTGCTGGGGAGGCTGAGGCAGGAGAATGGCATGAACCTAGGAGGCGGAGCTTGCAGTGAGCTGAGATCGCACCACTGCACTCTAGCCCGGGCGACAGAGCAAGACTCCATCTCAAAAAAAAGAATAGCGGCATAAATGGCTGGCAGAGGCAAGGAAAGACCAGCAGAGAGAAAAAGAGGCCATCTATACCAATTCTAAGTTAATTTAGACTAAACAAGGTCTTATTAATAGCAAAGGATAATTGAAATCCCAAACTTACAAGGTTTTCAACAAAAGTGACGTTTGCTAAAAGTTAACAGTGTAACATGTATTATGGTAACTTCTAATCTTGTGGCCTTGGACAGTCTAGTCCAAAGACATAAGGAATGGTTATCTTCAAAAAAAGAAAAAAAAAGGGGGGCAGGCAAAATTTATGTAAAAAGAGTGTTATATGGTAAATTCTTGTCCTGAAATAAATTAACTGTTTGTTTAAAGAAAAAAAGTTTGTAATAAGTCAGAAAGTTGAGACATGTTGAAAAATTGTCTCCAAAAGTTGTAAACAAAAAATGAAGGGGTGGGTTGCCCCTCCACACCTTTGGGTGTTTCTTGTTAGGTGGAACGAGAGACTTGGAAAAGAAAAAGACATGGAGACAAAGTATAGAGAAAGAAATAAGGGGGCCCAGGGGACCAGCGTTCAGCATACGGAGGATCCCGCCGGACTCTAAGTTCCCTTAGTATTTATTGATCATTATTGGGTGTTTCTCTCTCAGAGAGGGGGATGTGGCAGGGTCATAGGATAATAGTGGAGAGAAGGTCAGCAGGTAAACACGTGAACAAAGCTCTCTGCATCATGAACAAGGTAAAGAATTAAGTGCTGTGCTTTAGATATGCATACACATAAACATCTCAATGCCTTAAAGAGCAGTATTGCCCACCGCATGTCCCACCTCCACCCCTGAGGCGGTTTTCCCCTATCTCAGTAGATGGAATATACAATTGGGTTTTACACTGAGACATTCCATTGCCCAGGGACGCGCAGGAGATAGATGCCTTCCTCTTGTCTCAACTGCAAAGAGGCATTCCTTCCTCTTTTACTAATTCTCCTCAGCACAGAACCTTTACGGGTGTCGGGCTGGGGGATGGTCAGGTCTTTCCCTTCCCACGAGGCCATATTTCAGACTATCACATGGGGAGAAACCTTGGACAATACCTGGCTTTCCTAGGCAGAGGTCCCTGAGGCCTTCTGCAGTGTTTGTGTCCCTGGGTACTTGAGATTAGGGAGTGGTGATGACTCTTAATGAGCATGCCGCCTTCAAGCATAAAAAATTGGTCAAACATAAAAAATTGGATAAATATGTCTACAAGGTTTTATTAAAATTAAGTTTAACATTAACAACACACTAATATAAAGGTAAAATTTAACTTATCTGGTATAAAAATCATACAAGAAACATTATTAAATATAAAATAATGTTTAGCTTTCTTTGGTCTAAAAACTAATAAAAATAGGTGCTAAAGGAAACATTCATTTTACTAGAGGACCATACAAGTTAAAGACTTAAAACAAACTTTGGCAATTAAGACGGCATACCAAGATGCAAATGCCTGGTTGAAATGGATCATATATTCCATCTGCACGTTAAACAAAAGCAATTGTTATGCTTGTGCACGTGGCAGGCCAGAGGCCCTGATTGTCCCCCTTCCACTAAGGTGGTCCTCCAGTCGACCAGGCGTGGGCTGCATGGTAGCTCTTTTCCAGGATTCTACAGCCTGGAGTGATAAGTCATGCCAAGCTCTCTCTGCTATATCCTGAAGTCCCTGCGGGTCAGCCCCGGAGGGCCATCCAACTTATGTCTCCCAACACTAAGTTCACTTCTTGTCTCTCATGGCAGGGAGGAGATTTAGCATTCCTTGGAGACCTGAAGGGATGCAGTGAGCTTAAGAATTTTCAAGAGCTTATCAATCAGTCAGCCTCTGTTCATCCCCGAGTGGATGTATGGTGGTATTGTGGTGGACCTTTACTGGGCACTCTGCTGAATAACTAGAGTGGCACTTGTGCTTTAGTCCATTTGGCTATCCCTTTTACCCTGGCATTTCATCAACCAGAGGAAAAAAAAAAAATAAGACATCATAAAGCGAGAGAAGCTCCTTATAGGTCTTTCAACTCTCACATCTATTTAGATGCAACTGGAGCCCCGCAAGGAATACCAGATCAATTTAAAGCTTGAAATCAAATAGTTACAGGATTTAAGTCAATATTTTGATAGATGACAGTCAATAAAAATGTAGATTAGAAAAACTACATCTATTACAATGAGCTTTACATGAGTTAAAAAAAAACTCCTTTTGGGCCCAGCCCTGAGGCTATCTGACCTGACAAAACTCTTTACACTCTATGTGTCAGAAAGAGAAAAAATGGCAGTTAGAGTTTTAACCCAGACTGTAGGGCCCTGGCCAAGGCCAGTGGCCTATCTCTCAAAGCAACTAGACGGGGTTTCCAAAGGCTGGCCCCACGTCCAAGGGCCCTGGCAGCAACGGCCCTGTTAGCACAAGAAGCAAATAAGCTAACTCTTAGGCAAAACCTAAAGTCCCCCCATGCTGTGGTGATTTTAATAAATACCAAAGGACACCATTAACTAATGAATGCTGGACTAACTAGATACCAAAGCTTGCTCTGTGAAAATCCCTGCATAACCATTGAAGTTTGCAACACCCTAAACCCCGCCATCTTGCTGGGCATCTTGTATCAGAGAGCCCAGTTAAACATAACTGTGTAGAAGTATTGGACTCAGTTTATTCTAGTGGGCCCAAACTCCGAGACCATCCTTAAACAGCAGTAGACTGGGAGCTGTACGCGGATGGGAGCAGCTTCGCCAACCCCTGCAAAGTGACTCTGAAGAAGACGACAAGCCCTGCTCCAGTCATACCCGGAAGCTGACTGGTCCACACACAGCTGAAGCATGAGGAAACTCATAGCAGGGGACTCATTTTCCTTAAAATTTGGACTTGTATTGTAAGGACTTCAACTGACCTTCCTAAGACTGAGGGCTGTTCCCAGTATATACATCAAGTCACTGAGGGACAAAAGATTGCTAAAGTCTTATTATTTTATGGTTATTATAAGTGTACCAGGACTCTAAAAGTTGTTTGTATAATGCAATTCTATCCAAGGTATGTAGCCCAGGAAATAACCAACCTGATGCGTGTTATGACCCATTTTAAGCCTCCCATGATCAGTTTTTAAAATAAAATTAATGACTGGTCCTTTTCTAGGCGACACAAGTAAAGTAATAGCTAGGACAGAAGAAAGAGGGGTCTCCAAGCATATAACCCTAAAATTTAATGCTTGTGCCACTATCAATAGTAATTGGCATAAAATAAGATGCAGTTCTTTAAGTTGAAAAAAAAAAAGTTTACACGGCAGGAAATAAGTATATCTGCCATGAATTAAGCTCATGTGCAAATGTGTGTAATTACTGGTCTTGTGTCATCTAGACTACTTAGAAAAAGGATGAAAAAGATCCTGTTTAGCTCCAAAAAGGAGAATGCAGCCCCTCCTATACGAGTGGACATTGGAACCCCTTGAAATTAATAATTACAAATCCCTTAAACCCAAGGTAGAAAAAAGGAGAACACGTATCTCTGGGCATCAATAGGAAAAGACTAGGTCCTACAGCAAATATCTTAGTAAAAGAGGAGTTTTGTAAACTCTCTCTGGAACCAGTATTTCAGACTTTCTATGATGAACTAAATTTGCCAGTACCAAGAGACTCCAGGAAAAACCAGAAATTTGTTTTTGCAATTAGCCGAGCGTGTAGCCCAGTCTCTAAATGTCACTTCATGTTATGTTTGTGAAAAAACTGTAATAAGAGCTCAATGGCCATAAAAAGCCCAAGAATTAGTGCCTACAGACGCAGTTCCTGATGAATTCCTGGCCCACAAGAATCACCCTGATCATCTCTAGGTTCTAAAAGTCTCAATTATTGGACAATATTACATAGCTAGAAAAAAGAAAGAATTCACTCATTCTATAGGATGTCTTAGTTGTTTGGGCCAAGAACTGTATAATGGTACCGCAAAAAAACAGTTACATGGTGAAGTTCCAATTATATAGAAAGAGATCCATTCAGTAAATTTCCAAGGTTGCAGACTGTCTGGGCCCACCTGGAATTCCACCGGGACTGGACTGCCCCCACCAAGTTATACTGAATACGTAGACATAGAGCTTAAGCTAAGCTGCCTGACCAGTGGACAGGTAGTTGTGTTATTGGCACTATTAAACCATCTTTCTTTCTACTGACCATAAAAACAGGCAAACTCCTGGGCTTCCCTGTCTATGCTTCCCGCGGAAAATGAAGCATAGCCATAGGAAATTGGAAAGATGATAAATGACCTTCAAAAAAAAATTATATAATACTATAGGCCTGCCACTTAGACACAAGACGGCTCATGGGGATACTGGACCCCCACTTACATGCTCAACTGAATCATACAGCTGCAAGCTGTTTTAGAAATCATCACTAGTAAAACCAGTCAAGCCTTGACTATTCTGGCCCAGCAAGAAACTCAGATAAGAAATGCTATCTATCAAAATAGATTGGCTCTCAACTACTTGCTAGCAGCTGAAAGAGAGGTCTATAAGAAATTTAACCTTACTAATTACTGTCTACACATAGATAATCAAAGGCAAGTAGTTAAAGACATAGTTAAAAATATGACAAAACTGACACATGTGCCCATGCAAGTGTAGCATGAATTCGATCCTGAAGCCATGTTTAAAAATTAGTTCCCAGCACTAGAAGGATTTAAAACTCTTATAATAGAATTTATAATAGTAATAAGAACCTGTTTACTGCTTCCTTGTTTGCTACCTGTACTTCTTCAAATGATAAAAAGCTTCATCACTATCTTAGTTCACCAAAATGCTTTAGCACAAGTGTACTATATAAATCACTATCAATCTATTGCACAAAAAGACATAAGTAGCAAAAATAAAAGTCAGAACTCCCACTAATAGAAAGTGAGAGTCTCAAAGGGGGGAAATGAGGGGAGAGAGAGACCTTCTCATATTGTTTTATATTGTTTTATACTCAGTACCTATTTTAAGAAAAAAAAAAAAAAAAAACAAGGAAGTAAAACCAAAGACAGGCAGCCCAGCGCCAGGCCCGAAACCAAGCCTGGGCCTGCCTGGCCTAAACCCAGTAGTTAAAAATCAACTCATAACTTAAAAACCGATGTTATTCATAGATTCCAGACATTGTGCAGAAGAACATTGTGAAACTCCCTGCCCTGTTCTGTTTCTCTCTGACCACCGGTGCATGCAGCCCCTGTCACGTACCCCTTGCTTGCTCCAAATCAATCACGACCCTTTCATGTGAAATCCTTAGAGTTGTGAGCCCTTAAAAGGGACAGGAATTGCTCTCTTGGGGAGTTCGGATTTTAAGGCAGTAGCTTGCCGATGCTCCCAGCTGAATAAAGCCCTTCCTTCTACAACTCGGTGTCTGAGAGGTTTTGTCTGCGGCTCATCCTGCTACAAGTTCACAAGTGTAGGTCATGATGTCCTCCTTTTACTCCTACAGGGACTCATAAGAAACAGGTTTAATATTGGACAGGTGTACCCAGCTAGTGATTTCCTAAAGGTTAATAGTAGTTGGGGGTACTTAACAATACCTATTAAAGGCTCTTTTATTTTGGTTGTAATTGATTCTCGGGGTAGGGGGACAGAGTGAGACTCTGTCTCAAAAAAAAAAAATTACAAGAAATTTTGCTTTTCAATACTATAACCTGTTTCTTTTAAGAACTTATCACCCGGGCACGGTGGCTCACGCCTGTAATCCCAGCACTTTGGAAGACCAAGAAGGGCAGATCACGAGGTCAGGAGATCGAGACCATCCTGGCTAACACGGTGAAACCCTGTATCTACTAAAAAAATACAAAAAAATTAGTCAGCGTGGTGGTGGGCGCCTGTAGTCCCAACACTTTGGGATGCCAAGGCAGGTGAATCACCTGAGGTCGGGAGTTCAAGACCAGCCTGACCAACATGGAGAAACCCCGTCTTTACTAAAAAGTACAAAATCGGTCGGGTGTGGTGGCGCATGCCTGTAATCCCAGCTACTCGGGAGGCTGAGGCAGGAGAATCACTTGAACCCGGGAGGCGGAGGTTTTGGTGAGCCGAGATCGTGCCATTGCACTACAGCCTGGGCAACAAGAGGAAAACTCCATCTCAAAAATAAAATAAAATAGGCCAGGTGCGGTGGCTCACTCCTGTAATCTGAGCACTTTGGGAAGCTGAGGTGGGTGGATCACGAGGTCAAGAGATTGAGACCTCCCTGGCTAACATGGTGAAACCCCATCTCTACTAAAAATACAAAAAATTAGCCGGGCGCAGTGGCGGGCGCCTGTAGTCCCAGCTACTCGGGAGGCTGAGGAAGGAGAATGGCGTGAACCCAGGAGACGGAGCTTGCAGTGAGCCGAGGTCGTGCCACTGCACTCCAGCCTGGGTGACAGAGCGAGACTCCATCTCAAAAAATAAAACTAAATAAATAAATAAAATAAAATAAATAACCAGTCATTTCACTCTAGGACAAGAATTTACCACATAAGATTTTACCTCATGTAAAATTACTCGTGTGTGTGTGTGTGTGTGTGTGTGTGTGTGTGTGTGTGTATTTTTTATTTTTTATTTTTTTGAGTCAGAGTCTCGCTCTGTTGCCAGACTAGAGTGTAGTGGCACAGATCTCGGCTCACTGCAACCTCCACCTCCCGGGTTCAAGCGATTCTCCTGCCTCAGCCTCCGGAGTAGCCGGGACTACAGGCGCACACCACCACGCTCAGCTAATATGTTTGTGTTTTTAGTAGAGACAGGGTTTCACAATGTTGGCCAGGATGGTCTCGATTTCTTAACCGCATGATCCGCCTGCCTCAGCCTCTCAAAGTGCTGGGATTATAGGCGTGAGCCACCACGCCCGGCCTCGGCCTATATTTTTAAAATTAAAAATACATCTTTATTTCTGTATCTTTCTTTCTTTCTCTCTCTCTTTCTTTCCTTCTTTCTTTTTTTAAGACGGAGTTTCACTATTGTTGCCCAGGCTGGAGTGCAATGGTGCAACCTCAGCTCACCACAGCCTCCGCCTCCCGAGTTCAAGCGATTCTCCTGTCTCAGCCTCCCGAGTAGCTGGGATTACAGGCGCATATACCACCACGCCCAGCTAATTTTTGTGTTTTTAGTACAGACAGGGTTTTATCATATTGGTCAGGCTGGTCCCGAACTTCTGACCTCAGGTGATCCGCCCGCCTCGGCCTCCCAAAGTGCTGGGATTACAGGCGTGAGCCACCGCACCCGGCCTATATCTTTCTTTATATCTCTTTCTCCTACTTACTGGTTTCTTTTTCATTTTTTAATTTTTTGAGACAAGGTTTCAGTCTGTTGCCCAAACTGGAGCAATCATAGCTCACTGCAGCCTCAACCTCCCAGGCTCAAGCAATCTTCTCACCTAAGTCTCACGAATAGCTGGGTCCACAGGCATGTACCACCACGCCCTGCTCATTTTTTTGTTTGTTTAGGGATAGGGTCTCCCTATGTTGCCCAGGCTGGTCTCAAACTCCTGTGCTCAATTGATCCTCTGCCTTGGCCTCCCAAAGTACTGGAATTACACGTGTGAACCACTGCACCTGGCCCAGTTTCTTATTTTAAACTTCTCTTTAAATAATACCCAAATTGGCCAAAAGAAAAAATTAATAAGAGCACCATCTTTTGGCATATTTTATATACAGAATTACATGTTACCTTAAATTCTTAACAAACATAAATTTTAGTGAAAATCTAGGAATCCAGAAATCATGCCCCAGTTTATTTGTTTTGTTTTGTTTGAGATGGAGTCTTGCTCTGTCACCCAGGCAATGGCGCAACCTCGACTCACTGCAATCTCTGCCTCCTGAGTTCAAGGGATTCTCCTGCCTCAGCCTCCTGAGTAGCTGGGATTACAGGTGCATGGTACCACACCCAGCTAATTTTTTGTATTTTTAGTAAAGACGGGGTTTCACCCTGTTAGCCAGGATAGTCTCGATCTCCTGACCTCATGATCCACCCGCCTCGGCCTCCCAAAGTGCCGGGATTACAGGCATGACCCACTGTGCCCGGCCAATCCTGCTCCAGTTTAAGATTTTAAGCCACACAAAAAGCACACCCACAAATATTTATTTATATGTATTTAACTTTTTTACTTTTGACAGTTTTATGTAGACCACTTCTGGGAACTAAAATGCCATAAAAGAGGGCAGGGAGGGGAAAGAGAAATTAATTAATTAATTAAATTTAATGCCATATAAAGCCAATTAAAATTTTAAGCCATTTTTCTGTTAACCATTTTAAAACCTTACGTGGTTTGGATCTGCATCCCTGCCCAAATCTCATATCAAGTTGTTTAAAAGTGTATAGCACCAGCTGGTTGTGGTGGCTTACGCCTGTAATCCCAGCACTTTGGGAGGCCGAGGCAGGTGGGTCATGAGGTCAGGAGTTCGAGACCAGCCTGGCCAATAAGGTGAAACCCCATCTCTACTAAAAATACAAAAAAAAAAAAAAAAATTTAGCCGGGCATGGTGGCATGTGCCTGTAGTCCCAGTTACTCGGAAGGCTGAGGCTTGAACCCAGGAGGTGGAGACTGCAGTGAGCCGTGATCTCACCATTGCACTCCTGCCTGGGCGACAGAGTGAG
The DNA here is from genome assembly GCF_000001405.40 of Homo sapiens. Taxonomy (NCBI): domain Eukaryota; kingdom Metazoa; phylum Chordata; class Mammalia; order Primates; family Hominidae; genus Homo; species Homo sapiens. The sequence goes on along the minus strand of NC_000001.11, from coordinate 46,322,369 downwards.
ACTCCATCTGAAAACAAAACAAAACAAAAAGTGTATACCACCTCCCCCTTCTCTCTATCCCTCCTGCTCCAGCCATGTAAGATGAGCCTGCTTCCCCTTCACCTTCCGCCATGATTGTAAGTTTCCTGAGGCCTCCCCACCCATGCTTGCCTGCAGAACTGTGAGCCAATTAAACCTCTTTTCTTTATAAATTACCCAGTCTCAGGCATTTCTTTTTTTTTTTTTTTAGCTGGAGTCTCGTTCTATTGCCCAGGCTGGAGTGCAGTGGCACGATCTCGGCTCACTGCAAGCTCTGCCTCCCGGCTTCACGCCATTCTCCTGCCTCAGCCTCCTGAGTAGCTGGGACTACAGGCGCCTGCCACCACACCCGGCGAATTTTTTGTATTTTTAGTAGAGATGGGTTTTCACCGTGTTAGCCAGGATGGTCTTGATCTCTTGACCTCGCGATCCACCCGCCTTGGCCTCCCAAAGTGCTGGGATTACAGGCATGAGCCACCGCACCCGGCCATCTTAGGCATTTCTTTCTTTTTTCTTTTCTTTTTTTTTTTTCCTGGACAGAGTCTTACTCTTACTTATTGTAGTACAGTGCAAGTCACATCTTACGTGGATGGCAGCATGCAAAAAGGGCTTGTGCAGGGAAACTCCTGTTTTTAAAACCATCAGATCTCGTGAGACCCATTCGCTATCACAAGAACAACACAAGAAGGACCTGCCCCACTGATTCAATCATCTCCCACCAGGTCCCTCCCACAACGCATGGGAATTATGGCAGCTACAAGATGAGATTTGGCGGGGGACACAGAGCCAAACCAATCAGTAAACATTTACTAAAATCTGGGTGATGGGTTTAGGGATGTTCACTGCAAAATTTCACCCTTGGTGTACATTTGAATTTTTTTTTTTTTTTCAAGACAGTGTTTCACTCTGTTGCCCAGGCTGGATTACAAGCGTGAACCACCGCGCCTCTTCGCAAAAAACCTACTTGAGACTGAGTAATTTATAAACACAAGAGGCTTAATTAACTCAGTTCCACATGGCTGGGAAGGCCTCAGGAACTTTCAATCATGTGGGAAGGCAAAGGGGAAACAAGATACATCTTACATAGCTGAAGGGGCGGGTTGCCCCTCCACACCTGTGTGTGTTTCTCGTTAGGTGGAACAAGAGACTTGGAAAAGAAAAAGACACGGAGACAAAGTATAGAGAAAGAAATAAGGGGGCCCAGGGGACCAGCGTTCAGCATATGGAGGATCCTGCCAGCCTCTGAGTTCCCTTAGTATTTATTGATCATTCTTGGGTGTTTCTCTCTCAGAGAGGGGGATGTGGCAGGGTCATAGGATAATAGTGGAGAGAAGGTCAGCAGATAAACAGGTGAACAAAGGTCTCTGCATCATAGACAAGGTAAAGAATTAAGTGCTGTGCTTTAGATATGCATACACATAAACATCTCAATGCCTTAAAGAGCAGTATTGCCCACCGCATGTCCCACCTCCACCCCTGAGGCGGTTTTCCCCTATCTCAGTAGATGGAATATACAATTGGGTTTTACACTGAGACATTCCATTGCCCAGGGACGCGCAGGAGAGAGATGCCTTCCTCTTGTCTCAACTGCAAAGAGGCATTCCCTCCTCTTTTACTAATTCTCCTCAGCACAGACCCTTTACGGGTGTCGGGCTGGGGGATGGTCAGGTCTCTCCCTTCCCACGAGGCCATATTTCAGACTATCACATGGGGAGAAACCTTGGACAATACCTGGCTTTCCTAGGCAGAGGTCCCTGAAGCCTTCCGCAGTGTTTGCCTGGGTACTTGAGATTAGGGAGTGGTGATGACTCTTAAGGAGCATGCTGCCTTCAAGCATCTGTTTAACAAAGCACATCTTGCACAGCCCTTAATCCATTTAACCCTGAGTTGACACAGCACATGTTTCAGAGAGCACAGGGTTGGGGGTAAGGTTACAGATTAACAGCATCTCAAGGCAGAAGAATTTTTCTTAGTACAGAACAAAATGGAGTCTCCTATGTCTACTTCTTTCTACACAGACACAGTAACAATCTGATCCCTCTTTCTTTTCCCCACACATAGCAGCAGCGGGGTCAGAGAGGAGCTGGCAATGAGATGGGGGGGGACTGTCAAAATCTTTTAAACCATCAGATCTCATGAGAACTCATTCACTATCATGTGAATAGCATGGGGGAAACCACCCCCATGATCCAGTCATCTCCCACCAGGTCCCTCCTTTGACACCTGGGGATTACAATTTGAAATGAGATTTGGGGCCAGGCGCGGTGGCTCACCCCTGTAATACCAGCACTTTGGGAGGCCAAGGTGGGTGGATCACGAGGTCAGGAGATTGAGACCACCCTGGCTAACACAGTGAAACCCCGTCTCTACTAAAAAAAAACACAAAAAATTAGCCGGGTGTGGTAGCGGGTGCCTGTAAGTCCCAGCTACTCTGGAGGCTGAGGCAGGAGAATTGCATGAACCCAGGAGGCAGAGCTTGCAGTGAGCCGAGATCGCGACACTGCACTCCAGCCTGGGTGACAGAGCAAGACTCCATCTCAAAAAAAAAAAAAGAGATCGGGATACATCATGTTGGCCTGGCCAGGCTGGTCTCAAACTCCTGACCTTAAGTGACCTATCTGCCTTGGCCTCCCAAAGTGCTGGGATTACAGCAGTGAACCACCACGCCTGGCCCTCATTCCCTTTTTAAAAAATTAGCCAGGCATGGTGACATGTACCTGTAAGTCCTAGCTATGGGAAGCTGAGGTAGGAGGATCTCTTTAGCCCAGTTCGAGGCTGCAGTGAGCTATGATGTTGCCACTGCACTCCCAACTTAGGCAACAGAGCAAGACCCTGTCTTTTTTGTGTGTGTGTGCATACCAATACCTAAACACCACAGCATTTGTTCTGGTTTTTACCTTTTCTTTTTTTTTTCTTTTTGAGATGGAGTCTCACTGTTGTCACCCAGGCTGGAGTGCAGTGGCGTGATCTCGGTTCACTGCAACCTCCACCTCCTGGGTTCAAGCAATTCTCCTGCCTCAGCCTCCTGAGTAGCTGGGATTACAGGCGCGTGACACCACGCCCAGCTAATTTTTGTACTTTTAGTAGAGACAGGGTTTTGCCATGTTGGCCAGGCTGGTCTCGAACTCCTGACCTCAGGTGATCCACCTGCCTCAGCCTCCCAAAGTGCTGGGATTACAGGTGTGAGCCACAAAGCCCGGCCAAAACCCTGTCTTTTGAAAAATAAATTTTTTTTTTAATTTTTATTTTTTTGAGATGGAGTCTCTGTCTCTCACCCAGACTGGAGTGCAATAGTGCAATCTCAGCTCACTGCAACCTCCACGTCCCTAGTTCAAGCCATTCTCGTGCCTCAGCCTCCCGAGTAGCTGGGATACAGGTACCCACCACCACGCCCACCTAATTTTAGAGAGGTTTTGTTCAAGCCATTCTTGTGCCTCAGCCTCCCGAGTAGCTGGGATACAGGTACCCACCACCACACCCACCTAATTTTAGAGAGGTTTTGCCATGTTGGCCAGGCTGGTCTCAAACTCCTTACCTCACGTGATCCACCCACCTCGGCCTCCCAAAGTGCTGGGATTACGGGTTGTGAACCACCTCGCCTGGTTTTTTCTTTTTAAAGTTTTTTTTATGGCGCGATCTCAGCTCACCGCAACCTCCACCTCCCAGGTTCAAGCAATTCTCTTGCCTCAGCCTCCCGAGTAGCTGGGATTACAGGCATGCACCACTATGCCTGGCTAATTTTTTTTTTATTTTTAGTAGAGATGGGGTTTCTCCATGTTGAGGCTGGTCTCAAACTCCTGACCTCAGGTGATCCGCCCACCTCGACCTCCCAAAGTGCTGGGATTACAGGCATGAGCCACTGTGCCTGGCCAAAAAGGTTTTTTTTTTTTTTTTTTTTGAGATGGAGTCTCACTCTGTTGCCCAGGCTGGAGTGCAGTGGCGCAATCTTGGCTCACTGCAAGCTTCGCCTCCCGGGTTCACGCCATTCTCTGCCCACCACCATGCCCAGCTGATTTTTTTGTATTTTTAGTAGATGGGGTTTCACTGTGTTAGCCAGGATGGTCTCGATCTCCTGACCTCATGATTCCCCCGCCTTGGCCTCCCAAATTGAAAAGTTTTTTTTTTTTTTAGAGACGGAGTCTCGCTCTGTCGCCCAGGCTGGAGTGCACTGGCGGGATCTCAGCTCACTGCAACCTCTGCCTCCCAGGTTCAGGCAATTCTCCTGCCTCAGCCTCCAGAGTAGCTGGGACTACAGGCACACACCACAACACCGGCTAATTTTTTTTGTATTTTAGTAGAGACAGGGTTTCACCATGTTGCCCAGGCTGGTCTTGAACCCCTGAGCTCAGGCAATCCGCCCACCTCGTTCTCCCAAAGTGCTAGGATTATAAGTATGAGCCACCACACCTGACCAAAAGTTTCTTACATAATTTTTTTTTTGTAGAGGCAGAGTCTCACTATGTTGCCCATGCTGGTCTCAAACTTCCAGCCTCAAGTAATCCTCCCACCTCAGCCTCCCAAAGTGCTAGGATTACATGTGTGAGCCATCTCACCTGGCTTCTTCTTTTAAAAAATACAGGGTCTCAACTATGTGTCCCAGACTCAGTGATCATAGCTCAATGTAACCAGTGAACTTTGGGCTTAAGTTATTCTCTTATCTTAACCTCCCAAGTAGCTAGGACTACAGGAGAACACCATCACACCCAGCTACTTAATTTTGTAGACAGGATCTCACTATGTTGCCTAGGGTGGTCTTGAACTCCTGGCTTCAAGAGATCCTCTTGCCTCAGCCTCTGAAAGGGTTGGGATTACAGGTATAAGCCACCGTGCCAGGCCCAGCCCTCATGAAGACATACATACTTGCTAGGTGATGGGTACATCTATTCTTATGTGTTTAAAAATTGTGGTCTATGTGTGGTGGCTCATGCCTATAATCCCAGCACTTTGGGAGGCTGAGGCAGGAGGATTGCTTGAGGCCAGAGTTCAAGACCAGCCTGGACACAGAGAGATGCCATCTCTAGAAAATATATATTTTTTATTTTATTTTTTGAGACGGAGTCTCGCTCTGTTGCCCAGCCTGGAGTGCAGTGGCGCGATCTTGGCTCACTGCAACTTCTGCCTCCCGGGTTCAAGCAATTCTCCCGCCTAAGCCTCCTGAGTAGCTAGAACTACAGGTGCCCGCCACCATGCCCAGCTAATATTCTTATTTTTAGTAGAGACGGGGTTTCACCATGTTGGTCAGGCTGGTCTCGAACCCCTGACCTCGTGATCCACCCGCCTCGGCCTCCCAAAGTGCTGGGATTACAGGTGTGAGCCACCGCGCCCGGCCCAAAATATTTTTAAAATTAGCTGGGCATGGTGATGCATGCTGTAGTCCCAGCAACTTGGGGCCACGGTGAGAGGGTCAGTTGAGCCCAGGAAGTGGAGGCTGCAATGAGCTGTTTGCGCCACTGCATTCCAGCCTAGCCAACAAAGTAAGACCCTGTCCTCCTTGCCGCTCCCCACCCCCTCAAAACTAAAAGAAAATATCAAATTAAAAAAAAAAATTCTCAATTAAAAAAAAAAGACGGGCAGGTTTGCAGATCATAGAACTTTTATTTAGATGGAATCATTGCGAATTACATAGAAGCTACCAGCCTAAGCCAAACCCATGAGGTTCATGTGAACTTACAGTTACACAAATAAGAAACAAATGGTACATCCAAAACCATAAGGAAATATTCTGATGCCCAGATGATGAAGACTGGGGTGAATTAAGTCCACACATTTATTTCAAGTTGTTAAAGAGTTTGTGGGCCACCTAGATGGGGGAAAGAAAAGGAGGTAATCAATTGGCAGCTTTAATGTCATGGCTTACAAGGTCCTTCAAGACCTGAAACAGTACTGCCCCTCTTCTCACCACTCCCCTTCTCACATAGGCAAGCAGCACTTGAGTCCTAGTGAACTCCCCACTTTTTTCATCTTTTATTCTTCCTTTAGAATTTAGATCTGATAACTGTCATTTCCTGCAAGCCTTCTCTAAACAAGCCCCTATCCACACACAAATCTGTCCCTCCTATCTTTCCACAAAAACTTGTACCTCCCCATCAGTGACATTAACATTACATATTAATTCAACAGGACATCTCCTATATGCCAGGTAGTGTTCTAAGTGCTGAGTGAGTTATAACTGTAACAAAACATGCCTGCCACTTAAGAAACTTACAGGGTAATGAGTTAAAATGAACACATAAATAAGGTAACCTGTGATAATGGGAAATGCTAGGAGGAAAATAAATGGGAGGCGGGGCGGGGGGTTCAGTTAATATTACCCTGAGAAAGGTATACCTGAGAGACTTACCAAAGTTTAGCACTTGTTCTACTTCTGTTTCCTATGCTGGCTCATAAACTCAGTGAAGGAATGAACCATGTCTATCTTACTCCCAGATCCTAAACCAGTGCTTGGCTGACAAATATATGTAAATATTTTTAGAATGACCACACAGTGGGAGGGGGAAAATCAACAGTAGGGATGTTAATTCAGGGAACAGATCATGACTTGCCTATTTTGAACATTTCATACAAATCATATCATACGATATTTTTTACTTTGTGACTGGCTTTTTCCCCTTAGCATTTAGCATGTTTGCAAGGTTTATCCAGGTTGTAGCATGTTCAGTACTTATTTTGTTAAAAATTATGATAAAATACATCTAACATAAAATTTTCCACTTCAGTAATTTTTTTTTTCTATTTTAATCTTTTTTTTTTTTTTTTTTTTGAGGCAGTCTTGCTCTGTCCCCCAGGCTGGAGTGCAGTGGTACAATCTTGGCTCACTGCAACCTCCGCCTCCCGGGTTCAAGTGATTCTCCTGCCTCAGACTCCTGAGTAGCTGGGATTACAAGTGTGCGCCACCACACTCAGCTAATTTTTTTTTTTGAGACAGAGTTTCACTCTTGTTGCCCAGGCTGGAGTGCAATGGCTCACCGCAACCTCTGCCTCCCAGGTTCAAGCGATTCTCCTGCCTCAGCCTCCCTAGTAGCTGGGATTATAGGCATGTGCCACCACGCCCGGCTAATTTTGTATTTTTAGTAGAGACGGTGTTTCTCCATGTTGGTCAGGCTGGTCTCGAACTCCCGACCTCAGGTGATCCACGTGCCTCAGCCTCTGAAAGTGCTGGGATTACAGGCGTGAGCCACCGCACCTGGCCTACACTCAGCTAATTTTTTATTTTAGTAGAGACAAGGTTTCACCATGTTGTCCGAGGTGGTCTCAAACTCCTGACCTCAAGTGACATGCCTGCCTTGGCCTCCCAAAGTGTAGGAGGTGTGAACCACCGCACAAGGCCCCACTTTAATCATTTTTAACTGTACATTTCTGTGGCAGTTAAGTGCATTCCCATTGTTCTACAACCATACAGTCCCCTACAATCTCTAGAACGTCCAATCTTGGGACCTTTTTCATCTTACTAAATCAAAACTATATCCATTAAACAGTAACTCTCCATTTCCTTTCTCCCCTCAGCTCCTGGTTACTACCATTCTACTTTCTGTCTCTATGAATGTGACTGCTATTCTAGGTACCTCACCAAAGTGGAACAATACAATGTTTGTCTTCCTTGACACTTAGTTTAATGTCTCCAAGGTTCATCAATGTTGCAGCACGTGTCAGAGTTTCCCTCCTTTTTTTTTTTTTTTTTGAGACGGAGTTTTGCTCTTGTTGCCCAGGGTGGAGTGCAATGGCGCAACTTTGGCTCACCGCAGCCTCCACCTCCGGGGTTCAAGCAATTCTCCTGTCTCAGCCTCCCGAGTAGCTGGGATTACAGGCGCATATACCACCATGCGCAGCCAATTTTTGTGTTTTTAGTAGAGACGGGGTTTCATCATATTGGTCAAGCTGGTCTCGAACTCCGGACAGCAGGTGATCCACTTGCCTCGGCCTCCCAAAAAGCTGGGATTACAGGCATGAGCTGCTATGCCCAGCCCCTTCTCTTTTTTTTTTTTTTTTTGAGACGGAGTCTTGCTCTGTACCCAGGCTGAAGTGCAGTGGCGTGATCTCAGCTCACTGCAAGCTCCGCCTCCCGGGTTCATGCCAATCTCCTGCCTCAGCCTCCCAAGTAGCTGGTTCTACAAGCACCCGCCACCATGCCCGGCTAATCTTTTGTATTTTGAGACAGGGTTTTACCGTGTTAGCCAGGATAGTCTCAATCTCCTGACCTTGTGATCCGCCTGCCTTGGCCTCCCAAAGTGTTGGGATTACAGGCATGAGCCACCGTGCCCCGGCCCCCTTCTCTTTTAAGGCTGAATAATATCCCATTGTATATACAAAGCACATTTTAAAAAAATCTTTGCATCTATGGATGGAAAATTGGGTTGTTTCTACCTTTTGGCTATTGTGAATATGAATGTGGAAATATCTGTTTAAGCCTACTCTCAATACTTCTGGGTATATACCTAGAAGTGAAATTGCTAGATCATATAGTACATAATTCTATGTTTAATTTTTGAGAAAAGAACTTGTTTTTTTTTTTTTGAGACAGGGTCTCAGTCTGTCACCCAGGCTGGAGTGCAGTGGCGTGATCATGGCTCACTGAAGCCTTGACTTCCCCAGGCTCAGGTGATCCTCCCACCTCAGCCTCCCAAGTAGCTAGGACTACAGGTGTGAGCCAGCTTGCCTGGTTATCTATATCTATCTATCTATCTATCTATCTATCTATCTATCTATCTATCTGTCTATATTTTTTTGAGATGAAGTCTCGCTCTGTCGCCCAGGCTGGAGTGCAGTGGCACAATCTCAGCTCACTGCAAGCTCCGCCTCCCGGGTTCACGCCATTCTCCAGCCTCAGCCTCCCAAGTAGCTGGGACTACAGGCGCCCGCCACCACGCCCGGCTAATTTTTTTGTATTTTTAGTAGAGATGGGGTTTCACCATATTGGCCAGGCTGGTCTCGATCTCCTGACCTCATGATCCACCCGCCTCCGCCTCCCAAAGGGCTGGGATTACAGGCGTGAGCCACCGCGCCCGGCTTTTATATATATATTTTTTGTAAAGACAGGGTTTTACCATGTTGCCCAGGCTGGTCTCAAATTCCTGGGCTCAGGTGATCTGCCTGCCTTGACCTCGCAAAGTTCTGCGATTACAAGCATGAGCCACAGTGCCCAGCCTAGCTGATGGACACTTATGTTGTTTCCACTTTTTGGGTAGTATAAATAATGCTTCTATGAACATTTGTGTACAAGTTTTTATGTGAACATATGTTTTCATTTCTCTTGGGTATATATCTTCGAGTGTAATTGCTGTGTCATATATTAACTGTATATTTAGCCTTTTGAGGAACTGCCAGATGTTTTCCACAGTGGCTGTACCAATTTACACTTTTACTGACAGCGTATGAGGTTTCCAACTTTTCCACATTGTCGTCAACACTCGTTATCTTCTTTATTATAGCCATCCTAGTGGGCAGTTGGTATAAAGTGTTATCTCATGGTAGTATCCCTGGTGGCTAATGATGTTGAACATCTTTTCATACGTTTACTGGCCATCCAATTAGTTTTAATAGAAGCAACCACATCAAACTTTGCTTATGTATAATTTATGTAAAATACCTTACTGTGTTATATGTAAGAGTCAAGCAGAAGTTTATTTTTATTTTTTTAATTTTGATTTTTTAAAAGTAGAGACAGGGTTCCCCTATCTTGCCCAGGCTGGTCTTAAACTCCTGGGGTCAAGGGGTCCTCCTGCCTTGGTCTTCCAAAAGTGCTAGGATCATAAGCGTCAGCCACTATGCCCTGCCTGAGTTTACTTTTAAAAAACAACCCCTTGAGGCCAGGCATGGTATCTCACACCTGTAATCCCAACACTCTGGGAAGCTGAGATGAGTGGCATGTGTGAACCCAGGAGTTCTAGACCAGCCTGGGCAACACGGCAAAATCCCATCTCTACAAAAAATACAAAAATTACCCAGGTATGGGCCAGGTGCGGTGGCTCACGCCTGTAATCTCAGCACTTTGGAAGGCTGAGGCAGGTGGATCACTGGAGGTCAGGAGTTCAAGACCAGCCTGGCCAACATGGTGAAACCCCGTCTCTACTAAAAATACAAACAAACAAAAAATTAGCTGGGTGTGGTGGCGTGCACCTTTAATCCCAGTTACTTGGGAGGCTGAAGCAGGAAAATCGCTTGAACCCAGGAGGTGGAGGTTGCAGTGAGCCAAGATTGCGCCACTGCACTCCAGCCTGGGTGACAGAGTGCAACTCAGTCTCAAATTAAAAAAAAAAAAAATTACCAAGGCATGGTGGCATGTGCCTATAGTCCTGGCTACTCAGAGGCTAAGGCAGAAGGATTGTTTGAACCAGGAGGTAGAGGCTGTAGTGTGCCATAATTGTGCCACTGCACTCCAGCCTGGGTGACAGAGCAAGCAAGACCTTATCTCAAAAAAAAAAAAAAAGGCTGGGTGCAGTGGTTCACACCTGTAATCCCAGAACTTTGGAAGGCTGAGGCAGGTGGATCACAGGGGTCAGGAGACTGAGACCATCTTGGCTAACACAGTGAAACCCCGTCTCTACTAAAAATACAAAAAAACAAAAACAAACAAACAAAAAAAAACAAAAAAACCATTAGCCGGGAATGGTGGCGGGCGCCTGCGGTCCCAGCTACTCGGGAGGCAGAGGCAAGAGAATGGCGTGAAGCCGGGAGGTGGAGCTTGCAGTGAGCCGAGATCGCGCCACTGCACTCCAGCCTGGGCGACAGACCAAGACTCCGTCTCAAAAAAAAAAGCAACCTTTTGGACCAACTACTATATATTAGACACATTTGAGGATACAAATTATTTTTTTTTTGGCGCAACCTTGGCTCACTGCAAGCTCCGCCTCCTGGGTTGACGCCATTCTCCTGCCTCAGGCTCCCGAGTAGCTGGGGGCTACAGGCGCCCGCCACCACGCCCGGCTAATTTTTTGTACTTTAGTAGGGACGGGTTTCGCTGTGTTAGCCAAGATGGTCTCAATCTCCTGACCTCGTGATCCGCCCGCCTCCGCCTCCGCCTCCGCCTCCGCCTCCCAAAGTGCTGGGATTACAGGCGTGAGCCACCGCGCCCGGCCAATACAAATTATTTTTAAAGAACAGTCTGTTATTGAAAAGTACAAAATCCAGCTTCCCCACTGTTTAGTGGTGCATGTTGGGATGTTTATGTTTTTTTCTCTGAGCCTCAGTTTCTATCTGTGAAATGGGATAATGATACCTATCTCCAGTGGAAGTAGTAAGGATTAGGCAAGATTATTATTATTATTATTTTTTTTTTTTTTTGAGATGGAGTCTCGCTCTGTCGCCCAGGCCAGACTGCGGACTGCAGTGGCGCAATCTCGGCTCACTGCAAGCTCCGCTTCCCCGGGTTCACGCCATTCTCCTGCCTCAGCCTCCCGAGTAGCTGGGACTACAGGCGCCCGCCACCGCGCCCAGCTAATTTTTTGTATTTTTAGTAGAGACGGGGTTTCACCTTGTTAGCCAGGATGGTCTCGATCTCCTGACCTCATGATCCACCCGCCTCGGCCTCCCAAAGTGCTGGGATTACAGGCATGAGCCACCGCGCCCTAGGCAAGATTATTTATAGGCCAGGCACAATGGCTCATGCCTATAATCCCAGCACTTCAGAGGGCCGAGATGGAAGGAAGGATTGCTTGAGCCCAGGAGTTTGAGACCAGCCTGGGCAACATAACAAGGCCCCGTCACTAGAAAAAATTAAAAAATAAAAAATTAGCCTCTCATGGTGGCATGCACTTGTAGTCCCAGCTACTTGGGAGGCCAAGGCAGGATCACTTAGGCCCAGGAGTTCAAGGTTGGCACTGAGCTACGATCATGCCGCTGTACTTCAGCCTGGACAACATAGTGAGACCCTCTCAATAAAATAGAATAGGTTATTTACATAAAATGCTCAGCGCACCATATGTCACATATATTGGGCCCAGAGTAACTGATGGGCCTTTCCCTAGCATGGAAAGATTGTTGGCACCAAGTCTTCCCTGACCATTGCAACCTTTCCCCTTCCTGACTTCCCACTGACTTACGCAATGGTCCCTCGCATGCAAGAAGTCAAAGAGCTCCTCCGTGCAATCCTCTTCTGTATGTGATCGAGAGGATACACGCTCATCACAGAGCTCTAGCCGCTCCCGGGCCTTTACACATTTCTCCAACTGCTCGCATTGCTCTCTCACTGTTGTTAGGGGATCCTGATGTAGAAACAGAAAAAAAACAAAATGGGCATTTTTAGCAGAGACCCACCAAACACATATGCTTTGATTAACACAACCACCAAACCAAGGTGCTGCCTCTGAATTACCGTGCAGAAGGCCAGCTGGCAGAGCCACACTGCCGCCAGAAATGGCAGAATGCGGTCTCCCATTCAATTCTGATGCTAAGTAGTAGGGAAAAGTTTCACATTCCTGCCTTCCAAGGTTGCCAGTATGCACTGAAAGCCTCAGTCCTATCTGAAAAACAAGGTGGTAAAGGAAACCTGGCCAAACTTGAAGTAGATCTATAGGAGGCCTTACTTGTTAACACAGCATTTTGGAATATGACACGTCTGAAACTTCAAATCCCCTTGTCTGAGAACCAGGCCTATGCACCCCAGCTGCCCAACTAGAAAGGCAATGCTAACATAGAGAAGGACTATCTAACAAAGGTTCCTTCAGAGTTCTTTTTTTTTTTTTTTTTAAGACGGAGTTTTGCTCTTGTTGCCCAGGCTGGAGCGCAATGGCGCAATCTCAGCTCACCACAACCTCCGCCTCTCGGGTTCGAGCAATTCTCCTGCCTCAGCCTCTCGAGTAGCTGGGATTACAGGCATGTGCCACCACGCCCGGCTAATTTTGTATTTTTAGTAGAGATGGGGTTTCTCTACGTTGTTCAGGCTGGTAATCCGCCTGCCTTGGCCTCCCAAAGTGCTGAGATTACAGGCACGAGCCACCATGCCTAGCCCAAAGTTCTTTATTAAACCACAAATAGCAGATGATTGAGTGCCAGGCCCTCAAGATGCCATCTGCTCCCTGGTACCACAACTGAAGAAGCCCCAAACCCAGAACAGACTCAGCTTCCAAGGCTCACACCCTAAACTCTCCACTGCACAGGAAGTATCAAAGCTTATTCCACCCCCATTATCTACAAGGTATCAAGTAAAAACTCCTTAAAATGCCCTTAGAATTTCATGAAGCTCAAACCCTGCTTTTACTGAGATGTTTCCAAACCTGAGACAGTTCTTACCACTAATTCCTCCTCTTCCTCTTCCTCCTACAAAAGGAAAACAAAATTAATGTCAGCAGCAATTTTATGACATATTTATTCCTGATCATACTGATGTAATTACTGACGATAGACACTGACACTATTAACGATGTTATTTTGTTTTCTGTGTTTTATGATGTTTTTACATTTTAGAGGCCTTGCTAATCCTGGAGCTAATCCTGCTCTTCCAGGGCTAATTTTTAGACAGCAAACTTGCCTGCGAGCATACCTTTCATATGCAACGTAACTATCCAAAGTGCTTGTAGCAAACTGCCTCCTTTATCTTTTGTTTAAGAGACAGAGTCTTGCTCTGTCATAGCTCACTGCAGCCACAAACTCCTGGGCTCAAGTGATCCTCCTGCCTCAGCCTTCTGAGTAGCTAGGACTATAAGCACACGCCACATGCCTGGCTAATTTAAAAATTTTCTTTGTGGTAGAGACAAGGTCTCATTATGTTGCCCAGGCTGCTCTCAAACTCCTGGGCTCAATCAATCCTCCTACCTTGGCCTCCCAAAGTGGTGGGATTATAGGCATTAGCCACTCAGCCTGGCCCTGCCTCCTTTATCTAAGTTTTGTACACTAAGCTCCTGTTTCCCCTTCTCTAAATCACCCCAGGGACAAATATAGGACAACTAGGAACCAGCCCTATAAGCTAGAGCCCAACGAAATTATTCAAACTATCCAATCCTAAATTTGAGCAAGTGTACCTACGCTGCCCACCAATTCCTTCCCATAGAAACCAAGGTGCTGAGCCATGCTTCCTTCCCCTCATACCTTCTGCCTCCTGACGAGCTCAGACACTTCCCCATATAGCTCTGCATTTTTTTGTGTGGCATATCCCTCTCTTTCAGGAAATTTAAGTAATAATAAACTCTTCTTTCAAAGGCGGTTGTCTCCAGGTCTGTCACCTTACCATACTTGGTTAAAACGAATCCCAGGTATATTTCAAGACAGAGACACCATCTCACTTTCATTAACAAGAACCTAAGTGTGCTTAATACTCTCCAGTTTATAAAGCACCTTCATATCTCTTATGATTTAATTAATCACAACAGTCCCTTAAGGAGGTAATCCCAGTTTAGAGATAATAAACAGTAATTAGACATTTTCTGATACAGATTCAAGCTGCCAGATGTTCACATGGGGCCTACATAATCTAAAGTATTTGTCCCAGTATTGCTACAAATAGCAAAATTTAGTCCTTACATCCCAAACCAAGTTAGGAGGAAAACCCATTTTTTTCTAGACTGTGAACTTGAATTAGGAATATGAAAACTGCTAAACCTAAAAACCCTTGTTTGGTCAGAGCTTAACTAAGGATGGTTAGTCACTGCTTTTTGGCTTGCTGAACTCCCAGAACCCCTAGTAGACTAAGTATATCAAATAAAAGTGCACAACTCCACTCATGAGCTTGGAAATACAGAACAGACCCCACCTATTCACTTCTGATTCAAATGCACAACCTCAAACTTAGTTTCCTTCTTCTTCAAGGATAGTAGTGTAAAAAACTGCCCATGGGAGCAACAGTTTAGGCCTAAATTTGGGATATAGTAAAATCTGACCTCAGAAATAAGGTGTTTGCCTGCCTGTGCATGCAGATACCCACATTTGGGGGCAAGGAAAGAAAAGGTATCTAGGGAAATAAAAAGAACTAGCTCAGGAATCATGTTTTCAGAACTCCAATACAGGGCCAGGTGAGAGGACTGCTTGAGACCAGCCTGGGCAACATGACAAGACCCCATCTCTAAAAAAATTAAAAACAGGCTGGGCATAGTGGTTCACACCTGTAATCCCAGCACTTTGGGAGGCTGAGGTGGCCAGATCACCTGAGGTCAGGAGTTCTCAATCAGCCCGGCCACCATGGTGAAACCCCGTCTCTACTAAAAATACAAAAATTACCTGGGCATGGTGGCACGCGCCTGAAATCCCAGCTACTCAGGAGGCTGAGGCAGGAGAATCACCTGAAACCAGGAGGCAGAGGTTGCAGGAGCCAAGATCCTACCCCTGCACTCCAGCCTGGGCGACAGAGAGACTCCGTCTCAAAAATAAATAAATTAGCCGGGCATGGTGGCGCACGTCTGTGGTCATGGCTACTCAGAAGGCCGAGGTGGGAGGATCCCTTGAGCCCAGGGGTTTGAGGCTGCAGTGAGCTATGACTGTACCACTGCACCCCAGTCTGGGTGACAAGAGTGAGACCCCGTCTCCAAAAAAAGTCCTAATACATGTTTCATCCTCTACCATGCCATTCAGTGAAGCCACCAAAGCTCATACAAGCTGGGAGTGAGGGGTAGGAAAGGTTCAATTTGGAATCCAGGCTATTTATTCTCACAATTGGCAAAGGTTTCTTCTAAATATGAAGATGCTATTTAGGATGTAAATTCTAGTTTTTCATTAACAAGGTTTCTTAATGCTGCTCTTTTAAAAAACATACTGAAAGCCGGGTGCAGTGGCTCATGTCTGTAATCCCAGCACTTTGGGAGGCCAAGGCAGGAGGATCACGAGGTCAAGAGATTGAGACCATCCTGGCCAACATGGTGAAACCCCATCTCTACTAAAATTACAAAAATTAGCTGGGCGTGATGGCACACGCCTGTAGTCCCAGCTACTCGGGAGACTGAGGCAGGAGCATTGCCTGAACCCAGGAGGCAGAGGTTGCAGTGAGATCGCGCCACTGTACTCCAGCCAGGCAAGAGCGAGACTCCGTCACAAAAAAAAAAAAAAAAAAACTGAAAAAGTTTTCCCAAAAAAACTAAAATTACATTCTGCCCGAGTTAGAAAACAGAAATTAGGACCGTAGATACAAGACCCTTATATCATTTCCCTATTAGCAATGCTACAACACTGGTAATTCTGTGTCACTGATAATTTTGTGTCAAAAATAACATGGCAGGTTTTGAAAAAATAAATCCAAATATGTTTGAATATGGATTGCTACATGTAAAATTTCCAGTCACTGAGAAAAACCAAGATCACACCAGATAAAAAGATTTAATCCTCAATAATTTTGCGTTCCTCAGCCGGGCGCGGTGGCTCAGGCCTGTAATCCCAGCACTTTGGGAGGCCGAGGAGGGCGGATCAGGAGGTCAGATCCAGACCATCCTGGCTAACACGGTGAAACCCTGTCTCTACTAAAAATACAAAAATTAGGTGGCGTGCGCCTGTAATTTCAGCTACTCAGGAGGCTGAGGCAAAAGAGAATCGCTTGAACCCGGGAGCGGAGGTTGCAGTGAGCCGGATCACGCCACTGCACTCCAGCCTGGGAGACAGAGCAAGATTCCGTCTCAAAAAAAAAAAATTATGGGTTCCTCATAGAATACCATAGTTTATTTTATTTTATTTATTTATTTATTTATTTTGAGACGGAGTCTCGCTCTGTCGCCCAGGCTGGAGTGCAGTGGCGCGACCTTGGCTCACTGCAAGCTTCGCCTCTCGGGTTGACGCCATTCTGCCTCAGCCTCTCGAGTAGCTGGGACTACAGGCGCCCGCCGCCACGCCCGGCTAATTTTTTGTATTTTCAGTAGAGAAGGGGTTTCACCATGTTAGCCAGGATGGTTTGGATCTCCTGACCTCCTGATCCACCCGCCTCGGCCTCCCGATCCACCCGCCTCGGCCTCCCGATCCACCCGCCTCGGCCTCCCAAAGTGCTGGGATTACAGGCATGAGCCACCGCGCCCGGCCAGAATACCCTAGTTTAAAACTGACTGCTTAATTACTTGCTTTTTCTCATCTATTGCAGCGGTGGATCTTGCTGACCTTTCTGAGGCAGGCTCCATTTCTTTCTTTAGTTTTTTTTTTTTTTTTTTTTTTTGAGACAGGGTCTCACTCGGGTTGCCTCGGCTGGAGTGCAGTGACACGATCACGGCTCACTGCAGCCTGGACTTCCTGGGCTCAAACTCCCGAGCAGTTGAGACCACAGGCGTTCACCACCATGCCCGGCTAATTTTTATATTTTTTGTAGAGACGGGGTTTCGCCACGTTGCCCAGGCTGGTCCAACTCCTGGACTCATGCTACCTGTCTGCCTCGGCCGTCCTCCTAAAGTGTTGGGATTACAGGCGTGAGCCACTGCGCCCGGCCTCAGGTTCTATTTCTTTTTAGAAATAATAAGACTAGAAAAATTAAGGGATAAATAAGTCTCCAATTATTCTGAACCCACAGCCCAGAATGGCTGCCCCCAAGTGACCAGAGAACAGACGGACAGGAAATGAGATTAGAAACAACTAGTAGCTGTGTCGCAAAATTGATAAGAGTCCTGGTTCTAGAACCGCGCTGCTTGGCCGCAATTCCTGGCTGCACCAATTTGGTAGCTGCATGACCTTAGAAAAGATATTTAACCTCTATGCTTGTTTCCTCATCTGTAAAAATGGCACTAATAGTACCCAACACTTACTTCATAGGAATAGTGTGTAGATGAAATGAATTAGGGCCGGGCGCGGTGGCTCACGCCTGTAATCCCAGGACTTTGGGAGGCCGGGGTGGGCGGATCACTAGGTCAGGAGTTCGAGATCAGCCTGGCCAACAGAGTGAAACCCCCGTCGCTACTAAAAACACAAAAATTAGCCAGGCGTGGTGGCGGACACCTGTAGTCCCAGCTACCTGGGAGGCTGAGGCAGGAGAATCGCTTGAACCCAGGAGGCGGAGGTTGCAGCGAGCCGAGACCACGCCACTGCACTCCAGCCTGGGCGACAGAGCGAGATTCCATCTCAAAAAAAAAAAAAAAATTAATTAGTGCATATAAAGCACTTGGAATAGCAAGCAGTCAATAATTATAGCAGCACTCTTTCTCTGGGAAAGAGCTCCCTCTTCCATCACAGAATCACATCGTACATTCTTTCATTGTCCCCAAAGACACACACCTTCCTCAAAGAAAAGGAACACAAGGCCAGGTCTTCCGAACCTCCATAGAAGATGTGGTAGGGATTCCTAACCTGAGCTGGGGCAAGGCGGTCTGTTTGCTCCCCAAATCTGTGAAACGCGGGCTTCAGAACATCTGACTGACTGCAAACATAGGTCATATTTTTACAAGACTTTAGTCCACAAAACATTTTCGCTCTCAAACCTTCACTACATTCACAGAATGCAGAAGCCGAGGCCCAGAGAAAAACTAGTCATCTATCTGTCCAAAGTCACCGGACGAATTCTGGGGAAAGGTCGAGGGAACTAGAGCTCCCGACTATGCAAACCCTAGAGGGTAAACTGGGGGCTAAGAGGGCCCCGTGCGTGTTTTGGCGGGCTAGGTCCTGGGCTTCAGGGCAGAGAAGAGGGCCGAGTGGATCGCCTTGCCTTACCTCCTCAGGATCTCCGGATTCGGTAAGCATCTTTTGCTCGTCCTCCAGTCCCATGTCTGGCTACGGTTCTAGATTCAACACGAGCAGCAACAGCGGCACCTAACCCAGTTCAGGATCAAGAAGGACTTGTAAGGGTCACTCAGCGGAAATCCGGCGATCTGGCCGGAAGTGCGGCACACTCATCGTGGTCGCGAACACATGCTCAGATTGGCATGTACTACCAGCCGCAGGCAGAGGTTAGGGGTAGCTGATGTTTGCACCCGAGGAGGCTTTGCTAAGAAACATCCCCTTAGTCATACCACACCCAAGTATAATTGATCTAGGAGTTTATCTAAAATAGTAGCTCCTAAGAGACTTGGAAAGTGTGCTAATTTCTTCGAAATTTCTTTAGAATAATTCACATTCTTCCCCATATCGCTTATGGAGCCGTCCTAACTGCTGACCTTTTCAAGATGGCGGTCCGCGGGCGACACTCTCGGGCTCGCGCACCTCCCCAAGATGGCGGCGCCCGAGGCCTGGCGCGCCCGGAGTTGCTGGTTCTGTGAGGTAGCGGCGGCAACGACCATGGAGGCCACGTCCCGGGAGGCGGCGCCAGCGAAGAGCTCGGCCTCGGGCCCCAACGCTCCCCCCGCCCTGTTCGAGCTGTGCGGGCGGGCGGTGAGCGCCCATATGGGGGTTCTGGAGAGCGGGGTGTGGGGTAAGTCGCGGGGTGAGGGGCTACCTCTGGCTAAGAGCAAGGGGCGGCCCAGCGGCCGGGGGGCGCGGGGGGCGAGGCCGGGAGGCCCGGGGCAAGGCCCAGCCTGGGGCGCTGAAAGCCAGCTCGTAGGATCGGAGAATGAATTTTGTGACTGACAGGGCTGGACAGAGTAAAGACGGAGACCTAAATGGGCAGGCTGACCCGCACCGCGGCCTGGCTCGGGGGCGCGGGGGGCGAGGCCAGGAGGCCCGGTCTGGAGCGAAGCAGGCTGGGCCCGGGCGACTGAGGCTGGATTGCGGCTGTGGGCCGCGCGAACTGACACTCGGCTGGGCCGGGCAGGAGAGTCTCGGATGTCGAACCGGTGGGCAGCGATGGCCCGGCTGCCCTAGGGCAGGGGCCGAGGTTAGGAGGCCCGGCCTAAGGCAAGGCCAGGCCAGGCCCGGGGCCACCGAACCTGACTGATGGCCCCGGGGCTCCAGCATCTGCCTGACACGCCACGGGGGTCGAGATTCCGGAGGCCAAGCCGATGGGCGGAGGGGAGGACAGCAGATTGGAGAGCGAGGGAATGGGGCAGGGGGAGAGGCCGAACGAAAGGGTCGGGGCGCCGCGGCCTGTCTGACGGCCCAGGGCTGACGGGAGCGAACCGACAACCGGGGTCTCGGGTGCCAAACTGACTAAGCGACCGAGCGACCGTGCGACCCGCAGGACAGGGAGCGCCGGAGGCCACTCGGATCGGCTCGAGCGGCGAGGAGGGACCGGAGAGCGAGTGGAGGGGGGCCCGGAGCGGCTTAAACAAGCGAGGGAGGCTCGAATGACGGACAGGCGGGAAGGGCCAAGGAGGCCCCAAGCGGGGCGACGGCCCGGGGATCCCGGACTGCCGGGCTGCCGTGGCAGGGGGCGCGGCGCCGCCAAGAGGCCTTGGGCTGAATGGGAGTGAACGGGGGCCCCAGGCCTGAAGGCGGCCGGGACCAAAGGGCCGGGCCTGGATGGAGGGCGGCCTGGGGCGCCGGGATGAACGGCCGGGGAGGGCGAACCGGCCAGTTGGGCTGGGAGGCGGGGCTGTGGGTTGGGGACCGCTGGCCGCGGCCTGGCCGCTGACGAGGGAAACTTGGGTCCGACGTGGGGCAAGTGAAAGAGGGGAAAGTGAGGCTCTGCCAAGCAGGCCTAGCCGCGCTGGGGACAGGGGAGGCCTCGGGCCTGAGAGGCTGCTGGCTCTGTGAGGGTGGGGTCGGGAGGCCGGGGTTGGAGTTGGGCGAAGAGGTGGCAGGCCCGGCCGAGGCCTGCTGGGGAGGGGGGCAGGAGAGCAGGCCCCGGGCCTGGAAGCGGCGCGGGGGAGGTTCCACCAGGAGGCCTTGCGGGTGGCCGTGGCGTCTTTGCAGGAGGAAGGCCCTGGTCAGGACAGGAGTGAGGACTTTGAGGACTCGAGGTTGCAGGGCGCGGAGTTTGAGTTATGCCATGAGGAGGGGGTGTGGGGAAAAGGCCCTGGAGTTTGGGGGGACTGAAGCTCCGGGATAAGCTGGAGGGTGGTCGGGGAGGCCCTTGGCTGTGGGAGTGGAGCCCAGTACCATGAGGCCTGAGTGTCCTGCATAGTGGTGGTGGAAGAGGCTTTTAGAAGTCGGCCGGTGTGCGGAGGGGACAGTGGAGGCCCCAGGCCAGCCAGCGGCTGAGAAGACAAGGGGCAGGCCGACCCATGGGGAACAGGAGGAAAGGCTCCGTAGAGCTGAGCAGGGAGCTCAGAAAAGTCCTAGGGCATGGGGAAGAAGGCAGAGAGGGTCTGGCTTTTCCGCCTGGAGCTTCTGGGATGCTAAGACTGGCTAAAAAGGAAGATGACTGGGTGCGGAGGCCCAGGTTGGGAAGCAGCAGCATTAAAGGTGCAGGCTAGAAAGAAGCAAGGAAAATCCCGGCTTAAGAAGAATGGAGAAAGGAAGAGAGGAGTTTGTGGGTAACTGGGGATGAGAATTCCTGTGGCTGCAAGAAGAGATGGCTAACTAGAGGGGAGCAGGTTGGAGGGAAAAGGGGTAAGGCTCTGGAGGAACTTCTTCCCGTGTGGCCTCTTCCCCCTAAAACAATTGACAGTTTACTGAATCTCCCTTTCCCCTTCTCCCTCCCCTACCACTGCTGTACATACCACCATCCCATTACTGGCTGAGCCCCCAGCCAAGTTGAGAGGAGACAGGGGAGGAAGAGCTCCTGTGGGCCTAGACCAGAAAAAGCTGAATCAAGTGAGGCCTTTTAGGAGAATAGCCAAGGAAGAGGCCTGCTAAGCATTGCTATTTTAGAGGAAGGTCTGTGTGGGCTAACAGCCAGGAAAGGCTTCCTGGAGGTAGTGGACTAGCATCGCTTTGTGTAAGGAGTTGGGGCAGCGGGTGTATAGAGGCAGCAGGAAAGGGTACAATGAGGAAACTTTAAAATAAGGTATATTATACCTTGAATACCAGGATATGGAGTTTGGACTTTATCATGAATGCAGCAGAGAGACCTCCAAGGGTTTTGAAGAGGGTAGTGTCATCACCAAGAGCAGGATGAAGAGGGACTGGATGGAGACTGAAGTGAAGGAGAGCAGTTAGGCTGTTGTAATAGACCAGATGAAAGGTGATGTGGACTACATTCGTGTAAAAGCATAGGGAATTAACACTTTCATTCAGCCCGTACATCGAGGACCTACTATGTACAAATAATTATACTAGATTCTTGGATGTCAAGATTCAGTTATTCTGTAAGTAAAGATAAAAAGAGACCCTGGAGCGGAAGTTTTGGTATACTCCAAGATCTTAGACTTGTTCTTTTTCTTTGAGATGGGGTCTCACTCTGTCACCCAGGCTGCAGTGCAGTGGCATGATATCAGCTCACTGCCACCTCTGTCTTCTGGGCTCAAGCAATTCTCCCATCTCAGCCTCTCGAGTAGCTGGGACCACAGGCGTGCCCCACAACACCCAGCTAATTTTTTTTTGTATTTTTGGTAGAGATGGGGTTTTGCCATGTTGCCCAGGCTAGTCTCAAACTCCTGGACTTAAGCAATGCCCCCTACCTCTGACCTCCAAAGATTACAGGAATTACAGGTGTGAGTTTGACTTGTTCTTGATTGGACAGAGATGCCATTGACAGGATAAAAATAACCACCAACATTTAGCGAGCTTATTATGGCTGGGCATTGTTTTAAACAGATTATAAGCATGATCTTCACAACAATGTCATGAGTTAATTACTGTTATCTCCATTTTATTTTATTTTATTTTATTTTATTTGTGAGACAGAGTCTTGCTCTGTCGCCCAGGCTGAAGTGCAGTGGCGCCATCTCGGCTCACTGCAGTCTCTACCTCCTGAGTTCAAGTGATTCTTGTGCCTCAGCCTCCCAAGTAGCTGGGATTACAGGCGTGCATCATTACACCTGGCTAATTTTTGTATTTTTAGTAGAGATGGGGTTTCACCATGTTGGTCAGGCTGGTCTCAAACTCCTGACCTCAAGTGATCTGCCCGCCTTGGCCTCCCAAAGTGCTGGTATTACAGGTGTGAACCATTGCATCCCACCTATTTTTTATTTTTTGAGGCAGGGTCTTGCTCTGTCATCCAGGCTGGAGTGCAGTGGTCTAAGCACAGCTCACTTCAGCCTCAACCTCCTGGGCTCCAGCCATCCTCCCACCTTAGCCTCCCAAGTAGCTGTGACCACAGGTGCACACCATCACACTCTGCTAATTTTTGTTTTGTTTTGAGATAGGGTTCTCACTGTGTCACCTGGGCTCAAGTACAGTGGTGTGATCATAGCTCACTGTAGCCTCGAACTCCTGGGCTTAAGCGATCCTCTTAGCCTCCCAAAGTGCTGGGATTACAGGTGTGAACCACTGTGCCCAGCCTCCATTTTTTTCCAGTTGAAGAAACTAAGGCTTAAAGAGGCTTAAATAATTTGTCCAAGGATTCACATTTAACTAAGTAGTTAGGATTGCACTCAGATTTGTCCTACTCTAGAGGCCAAACCCTTTAGACACTATACTATAACAGCTCTTAGAACTAGAGAAGTTGGCAAGAGCAGGTTTTGTTTTTAAGATATATTGACTTTAGAGACACGAATTGTTTCTATTCTTCATAGGAAAGTACTAGTTCAGAATATAGCAGTAGCCCAAAGGATGGTAGTGGTTAATCTGGAAAAATGGAAAAGGAATTCAGGAAAGACTTAATAAAGGGCATGTGATACTTGAAAGATGAGTAGTTGATATACTGAAAGTGGCAACGACATTCCTATTAGAACAGCATGACAAAGGACATTCCTATTGGAAAGAACAGCATGACAAAGGTACAGGGGCAGAAAGCGGCATAATATGTTAGGTAAATGAAAAAGTAGTTAAGTGTGGCTGAAATGTAGGAGGCAAAGCAGGGAGCTGATACTAGCAGGGCAGATTATGAAAGACCTTTTATCACACATATTCAGTAGGTCCTTTTCAATGCCAAATGGTTCATTTTGCTTGGGCAGAAGTGAACTGACCAGCTCCTAAATAAGCATGTCAAGCTCATTTAGCATGTCAGCTTGTTTTGTGGGATGATCTCACCCTTGCCCCTGAAATTCCAGCTTCCAACTGAGTGGCTGAAGATAAGTGGACTAGAGTTTGGAACAGATCTAGATTAGCTTCTAGAGGTTCCATTTGTCAAATGAGAAGTCTACCCTTCCATTTTCCTTTCCAGTAGAATAAATAATGCTTGGAAACCTCTTGGGTGGGAGGGGGAGGGGAGGAAAAGTAAACTTTTGTTTTGATTTTTGTAGCCCTCCCAGGCCCAATACTTCAAAGCATCCTACCTCTGCTCAATATATATTACTTGGAGAGGATTGAGGAAACTGCCCTCAAGAAAGGTGAGTATCTTTCTGTCTCTTTCTCAGTCAATGATTATGAGCAAGGCACCATAATGTTCTTCCGGTAAATATTACCCCTGATACCTGCTAGAACTTCGTGCTTTTCAAAAAGTACCTTCACACCTATTTTTCTTCCTCATTCCTCAGTGTCCTATGAAACACAAAGCCAAGTATATGATCTTTATTATACTGATAAAAGTGAGACACAGGCACACCACAATTAATAGCAAAGCCAGAACAACAACCCATATCTTGTGAATCTTAGTTTCTCTATTTTACCAAGCTTCCTCCCCTCATTAGACACATCTGTTAACAGGTAACATTTAACCCTAATGTGTCAAGCATTGTCCTAGGCACTTTACCCACAGAAACTCATTTACCCTAATCCTTTCAACAACCCTATGAAATAGCTGTTATTAACATTTTACAGATGAGGAGACTGAACCACAGAGAAATTAAGTAACTTGCGCAAAGTCACATAGCTGGAGTGTAGTTTGCTGATATTCACACCCAGGCAATCTGTCTTTAGAGCCAGTGCCCTTAATCACTCTGCCATATTGCTCCTGTGAACCCAGAAGACAACATGAAAGGTTGATGTACTTTACTCATGGTGGCCAGTAAGCAGCCAAGTGTGATATTTCTCCTTACAGGCCTCTCAACTCAGGCCATCTGGCGCCGACTCTGGGATGAACTGATGAAGACAAGGCCTTCCAGTTTGGAAGTAAGTTAAGGTATCAGGTAGAATGCTAGCCTGATTTTGCATGGTAAAAGCAGGAATAGCACACAAACACAAGCTGGGTACTGATAAAGTGCAGAGGCAATGATGGAATGGATTTGGGAGGAGGGCTCTGATGGCTTGTCACAAGGTTTTGGTCCATTTGGCATTTGTCACTGAATTGCTTGCTCACTGTATTTGCAGGGGACACAAAACAGGGAAAGTTAGTGATCACAATGGATGGCAGAGCCAGGATTCCTAGAGTTCTTGATGGTGTTGGTGCAGTGGTCAAATCTAACAAAATGAAATTTAATAGAATACACCAATACTTCAATGAGTTTTAAAAGTTCCAATTGCATGGTATCGGGATGAGGGATAAAGGAGTATGATTAGTAACAGCTTGTATAAAAAAGATTAAGGGAGTTTAGTCAACAATGTGTTGAAGCCACTTATAACGACTATACCTTGAGCTGTGTGAACTAATGTAAATATAGTATAGGCTGAAGGACAAGGTGGACAACAGTCCTGCCTAGCTCTGCAATGGTCAGGCTACCCGTGGAGATTGGAGAAAGTCAAAGCCACATTATGTGAGTCACATTGGGACAACTGGAGATGTTTTTCCTGAAAAAGAGAAGACTTGGGAAACATGACCCATCTTGAAATATATGAATGGCTGTCACATGAAGGAGGGATTAATAGACTTGTTCTGGATGGAAGCTAATGGAAGATACATTTTTGCTAACCTGAAGTTTACGTAAAGCTTAAACCCTGAGCTTATGAAACAAGCTAATTCTAGAGGTAATAAACTTCCCATCACTAAGTTCAAATGGAGTCTGTGTAACTCCTTGACACTAGGGTGTTCTGCAGGGGATTCAGCATTGTAAAAGGGGTTGCACAAGATGACTTTTAGAGCTCCTTTTAGACCTGAGATTCTATTATTCACTGATACAGATATAAATCACTGGAGCTCTCATTTAAGCAGTTTCTTTTGCTGCCCCATAACTAGGTGATGGGGTAGATTTAATTCAATAAACATTTACTGAAACTTAACCAGGTACCAGATCTTACACTAGATATTGGAAGAATAGATGCAGCCTCTAATCTTAAAGACCTAACAGTTTTGTTTTGTTTTGTTTTGTTTTGTTTTGTTTGAGACGGAGTTTTGCCCTTGTTGTCCACGCCGGAGTGCAATGGCGCAATCTTGGCTCACTGCAACCTCTGCCTCCCGGGTTCAAGCAATTCTCCTGCCTCAGCCTCCCAAGTAGCTGGGATTACAGGCATGCGCCACCACACCCAGCTAATTTTTTTGTATTTTTAATAGAGACAGGGTTTCTCCATGTTGGTCAGGCTGGTCTCGAACTCCTGACCTCAGTTGATCCACCCACCTCGGCCTCCAAAAGTGCTGGGATTACAGGCGTGAGCCACCTCGCCCGGCAAGGACCTACCAGTTTAATAGGGAAATCTACAAATAGATCACATATGATAGGATAAGTGGTGTAATAGAGGATAGTAAGAAGGTTGAGAGAGAAGAGAATAAGAAAGTCTTTCCTAGGAAGTAGTATTTGAACTGGGCCTTCTATGGTGAATGAGGCCAAATAACAGGTGGAAAAAAAGCTAATGTCAGGAATTGGAGATTTAATTTCTGGGGATGCACTGGGTTCAGTAACATTGAACCCCATCTCCTTCGGCTTATTCACTTCCAAATCTGGACTGCAACCCTTGGCGTTCAGAATGAGGACAACAGACCTTATGAGGAAGAGAAGCAGACTCAAGAATATTAGAAAACAGTAACTGCTTTTTGCTATCTTTAAGGAAACATCAGATTCACTTTGTTCCAGTATTTCACAAGCACTAGAGTTGACCAGCAAGTGATAAAGATTATATTTTTCTCTTGGAGAAAGCTTTCTGTCTTCTTGGCTCAAAGCATTTCAGAGCATTTAGAGGCCCCAGGCTTGGTGGCCCAACAGTCAGTTAGGCAGAGGTCCTAACTTGGAGCATGTCCATTCCAGAGGGTGTCTTTCCGCTTCCCACTTTTGCATGACAATAGCCTTCAGCTCATAAGTCACAAACAGTTATTCAGTGCCTGCTCAGTTCCATGCATTATGCTAGGTTCCAGGGATACAATGGTGAACAAGATAAATATAGAATGCTTATAAAGCAATAGTATTTCAAACTGTGTAGTACTGGGGTATATAAAGAGATCTGTAAGGTCAGGCACGGTGGCTCACACCTGTAATCTTAGCACTTTGGGAGGCTGAGGCAGGTGGATCACTTGAACCCAGGAGCTCAAGGCCAGCCTGGGCAACATGGCAAGACTTTGTCTCTACTAAAAATACAAAGAACTGGCTGGGCATGGTGGCACATGCCTGTAGTCCCAGATACTCGGGAGACCAAGGTAGGAGGATCACCTGAGCCTGGGAAGTCGAGGCTGCAGTGAGCCAAGATCGCACCACTGTACTCCAGCCTGGGCAACAGGAGAGAGACCCTGTCTCAAAAAACTAACAAATAAAAAAAGATCTGTATAATAGAATAGATACTCTGGAGAAAAAGCAATGAATAAATTAAGATTTACCCAATAAATTATTCTCTAGCAATTGGTTAGCTATTTGGAAAAAGTTAAGTTAGAGCCTCACTTTACAGTATACTCTAATGACTTTTGTATAAACAATAAATTGTGGCCGGGCACAGTGGCTCACACCTATAATGCCAGCACTTTGAGAGGCCAACGCGGGTGGATCACGAAATCAGGAGTTCAAGACCAGCCTGGCCAACATGGTGAAACCCTGTCTCTACTGAAAATACAAAAATTAGCTGGGCGTGGTGGCACGTGCCTTTAGTTCCAGCTACTCAAGAGGCTGAGGCAGGAGAATTGCTTGAACCCAGGAGGCAGAGGTTGCAGTGAGCCAAGATCACATCACTGCACTCCAGCCTGGGCAACAGAGCAAGACTCCGACTCAAAAAAAAAAAAAAAAAAAAGAATTAGTTGTAAAAAGTAAAGGCACAAGAGTCGGGTACAGTGACTGACATCTATAATCCCAGCTACTCCAGAGGCTGAAGTGAGAGGAATAGCTTGAGCCTAGGAGTTGGAGGCTGTGATCATGCCACTACATTCCAGCCTGGGGGACAGTGCAAAACCACGTCTCTTAAAAAAAGAAAGAAAGGGCTGGGCGCGGTAGCTCACACCTGTAATCCCAGCACTTTGGGAGGCCAAGGTGGGTGGATTGCTTGAGCTTACGAGTTTGAGACCAACCTGGGCAACATGGAGAAACCCCGTCTCTACAAAAAATAGAAAAATTATCCTGTTGTGGTGTTGTGCACCTGTAGTCCCAGCTACTCAGGAGGCTGAGGTGGGAGGGAGCCCAGGAGACAGAGGTTGCACTGAGCCGAGATCACACCATCGCACTCCAGCCTGGGCAATAGAGCCAGAACTTGTCTTAAAACAAAAACAACAAAAAAGTTTCAACACCAAAGAATAGAAAAAAATAATTTAAAAAAGAATAAAACCAACAGGCAGGTGTGGTGGCTCACACCTGTAATCCCAGCACTTTGGGAGGCTGAGGTGGGCAGATACTTGAGGTCAGGAGTTGAGACCAGCCTGGTGCATATGGTGAAACCCTGTCTCTACTGAAAATCAGGCATGGTAGTGCATGCCTGTAATCCCAGCTACTCTGGGATTACTACTTGGGAGGCTGAGGCAGAATTGCTTGAACCCAGGAGGCAGAGGTTAAAATGAGCCGAGATGGCACCACTGCACTCCAGCCTCGGTGACATAGTGAGACTCTGACTCAGAAAACAACAACAACAACAACAAAACAAAATAAAAATACAAAAATTAGCCGGGCGTGGTGGCACACACCTGTAATCCAAGCTCCTTGGGAGGCTGAGGCATGAGAATCACTTGAACCCAAGAGGCAGAGGTTGCAGTAAGACTAGATCGCTCCATTGCACTCCAGCCTGGGTGAGAGTGAGACTCTGTCTCCAAAAATAATAAAACCAATAAACAAAAAAAAGTAAAAGCACAAATCAGGCCGGGTGTGATGGCTCATGCCTACAATCCCAGAAAAACGTTGGGATGCCAAGGTGGTCAGATTGCTTGAGCCCAGGAGTTCAAGAACAGCCTGGGCAACATGACGACACCTTGTCTCTACAAAAAATACAAAAGTTAGCTGGGGGTGCTGGTGTGCGCCTCTAGTCCCAGCTATTAGGGAGGCTGAGGCAGGAGGATCAATTGAGCGTCAGGGGTCAAGGCTGCAGTGAGCAATGATAATGACACTGCACTCCAGTGTCATAACCTGTCTTAAAAAAGAGCACAAAACAACTAAAGAAATAATAAAAGTGACCATCCTAATCTCAGGATGGAGAGAGTACTAATTTTTTTTTTTTTTTGAGACGAAATCTCGCTCTGTCGCCAGGCTGGAGTGCAGTGGTGCGATCTCAGCTCACTGCAACCTCTGCCTCCCGGGTTCAAGTGATTCTCCTGCCTCAGCCTCCCGAGTAGCTGGGACTACAAGTGCGTGCCACCATGCCCAGCTAATTTTTGCATTTTTAGTAGAGATGAGGTTTCACCATGTTGGCCAGGATGGTCTCCATCTCTTGACCTCGTGATCCACCCGCCTCGGTCTCCCAAAGTGCTGGGATTATAGGCGTGAGCCACCGTGCCCAGCCGAGAGTGCTAATTATTAAATGCACAGAACCAAGAAAGAAAATACAGACATATTTAACCACATAAAATGCTAACACTATCTTCAGGACTTTGTATTGATTAAATTAAAAAAATGAAAATGCCAACACCATAACCAAATTTTAAAAGGTAAATACACTGGGAAAGAACATTTGCAACAATATTTGCAAAACAAAGGGACACAAAATAAAAAGACAAATATCCCAGTAAAATAAAATGAGTAAGGATTTGGACACATCATGAAATACACAAAAATCCCCAGTAAAGTGAAAAATGTTGTCTCATGATAAAAGTGAGAAAGTAAAATCCCTATTTCACCTCTTAGTTTAGTAAAGTCTTGTTTTGATTTGGTTTTCATCGCAAAGGTAATGCCTAGGTTTGGCCATGGCGAAATTTGCATTTTACTATGCTATTGGAGGGAACAGAAATTGTTGTAACTTTCTTGGTAGGCAATCTGGTAATATTTGTTCAGACTTTAAAATATCTAGGCTGGCTGGATGTGGTGGCTCTTACCTGTAATTCCAGACTTTAGAACACCAAGGCAAGAGGATCACTTGAGCCCATGAATTCGAGACCAGTCTGGGCAACACAGGGAAACCCCATCTCTACAATAATTTTTTTTTTTTTTTGAGACAGAGTCTCTCTCTGTCACCCAGGCTGGAGTGCAGTGGTATGATCTTGGCCCAAGTAGCTGAGATTACAGGCGCCCATCAGCTCGGCTACTTTTTGTATTTTTAGTAGAGACAAGGTTTCACCACATTGGCCAGGCTGGTCTCGAACTCCTGACATCAAGTGATCCACCCACCTTGGCCTCCCAAAGTGCTGGGATTATAGGTATAAGCCACTGTGGCCGGCCTGCAATAATTTTTAAAAATTAGCTGGGCGTGTTGGCATGTACCTCCCAGCTAATTGGTAAGCTAAGGTGGGAGGATCACTTGAGCCCAGGAGGTTGAGGCTGCAGTGAACTATAATAGCACCACTGCACTCCAGCCTGGCTGACAGAGACCCTCTCCTCCCCAGAAAATTTAGGCTGGGCGTGGTGGCTCCCACCTGTAATCCCAGCACTTTGAGAGGCCGAGGCAGGTGGATCACCTGAGGTCAGGAGTTCAAGACCAGCCTGGCCAATATGGTGAAACCCCGTCTCTACTAAAAATACAAAAATTAGCCGGGCGTGGTGGCGCATGCCTGTAGTCCCAGCTACTCAAGAGGCTGAGGCAGGAGAATCACTTGAGCCTGGGAGGTGGAGGTTGCAGTGAGCCAAGATTGTGCCATTGCACTCCAGCCTGGGCGACAGAGCAAGACTCCATCTCAAAAAAAAAAAAAAAAAAAAAAAAACCAGCTGGGGCAACACAGTGAGACCTTATCTCTACAGAAAAAATTTAAAAATTAGCTGTGCATAGTGGCATGCGTCTATAGTCCCTACTACTTGGGAGGCTAAGGCAGGAAGATTGCATGAGCCCCAGGATTCAAGGCTACAGTGAGCTATGATCTCACCACTGCACTGCAGCCCTGGGTGATGGGACAAGACCCTGTCTCTTAAAAAAATAATTTGGCTATAAGTTCTACTCCTTAGAATTTATAGTATATAAAAATTGAGATACTCATGAAGATTTATTTCCAGATGTTTATTACAGAAGAGTTTAATATAAAAAAGCTAGTAACAGGGTCAGGCACTGTGGCTCATACCTGTAATCCCAGCACTTTGGGAGGCCAAGGCGGCGGATCACTTGAGGTCAGGAGTTCAAGACCAGCCTGGCCAACATGGCGAAACCCCATCTCTACCAAAAATACAAAATTTATTTGGGTGTGGTGGCACGTGCCTGTAATCCCAGCTACTTGGGAGACTGAGGCAGGAGAATAGCTTGAACCTGGGAGATGGAGGTTGCAGTGAGCCGAGATCGTGCCACTGTACTCCAGCCTGGGCAACAGAGCAGGAATGTCTTAAAAAAAAAAAAAAAAAAAAAAAAAAAACTAGAAACAGGCCGGGCATGGTGGCTTACGCCTGTAATCCCAACACTTTGGGAGGCCAAGGCAGGTGGATCACCTGAGCTCAGGAGTTTGAGACCAGCCTGGCCAACATGGCGAAACCCTGTCTACTAAAAAATACCAAAAAATTAGCTGGACATGGTGTTGTGTGCCTGTAGTCTCAGCTACTTGGAAGGCTGAGGCACAAGAATTGCTTGAACCCGGGAGGCAGAGGTTTCAGTGAGCTAATATTGTACCACTGCACTCCAGCCCAGACCAGGGCGACAGAGGAAAAAAAAAAAAAAAAGCTAGAAACAATGGAAATATTAAATACAGCAAGTATTATTACATATGGTACACATTTTCAAAATAAAATATTCTAAAAATATTTGAATACATGGTATGTTTTAAAAGCCCAGCATTTGAAACTGTTCAGAATTGTCTCAATGTTGTAAAAACAAATATATATAGGTACTCTCATATATGTAAATACTCCAGAGTTAGTTTACACTTTTGAGACGGTCTCACTCCAGTTGCCCAGGCTGAAGTGCAGTGGCACGATCTTAGCTCACTGCAGCCTCAACCTCCCAGGCTCAGGCGATCCTCCCACCTCAGCCTCCCAAGTAGCTGGATTACAGGCATGCACCACTATGCCCAGCTACATTTTTTCTATTTTTAGTAGAGATAGGGTTTTGTCACATTGCCCAGGCTGATCACAAACTCATGGACTCAAGCAATCTGCCCACCTTGGCATCCCCAAGTACTGCGATTACATGCATGAGTCACCATGCCTCGTCCATGATTTTTCATTTGCTTCTCTATCCACACACAGTATTTCTGGTATCAGCAAAATAATGAACAAAATATAGTTTCTGAATATTGTTGGCTCTAACAAGTTAGCACAAGATGTTTAGCCCTCCCTAGTTTGTACAAATACTTCCTCTTCCCCTACCAGCCCACTGAGGATGGGCCAAGGATTGTGTTGTTGGGCAAACATCACTTCACCTCATTGATCATGCCTCATTTCCCTTACCCTCACAGAAAACAAAGTACTAAATCACTTTGCATCGTGATAGCATACGAGTCCATAAAATGAGTGGTCTGGACTAGATCTCAAGCATCTCTCAGCTTCGAATTTTAGCATAGACTCCTTTTTTTTTTGGAGACGGAGTCTTGCTCTATCGCCCAGGCTGGAGTGCAGTGGCGCGATCTCAGCTCACTGCAAGCTCCGCCTCCCGGGTTCACGCCATTCTCCTGCCTCAGCCTCCTGAGTAGCCAGGACTACAGGCACCCGCCACCTCGCCCGGCGAATTTTTTGTATTTTAGTAGAGACAGGGTTTCACCGTGTTAGCCAGGATGGCCTCGATCTCCTGACCTTGTGATCCCCCCCGCCTCGGCCTCCCAAAGTGCTGGGATTACAGGTGTGAGCCACCGCGCCCGGCCCATAGATTCTTAAGAGTGGTGATGGAATAAAACTTCATGATCTCTTGTCTGCTCGTACGTTAATTTGTGAGAAAGAAGCCACTGAGAGCTGTCATAACTTTACTCATTTAACTGTCACAAAAATGCTGTGATGTCAGTATAGTGATCTTCCACTTTATAGATGATGAAACTAAGGCAGAAAGAGGTGAAATGACTTGCCTAAATTACAGTTAGTGAATGGCAGACCCAGATTCAGGTTGAAGCAGTCTGCTTCTGGAGTGCATGTTCCTGATCACTGTGTCATGCTGCTCACTGCAGTTGTGTCTGGGGTGTTCCAAATATTCTGTCTCCCATTGTCTTCATCAACCATTAACATGTCTGAAAAAGTCCAGTATTTACCTATCTAACCTATATTTCCCCTGTGCCTCTTATAGCCAGAAACAGCCACAATATCTTGACTCACCATCTTTGTCCATATTTTAGGCACAGATATTGTAATAACCATCTGACTCACTCACTTATAAAGCTGAAGCCTTGCTAAGGTTACCTGCAAGTGTTTTTCAAGACTGGGTGTGGGCCAGCAAATCTGTAGGAAAAGTGCTAGTGTGAGGTAGGACCGAAGGATACCTTCTTTGCCTTCACTCAAAGTTGAGCAGAGATTTGGTTGCCAGGTATTGTTTTTCCTGCTCTTAATGTCCTGCTGCTGATGAGCAAGGCCTTTCTGTGTTGCTGCTATGCAGTTATTTCAAGCAGGAAGTCATTCCTAACTATTACCACAGTAAGTGGAGTCTGGGGAAATAGCTAAGGCAACAGGAATGACACTTTTGCTTGAGGACAGCAGAGGCCTAGTTCCTTCTAAGAACCTCAAATAGGAACTGAGAGTCACTCCAGTATGGAGGAATGCATGGAGGCAGGGTAAGGATCAAAGAAATGTTTTAGTCTTGGGGAACCTCAGGCCCCCACAGCCTTGGCTTTAGTCTGAATGAGCACCATGCTTAACAGGCTCTGCCTCCATTTCATATCCCAGCTAGGCTAATAGCAGTGGCAGCAGTAACATTTTTTATATCTTACAGTTTACAAAGTGCTTTAATTTGTACTACTTCATTTTGATCTTCACAACAATCCTGTGAAGCAGGTTATCTACATTTTGCAGATGAGGGAAGAGGTTCAGAGAAGTCCAGAGTATAGTGAAAGAGCTGGGACCTGACTTTCTACTGCCCCTGAGATGACTTAGGGATCATCTTAAATTAGAAACTTTGGGGTCTGGTACCTGTCTTTGTCTTGGTGTGCCCTTCTGGATCAGCAGTAATTCCTAACCTCTGATATACATCAGAAACATCTGGGATGGTTCAAACAATAAAGATGTCTTGACCTTACCTCAGATGTAACATAGAATCACCAAGTCTGGGTGTCTGGTATATGAATTTTGGGGAAGAAAAGCTCCACAGGGAATTCTGATGTGCACCAAAGGCTGAGAATCACTTGCATTCAGAGTTGTATTAAACACATCAGAATAGTCTGATGAATCGCTTCTCGGCCTTTTGGCTAAGATCAAGTGCAGAATAGTCTGATGAGATTTCCTATCCGTCAAAATAAATAACTGTTGCCTTGGAAGAAACAAATCAAGATTTGGTTTCTGCTTTCTAAGAATTTCTAATCTGGCTGGGATAAGACATGTACACAGGCAAAGGGACTCAACACCATGAGACAACATACCAGCCTCTTAGTCTTGAGTAGTCAGAGTGTCAGAGGAGTCCCAACAAGAATCTCAAATGACATGTTTCTAAGTTCTTTCAGGAAGTCTAATTCAGCAATGGAGACATTTCTGGTAGATGTAGGAAAGGACATAGGCAGGTTCAAGTCCGTGGGGTGACCAGCTTGGCTAGAGCAAAGCATTCTCATAAGCAAGATGTGGGAAATAAAGCTTCTCAGGCAGAGGGTGGAAGGGCAGTAGGGAGACATTAGGGTTTTAAAGCAGTATGATGTAATTAGTGTTTTACAACACTACTTTGGGGACAGGGAAAGCAATCAGGAAGCTAGTGGTCAGGTGTGAGGTGATAAGGGGCTGGTGGTGGTAAGAATCAGAAGTTGGAGGCCAGGCGTGGTGGCTCACGCCTGTAATCCCAGCACTTTGGGAGGCCGAGGCGGGCGGATCATGAGGTCAGGAGATCGAGACCATCCTGGCTAACAGGGTGAAACCCCATCTCTACTAAAAATACAAAAAATTAGCCTGGCGTGGTGGCGGGTGCCTGTAGTCCCAGCTACTCGGGAGGCTGAGGCAGGTGAATGGTGTGAACCCGGGCGGCAGAGCTTGCAGTGTGCCGAGATCACGCCACTGGACTCCAGCCTGGGCGACAGAGTGAGACTCCGTCTAAAAAAAAATGAAGTTGGGATAAGGGGCTAGGTGCGGTGACTCACACCTGTAATCCTAGCACTTTGGGAGGCCAAGGCGGACGGAACACTTGAGGTCTAGAGTTCAAGACCAGCCTGGTCAATATGATGAAACATACAAAAATTAGCCAGGTGTGGTGGCGGGCGCCTGTAATCCCAGCTTCTCTGGAGGCTGAGGCACGAGAATCACTTGAACCTGGGAGGCAGAGGTTGCAGTGAGCTGAGATCACACCACTGCACTCCAGCCTAGGCTACAAAGTGAGACTCTATCTTAAAAAGAAAAAAAAAATTGGGATAAGGTTCTAGAAACAAACATGGAAGAACTTACAGGGGTGAGTGTTTCAGTGGAGACACTATAATAAAAGCATGGTCTCTGGAACCAGATTTCCAGGGTTCAAATAATCCAACCACTTACCTGTGTGGCCACCTCTTTGTGCCTCGGTTTTACCTGTAAAATAGGGCTAATAATAATACATACCTCAGAGATGTGAAGATTAAATGAATTTGTAGTGTTGCCTGACTCAGTAAATAGTGTGCTATTGGAAGAGAGGGAAATTTGGACAGTTTCATGGATATATCATGGCTGTCTGGCATGTTTTCTGCGTTTCAGAGTGTGACATGTTGGCGAGCCAAGTTTATGGAGGCCTTTTTTTCCCATGTTCTACGTGGGACCATTGATGTGTCTTCTGACAGGCGTCTTTGTGATCAGCGGTTCTCACCTCTTCTGCACAGCTCCCGCCATGTCCGACAGCTCACCATCTGTAACATGCTGCAGGGTGCAACCGAGCTGGTGGCTGAGCCCAACCGCAGGGTTCTGGAGACCCTGGCCAGCTCCCTGCACACTCTCAAGTTCCGCCACCTGCTGTTCTCTGATGTGGCTGCTCAGCAGTCACTTCGGCAGCTGTTGCATCAGCTCATTCACCATGGGGCTGTCAGTCAAGTGTCGCTATACTCCTGGCCTGTGCCTGAGTCAGCCCTTTTCATCCTTATTCTCACCATGAGTGCTGGCTTCTGGCAACCAGGGCCTGGTGGCCCACCCTGCCGCCTCTGTGGAGAGGCCTCCCGAGGCCGGGCCCCATCCCGAGATGAAGGGTCCCTCTTATTGGGCTCACGTCGGCCCCGCCGGGATGCTGCTGAGCGATGTGCTGCAGCCCTGATGGCCAGCCGGCGTAAGAGTGAAGCCAAGCAGATGCCCAGAGCTGCACCTGCCACTCGGGTAACACGCCGGAGCACACAGGAGAGCCTGACAGCAGGCGGAACAGACCTTAAGAGGGAGCTGCACCCCCCAGCCACCTCCCATGAGGCTCCTGGCACCAAGCGGTCACCTTCTGCTCCAGCAGCCACCTCCTCTGCCTCTTCTTCTACATCCTCATACAAACGGGCACCAGCTAGCTCAGCCCCACAGCCTAAGCCCCTAAAGCGTTTCAAGCGAGCTGCAGGGAAGAAGGGTGCTCGCACCCGTCAGGGGCCTGGTGCAGAGTCTGAAGACCTGTATGACTTCGTTTTTATTGTGGCTGGCGAGAAGGAGGATGGCGAAGAGATGGAGATTGGGGAAGTGGCTTGTGGAGCTTTGGATGGATCAGATCCCAGCTGCCTGGGGCTTCCAGCACTGGAAGCTTCACAAAGATTCCGCAGCATCTCCACCTTGGAGCTATTCACAGTTCCACTCTCCACAGAGGCAGCCCTGACACTATGCCACCTGCTGAGCTCCTGGGTGTCACTGGAGAGCCTCACACTCTCCTACAATGGTGAGCACCCTGGAGTGGCAGGGATTGGGCTTAGATTGCCTAGCAGCACCAGCTGTGTGCCTAATTCTAGGGAGGTGGGAGGGGCAAATTGGGGGTATGATCAGGAGGTTAGAGAGGAAGGCTTGTATGCCTCATAGCAGGGGAGACTGTCATTGCTAGAAGAGAGGAACATAAAGTCTATACACTTGATTAGTTGTTGAAAGCAGGGGTTCCTGAGGGGCAGTGAGACAAGCCAGCTGGAATCTGAAGAATGAATACATTTTAGATATGGAAGGCAGTCCAAGGGCAGGTGGGAGCAGTATAGTATATGCATGCTCAGGCAGGGCTAGAGTTTGACCTCACCACCTCACCAGTCATATCAGAGTAGCTGTCCAGACAAGGTGTGGGACACAATTTCTTATCAGACCAACAACCTGCAAAGCAGTCCTCAGTCCTCATTTCCCTCCTGCTTGTGACCAGCTAGCAAAACCTCAACTCTGGCTAAATCCAGCAATCCGCCTAGGTTGCTGAGCACTGCTAGAGACAAATCATACAACTATGCAAATCAGTGTTACTATATGATCACTAACCTCGTATGAACCTTCACTGTGCTTGCAACATCAGCTCCCATTCCTACCACTTCCAAACTCTCCTTTTCCCTTCTCAGGGATGACCTCACCTACTTCACAGAGAAAATAGAAGCCATCACACATGAGTTTCTTTAGCTTGCTAAGCAGCCTATAAACTCTCCATCTGCACTCATCCTTCTTTACCAGAATAGAAGAGACCACCATCCTTTCTAAGGCTAATTCTCCCACCTGTGCTCTAGATGCATAGAGCTTCACAACAAAGTATATAAAAATTACCAGTTTGAGAAACAAGCATTCTACCTTCTTAGGGAAGCTTGTTTCTCAAACTAATTTTTATATACTGCTTAGTATGTGTCTGGCATATTTTAAGTATTCTTGATAATTTGATCTAACAATCCTCACAACCCTATGAGGGCAAGTGACTTCCTCAGGATAACCTAGCAATTATAGAGCTAGGATTCAAAACCCAGGCAACCAGACTGCAGATTCATGCTTTCAAACAACTATGCTACTCTCCTTTCCACCGTCTCTCTCCTATCAGCATTTTAACAGGTCTCCATCAAAAACTGCCACCACCACCTCCCTCTATGCCATATTAATAAACTGTTATCTCCTGTTCTTCACAACCTTAGTTATCTGTACTGTTTCCACTTCTCTTACTCACAGCCCCTTCCAGCCTCTTATACCCCTACCACTGCACTGGCAAGGACCTATGTCATCAGGGTCCTCCTTGTTACTAGATCCAATGTATACTTTTCAGTAACTCTTCTTGGCAGGATTTACTGCTGTTCATTAAATTTTTTTTCACTACCTTAAAAAATGTTTTCTTGGCCGGGCGCAGTGGCTCACGCCCGTAATCCCAGCACTTTGGGAGGTCAAGGTGGGTGGATCACGAGGTCAGGAGTTCAAGACCAGCCTGGCCAAGATGGTGAAACCCCATCTCTACTAAAAATACAAAAATTAGCCAGGCGTGATGGTGGGCGCCTGTAATCCCAGCTACTCAGTGACTGGAGATCGTGCCACTGCACTACTGCACTTTAACCTGGGCAACAGAGTGAGACTCCATCTCAAAAAAAAAAAAAAAGTTTTCTCCTCCTCTGTTTATTCAGAGTTCCTCAGAGCTTTCCCACTTTATGCACGCTTCTTGGACAATTTCATCCATTCCTGTGGTTTCAAAGGCCAACTATGCTAAAGACTCCCCATTATGTGACATTACCCCAGATCTTTCTCTTGAACTTCCAGACCCATTTATCCAGCTAGTAGACATGACAACTTCATAACCCACAATACCCCACCCAACTCATTACATCCAACTTGAATGCATTTTTATATTTTTAGTAAGGACAGGGTTTCCCCATATAGGCCGGGCTGGTCTCGAACTCTTGGCCTCAAGTGATCCACCAACCTCGGCCTCCTACAGTGCTGAGATTATAGTCATGAGCCATTAAGCCCAGCCCTATCTTTACAATTTGTTAAATACATTTATTTCTCTATCTCCACATCCTTAATTCAAGCTACCATTACCCACTACCTGAACTAATTTCAGTAGTTCCTCCGGACTCCTTACTCTTGCCATACAAATCCATTATCTGCACTGCAGCCCAAGCATCCTTTGAAAAATGCAGTCTTGATTCTTTAAAAAAATCAGTCAAAAATGACCCTGTCATTCATTTATGCAAACACCCTTCAATGGCTTAATTTTACTTAGTGGTCATTCATATTCTTACTCCTGGTTATCTCTATAGTTGTATCTTTTTTTTTTTTTTTTTTGACAGGGAGTCTCTGTTGTCACCCAGGCTGGAGTGCAATGGTGCAATCTTGGCTTACTGCAACCTCCGCCTCTCGGGTCCAAGCAATTCTACTGACTCAGTAGCTGGGATTACAGGCACATGCCACCATGCCCAGCTAATTTTTGTATTTTTAGTAGAGACGGGGTTTCACTATGTTGGCCAGGCTGGTCTTGGGCTCCCGACCTCAGGTGATCTGCCTACCTCAGCCTCCCAAAGTGCTGGGATTATATAGGTGTGAGCCACCACACCTGGCCTATAGTTGTATCTTGAATGCTTCCCCCCTTCACACTCTCACACCAGCCATTATGAAATTTTTTTGTTCTCCTTCAGGCCTCTACATATGCCAAGTTGCCTCTGCCACAATCATTCTTCCTAAATTTTAGCCTGTCCCCTTTATGTTCTTTAGGACTTAGCTGGAGTGCCTTTACTGATGTAAGCTGGACTAGGTACTCATCCTTTGTAATTTCATAGTACTTTATTCCCCCAGTTCCCATCGCATTATCAAGCTATGTAAGAAAAAAAAGCAATGTGCTGCTCACTAGTGTCTAGCAAAAAACTTGATATTTAGTAGGCACTGGGTAGTTGAATGAATGAACAGGAGCCTGCATAGTCCAAGGAATTATTTGCCTGTGGCATTAAGCAACCAACCTTCCTGGATCCTAGTCCATGCTGTGGGATTTGGTTATCTTTTCCTGCCCCATTCCCACCCATTGATTCTTTTAAGTATCCCAGTTGGGTCACTGTCACTCTCCATAGTTTTTAGGTGCTCCCTATTGCGTCTA
This sequence comes from Homo sapiens, assembly GCF_000001405.40. Lineage (NCBI taxonomy): Eukaryota > Metazoa > Chordata > Mammalia > Primates > Hominidae > Homo > Homo sapiens. The sequence goes on along the minus strand of NC_000001.11, from coordinate 46,282,220 downwards.
GGTTAAACCATCCCTTTGCCTTTCCATAATGTGGCCTCCAGTGCCCTGCCCTCTAGAGCTGTTTCCTGAGCCTCATGTAGCCAAACAAGCAAGCGTCTCATTCATGCCTTGCACTCTCCTAGCTGTGATTTTTTTTTTTTTTTTGAGACAGTCTTGCTTTTTCACCTAAGCCGGAGTGCAGTGGCGTGATCTCAGCTCACTGCAACCTCCGTCTCCTGGGTTCAAGTGATTCTCCTGCCTCAGCCTCCCGAGTAGCTGGGACTACAGGCATGTGCCACCCAGCCCAGCTAATTTCTGTATTTTTAGTAGAGACAGGGTTTCACCATGTTGGCCAGGCTGGTCTGGAACTCCTGGCCTCAAGTGATCTGCCCACCTTGGCCTCCCAAAGTGCTGGGATTACAGGCGTGAGCCACCGCTCCCGGCTAGCTGGGACTCTTGACTATGTCTTCTCCCTCTATCCAAAACTTCCTTCCTTCAAGGCCAGTTTCTTCAGAAAACTACTCAGAACCCAGAAATCCAGAGAACTGCTACTGTCTGTGCCTGTCATTCAGCTAGTAGCCACATGCTGCCTCACCATATTGTATCTTCTCAATTTTGTGACTCTGCCCTGACTGGTGCTTCTTGTGGGCATAACCCAAAACAGCAGACCTCAGTTTGCTGGTTACCTAAGGAAAAAGCAAGACATGGATGAGTAGTTAAGACAAATGGGTTTAAATAAGCTGAGCCAAAGCCCAAGAGATTTGCTAGTAACCAAAAGTATTTGGAGTTGTATTTGAATATATTACCCCTGCTGACACTCCCACATGGTTCTGACTTAATCTCTTTCTTGCCATAGGCCTGGGCTCTAACATCTTCCGCCTGCTAGACAGCCTGCGGGCCCTGTCAGGCCAGGCTGGATGTCGCCTCCGTGCCCTGCATCTCAGTGACCTGTTCTCACCACTGCCCATCCTGGAGCTGACACGTGCTATCGTGCGAGCACTGCCCCTGCTACGGGTCCTCTCTATTCGTGTTGACCACCCAAGCCAGCGGGACAACCCTGGTGTGCCAGGGAATGCAGGGCCCCCTAGCCACATAATAGGCGATGAGGAGATACCAGGTGAAGCACTGTGTGTGTGTTTGTGTGTGTGCACGCACGTGTATCCCCACACAAAGGTGCAGATGCATTCGTATGGGGAAAGGGGAAGGACCTCTTCTATCACTCATTCCTGGCTTATCTGGAACCTATCCCCCCTTTAGAGCCTACCACTAAGATACTCTTGAGCTAGACAGGGCCTAAACCACCATAAGACCAGCAGAGAGTGACCAAGGCAGCTTGGTCTCCAGAAAAGGAAAAGAACTGATCTTTAGACTGGATTAGTTCCCCTGCTGTATGTTCCCTTAGTTCTTGTATGTCTCCTATCCCACCACTCTGCATACTTTATTTGCTTGTGTCTGGGTAGCCTGTCTTCCTGGTCTAAAATTTCTACAAGGGCAAGGACTAAATCTCATATTTAGTGCTCAATTCCTAGAATCTAGCACAGTGCTGACATATGGTAGGCACTCAACGACAAGTGAATGAATAAATAATTTTTTAGATGAATCCCTTAAGAACAGGATGGGACCTGCTATGGGAGTGAGGTAGAGATGGCCAGCTGGAATCTTCTTTCCCCACCATATCCAGAAAACTGCCTGGAGCAGTTGGAGATGGGATTTCCACGGGGAGCCCAGCCAGCCCCACTGCTGTGCTCCGTTCTGAAGGCCTCGGGTTCTCTGCAGCAGCTGTCCCTGGATAGTGCCACCTTTGCCTCTCCCCAGGATTTTGGGCTTGTTTTGCAAACACTCAAAGGTAGGACCCAGCCAGAATGGTGAAGGGAGAGGAGTAGGTGGGGACCTAGCACTGTTCTCTAGGAAAGCTAAGGTCCATGGTCCATGGTCTCTGCCTCCTATCCAGAGTACAACCTAGCCCTGAAAAGACTGAGCTTCCATGACATGAATCTCGCTGACTGTCAGAGCGAGGTGCTCTTTTTGCTACAGAATCTGACTCTGCAAGGTAAGTTCCTTATTCAGAACCTGGACATTTCCTGGGTCTTCACTATGGTTCTGCCATAATCTGAGTGAGCAAACCACTGTTCCTTTCTTGGCCTTGTGTCCTCAGCTATAAAATGGATATAGAACCTGCATGATTTTCCTTCTAAAAGCCCCAACCTCAATTCCTCCTCTACTAAACATGAGAAATCGCTCTTTTAGAGTGCTTCACCCAAAAGTTGCTCTTACCTTTCAGAGGTGGACAAAATGGTGGTGGTGGGGCAAAATAAATGTACTGTGCCAGGCTCCCCTCATAGACTTTTCTCTGATCCCCACCCCCGCATAGAGGGTGGCCAGTGTTAGGGAAAGAAGGAAGTGAATGGAGAATTGTCCATGCAGAGAACCTTCTTATAGGGAACATTTAGGTTCAGTCTTTAGTTTGGATTCTGATTTAGTTCCAGCCTTGCTTGGAGTCTAGACAAATTCCTTCCTCTTTTTGGGCCTCTATAATGTTAATACCCCTTGCTAGGGCCAACTGGGGCAGGAGGGGCAGCACCAGTCCTAATGCAGCCATCAGAATTTACTATAATTTTTCTTGACAGAGATTACCTTCTCCTTCTGCCGTCTGTTTGAGAAGCGCCCAGCCCAATTTCTGCCTGAGATGGTTGCTGCTATGAAGGGCAACTCCACACTGAAGGGCCTCCGGCTGCCAGGGAACCGCCTGGGTGGGGGCCAGACCCTGGGGAGGGAGAGGGGAAAGGAGCTAGGCCTTTGACCTAAAAACTCACTGGATAAAGGCAAAGACCTCTCCACTGGGAACGTGGGAGTTGGAATACAGATATTTCTGTGCTGGGGCTTCAGGAACCAGCAGGGCTGGTTCTGCCAGCCATAGTTGGGTTGGGATACCCTTGTCCCCTGTTCTTGGGTGGAGGTGATAGGCGTTCTCCCCTTCTCTCCAGGGAATGCTGGCCTGCTGGCCTTGGCAGATGTTTTCTCAGAGGATTCATCCTCCTCTCTCTGTCAGCTGGACATCAGGTACATGAGGGGAGGGGCAAGACAAGGGATGGGGCTACAGAGATATAGACCAGGAATTCACTGCTTCCTGGATATCTAATCCATCTCACCCTACCAGTTCCAACTGCATCAAGCCAGATGGGCTTCTGGAGTTCGCCAAGCGGCTGGAGCGCTGGGGCCGTGGAGCCTTTGGTCACCTGCGCCTCTTCCAAAACTGGCTGGACCAGGATGCAGTCACAGCCAGGGAAGCCATCCGGCGGCTCCGGGCTACCTGCCATGTGGTTAGCGACTCATGGGACTCATCCCAGGCCTTCGCAGATTATGTTAGCACCATGTGATGGGGCCCGTACCTCACAGTCTCATGCTCGGTACCATCAGCTTGCAGGGGCTGAAGCATGGGCTGCCCAGAACCCCAACCACCAGTTCTATCTTTCTCTTTCTGTCACCTTTTTTCTCTTTTTTCCTTCTTCCCTTGCACTGAGGTCCTGGAGGCCTTGATGAGGCCCAGCAAACAGGCATTCTCACAGCTGGGTTTATAGTCTTTGGGCCCCTTACTCAGTATCCTGGGAACCCTGGGCCAGGAGGTTACAGTGGTCATCATAATTGCTGAAGAGATCCCCTCCCCTGCCCCTGGGTTCCTGCCTTCCCTCCTCAAGCAGGCACCCAGGCTTTAGAGAAGTATAGGGGGCTTCTTCCCTGCTGGGCTTACCACACTGCTCTCAGGCCTCAAACCCTTTCATACCTTTATTCTTTTTTTTAACCAAAAAAGTTTTTCTTATAAAATAAATTTTGGGCAAACATCATGCAGCCCTTCTTGATGATTTTCTCCCAGAGAACAAAATTCAACAGGGCCCTGTGGAGCAAGGAGCCCCTTTTCCCTATCTCCTTCCTCTAAGAGCTACACCCAGACCAGCTGGTTATCAGCGGAGGCCCCGCTGCTCCTCATGAGAACGCTGGTGGAAGACGAAGGTGATGGCAGTGGAGGCAGCATCCCAGGCAGCCTGGAGTACCTCATCCCGGAGCCCCCACTTATCAGTGCAGTGGTTCCACCCTGCCAGGTCTGAAGTGCAGTCAGAACCATCAGGGGGTGGCCGGATCTGACGGCTGTTGACACAACGTCGGCAGTGCAACCTAGGGACAGAAGGCACAGCTGAAGTCACTACAGATCCCATCTCCCTACTGTGTGGGTAGCTTAGAGATAATGGTTAGGGCACTTCCCCACCTGTCATGTGTGTCACTGAGGCTAGCTTCATCCAGGATAAACAGCTCCTTCAACTCGCCCAGAGAGAAGTGGCGCTCTACATCCTGCTCCTCATCCACCACACAGCTGCTCAGTGCCTTCTTGTGGCTCTGACGCTGGAAGATCTTCTCCTCAATGGTCCCTGCCTGGGGAAGAGGAGGTGGGGAATGTCAAAAGATACAGCGCTTAGCCATCCTCATAAAAAGGGAGCAGGAAAACCAAAGGGTTGAAACTACAGCTACCCGAGAAGAGGAGATGAATAAAAAGTATGAGTCCCAGAACATTATCTCTACTCAGCTGAGGTCCATTTTCCCAGTCTGTCTCCTGAGAACATGACATGAATAGTCTGCCCACCCAGGCTACTTTCTATACTAATGAAGGGTCCCAGGGCCTGGCTAAATCCCGTCAGGGTGAACTGAGGTTTGTCTGCTGCAGCTTCAGATTTCTGCACCAAGCCCAACTCTAACTCATTCAATAAATATCATTTAGGTATCTATTCTATTCCAGACCCTGTGCTGACATTAGCATACAAAAAAGAATCATATATATCCCCTATCCTTTAGCTCCTAGACAAACATTTAAACAGTTGATACAATGATAGAAATCTATACAGGGTAACTGCGAGTCCATAAGGATGGTAGAGTAGAACAGTATTGAAAACTTGAAACTCTATCCTTGAGCTCAATCTTGAAAATGAGTAGATGGTTTGTAAGAAAAGACACAAAGAAAGGTATTCCCAGCATAGGAACAAAGGAATACTACTGGCCTATTGGAGGACTGTGAGTAGTTCAGGCTAACTGGAGGTTGGTGGGAGTATAGTAAGAGCTGAGACTGGGAAGTCAGCAGAGGCCACATTAAAGAACCTTGGGGACAGGCACGGTGGCTCACGCCTGTAATCCCTGCAATTTTGGAGGCCGAGGCAGGCAGATCACAAAGTCAGGAGTTCGAGACCAGCCTGACCAACATGGCAAAACCCTGTCTCTACTAAAAATACAAAAATTAGCCAGGGGTAGTGGTGGGCACCTGTAATCCCAGCTACTCAGGAGAAGCAGGAGAATCGCTTGAACCCGGGAAGCAGAGGTTGCAGTGAGCTGAGATGGTGCCATTGCACTCCAGCCTGGGCAGCAAGAGCAAGACTCCATCTCAAAAAACAAAAAACAAACCTTGGATGCCATGCTGAAGGCCTTAATCTTGTCTTCGAAGAGACGAAAAATAAAATCTGAATTTTTGGAAAGCTCCTTCTGGAAGCAGTATGTGAACAATGGGTTGGGATAAGACAGAAGTAAACAATTAGGAAGCTGCTGCAATATCCAAGTGACAGATGACCATGACCTCAGGAGGGCTTGGAGAGCAAGGTTAGATTAAGGAAATTTCAAGAAGGTAAAAATCAGTGAAAACTGGTGGGAATCTGGTTATTAGGAGAAAAGAATAGTCCAGTAAGATTATTCCCAGTTTTGGGTTGGGTGGATAATGGAGCCATTAAGAACAACATTCAGAAGGGGAGCCAGGTGTGGTGGCTCATGCCGTTAATCCCAGCACTTGGGAAGGCCAAGGTGGATCGCTTGAGTCCAGATGTTCGAGACCAGCCTAGGCAACATAGCAAGACCCCTTCTCTACAAAAAATAAAGAAAAAAAGTTATCCGGGTGTGGTGGCACACACCTGTAGCCCCAGCTACTTCAGGGGGTTGAGGTGGGAGGTTGAAGCTGCAGTGGTCCATGATCGTGCCACTATACTCCAGCTTAGGCAACAGAAAGAAAGTGTCTCAAAATCAATCAGTTAATCAATCAGAAGGAAGGGGAATGAGTTTAGTCATGATACTTCTAAAGTGCTCATTAGAAATCTAAGTGGAAATGTAGATTAAGTGGTAGAAATAGGGATTTAGAGCTCAGGTAAGAGATCTGGGCTAAAATTTTATAGTTAGAGATTTGTCAGTATAATGAGTAATCAGAGAGGTAGAAGAACCAGAGTGGAGTTTCCAAAGACGAGAAAAAAAATTTTTTTTTTTTTTAAGACGGGATCCTGTTCTGTCACCCAGGCTAGAGTGGCACAATCCTAGCTCACTATAGCCTCGAACTCTTAGCCTCAAGTGATCCTCCAGCACCCAGCCTAGAAGAGCATTTTTTAAGGGATTAGTAGTCAACAGTGTGAGATACACGAAGAGGAAAAATTCATAGTCTCCTGTTTTGGCAATTAGGAATTCAGTAGTATATTTGAAGGTAGGTTCAGTGGTATAAGGAGTCTGATGAGTGAGTAGAAAGAAGATGAGTTAGGTAGGAAATTTGAGAGAAATGGTAGATGCTTGAAATGGTTGAAGGAAATGAGATATGGCCCACCTCAAAAAGAGAACATGAATTTGTGGTAGTACCAACATGTAAATGCAATGTAGCTGGTGTAGAAGCTGAAAACAGCTCAAATAATCCAATTGGAATGGGTATTGGGAAAAGAGTAGCTGAAAGGATGCACAGTGAAGACTGGGCTAAATAAACAAGGAAGTCAAGCCAGATGAGTGGGAGGGTGGGAAGGGGAGAGGCTACAGGAACATTAGGCTGAAGCAGATACAGCAGGTATGTGAAAGCTAGGAGGACAAGAAGTGAAAGTAGAATGACAGTTATTAAGGTTCTGGGTTCTAACAAGTTCCACGGTGTGATCTTAGGAATAATTAGACGAAGCGGGGTTGAGATGAGGTCAAGGAAACATGAAGGCCAGAGTGCTGGATAACCACATGGTCCTCAACGTCAGCCAGTATGATTGCTGGATTTGGGAAAGAAATGAAGGCTGAGCTAATGTCCAAAGTCATCAATGAATTAGGAATATAGCAGAGGATAGAGGACTGCAGCAAGGAAGAAAAGAGTGTAGTCAAGTCCAACGACATAAGCTGCAAGAAAGGAACTATGGGACGGATGGTCTGAAGGTGATAATTTATAACTTGGAGAATGCAAATAGGACAGGGGATGAGAGAAGACTACAAGGCCAGTGACACAGCAGAAATCATGTATGAGGGAAGCAGGTGTCCTGTGAAAAGGATGTACTGAACAGGTGTCCAGATGGCACAGTAAGAATGGTTTGAGGGAATGGGGTGGAGAGAAGGGGAGGGAGAACAGAAGAATAAAAGACTCACTTCTGGGCCCATAGCTTGGCTACTGCTAGAGGCAGAAAGGCCAAAGAGAGGCACTAAGGAACAAGATGGTCCTGAAGATCTCGTTCCATGACCCACCCCTACTATGACTACTATCACCATCCTTACAGACAGCAGGCGGTAGATATAGCAAGTCTTCTTTTGACCATCTCGCCAGACCCGGGCCATGGCTTGTTCATCATTGGCTGGGTTCCAGTCAGGGTCAAACATGACCAGCCGGTTAGCCCCAATGAGATTGAGGCCACAGCCCCCAGCTTTGCTGCTCAGCATGAAGACAAAGTCAGGGCTCTGGAAAGAGAAGAAACAGGAGAAAAGGAACCTCTTATAGCCTAAACTGGGATCCTGCTCAGCCCAACCAGCTCCTCCCTCATGCCTCTATACTACTCAGTACCAATTGTGAAAACCACCAGTTTATCTGCTCACCAGCCAGCCAATCCCAACACACACAGTCAGTTTCCAGCCCAGCCATCACCAACCAGACAAATCCTACTATATCCACTAGGGGAATTAAAAAAAAAAAAAATCAAGGTAACCCCTTATAGCTTCTCTATCATTCCTTAATTCTGATGATACTGCATTGGTGGTGTGGGGACGGGGATGTGCATTTACCGATGGACTATTGAAGCGTTCTACAACCTTGGCTCGCTTCTTAATGGACATCGTGCCATCCAGGCGGACGTATAAGTACCTGAAGGGGGATTCGAGACCCAAGAAAATAAAGCTTCAATGATTAGGGGGAAAAAAAATTAAAAATAAAAATTTTTTTAAAAAGACCCAAGAAAGCAGAGTCCCTTGGAGAGCCACTGAAGGGACTGAAATAACCATGCTTGAGGCCCTAAGCTCCCAAAGGCAGGGGCAGGGAGCTAGAGGCCAAGACTCTTTCCTAAGGGAGTACCTGAAGGACTAGGGGATCTTCTACTTGGAGATAGAGCTGAGGCCATCATAGCAATAAGGGAAGATATCTCCAGGGAAAGCCCTTATGTGCCCAGATCTTGGCCCACATCCACAAATCAGAACTAGACAGACAGTAGGGGAGGGGTATATCCCCCTTTGGCATCCTGGTTAGGATCTTCCCTACCTTCGGGCACGGCACAGCTTCTCAAAGAGATCCAAAGTCTGGGTGTAATTCGACACCAGCACTACTTTGTCACTGCTACGGCTTCGGGTCACCGCCAGAATATAATCCAGGACCAGCATCTTACCTGGGAAGAGCAGCAACCAGCAGTCCCCTACTGGCTGTCCCAATGGCCCAGGCTTCTTACTCTTGATATCCTGCCTTGAAACAGGACAGCCCTAGCACAAAAAAAAATCTCCCACCCTCCTCCTAGAGAAGCCCAAATACTGGTAGGAAAAGGGTCACCTGACAGCTGGGGCTCCAGGGCCTTAGAGCTGTAACCAGGAGGGAAGAGGTCCAAGGCACCCACAAAGCCATCCTCCTCTTCCACACACTTATCATAGATTAGAGCTGGATCTGGGAGAAAACAAAACAAAACCCAGATACTTTGCTTTCTGAAGTTTCCACTTCAGTGTTCACTAGAACTCCCTCTAGAAGCCTAGCCCAAAAGGCCTTCCTCAACATCAGACTTGCTTGATCTTCATCCTACCAAATTCCAACAGGATATAGTCGGTGCCATCTGGGACGATGGATGGACAATCTCACTCACTAATGTGTTCTCCCAACAAGAAGGGAGCTATAACAGAGCAGGCAAGGTTTCTTTGTTATTTTTCCTCCTGCCCAACATTGTATATGAGCGTGTGTACATGCAAGCACTCACAAACAGTCGACACATCCCAGGTCATCAAGCATGGGCTGGACAGAAGATGAGTTCAATTTTCCAAAGCAAAGGGTCTGGTAAACAGACTCCACAATGCAGGGTTCATGCCTTGGGTAGGGTTGGAATCACATGTGGCCTCTATGAGGATGACTCTGGACGAGTTTTAGTGAGGGTTGCCAGGCCACTACAGGAACCTACCCTCCCTTGCTCACTCTCACAGAGGACACCAGGACACAAGCCCAACTCACGATTACAAAGCTTCTTTAGCGAGGTGATGGAAGAAAGGGAAGACACACTCATCTTGCCCTCAAGCAATTCTTCTGCCGGTTTGGCTTGTCTCAGAAACCTCTTGTATAACTCAGTCTGAAGGGGTGTCAGCCTAAAAAAGGCAGCTGGGTCAGTGGAAAAAGCTAGACCACCCTCCTGCCCTCTGAGAACACCTTGAGAGCCCAGCCATGCTTCAGGAGCTAGGCTTTGACCCACTCCACATCTTTCAGTTGAGTTCAGTACCTACAACAAACGACCTGCTCAATCTTCACAGGCAGATATTTAGAAAGGATATCAGAAGTCCTCCGTATCAGGCATCTAGAGAAAACAGGATAAAAAGGCAAGAGGCTGGTAAAATTGCCATGCTAACTACTGGAATAAAAGCTACCACCCAAAGGACCAAGACTAGCCCTCTTTTACAGTATTAAATGTCAGAGACTCGGCCAGGCGCAGTGGCTCACGCCAGTAATCCCAGCACTTTGGGAAGCTGAGGCGGGCGGATCACCTGTGGTCAGGAGTTCAAGACCAGCCTGGCCAAAATGGAGAAACCCCATCTCTACTAAAAATACGAAAATTAGCCAAGTGTGGTGGCAGGCACCTGTAAACCCAGCTACTCGGGAAGCTGAGGCAGGAGAATCACTTGAACCCAGGAGGTGGAGGTTGCAGTGAGCCGAGATCGCCCCATTGCATTCCAGCTTGGGCAACAAGAGCAAGACTCCATCTCAAAAAAAAAAAAAAAAAAAAAAAAAAAAAAAAAAGTCATCAGACCTATGTCAAACACATCTGTATCAGGGTCTCAATTGTGGGAACAGAGACCTTCCAAACATGCTAGCTTAGACAGGCAGCACTTTCTCTTCCCCTTCAATAGGTTGCCTAGTCTTCAAGAGAAGACTGAGGCTTCCCATTGATACAGGAGCTCTAACAGGAAAAGCAAGTTGTAAATTACTAAGTCCTTAGGGGAGTTTCTGCTTGCATTTGTCCAAATGCCCGCTGCTACATGGCCCCAGGCTAAATGAAATTAAGCATAGACCTCCTGGGAAGACTATGAAGGATAGGTATCAGGCACCTAAGAAGCAGATCTTAAGAAAACACCAATTCTTCTTCCTGCCATCTAATTTTTTTTTTTTGAGACGGAGTCTTGCTCTGTCACCCAGGCTGGGGTGCAGTGGCGCAGCTCAGCTCACTCCAACCTCTGCCTCTCGAGTTCAAGCGATTCTCCAGCCTCTCCCTCCAGAGTAACCGGGACTACAGGTGCACCCCAACCACACCCAGCTAATTTCTGTATATTTAGTAGAGATGGGAGTTTCCCCATGTTGGCCAGGCTGGTCTCGAACTCCTTACCTCAAGTGATCCACTCGCCTCAGCTTCCCAAAGTGGTGGGATTATAGGCGTGAGCCACCATGCCCGTCCTGCCATCTAAAATTGGTAGGGAGAGGTAGCCAGGTAGCCAGGCAGTTGTTGGGAAGGGCAGGAGGACTCTTTAGAATGTAACCTATCAAGTGTGCATACCACCTCTGGACAAAGGAGTCCAGAATGTGCCTACCCTCTGGGTTATGTAACTCCCATGAAAAAGTCAGTCCCCTTAGCCTGGGAGCCACAACCACCTTTCAGATCTTCTCCTACCTGTCACAGAATGACTATGGGGCCTGGGAAGAGAAGCCTAATGTTTCGGGTCTGAGACCAACTGACAGGAAGCTTCTGAAATACTAGTAATGCTCCAAGGTATACTTTGCTCAAGAAGTCCAGCAGCATCAGAGAAAAGCTTCCTCAGCAGGCTGATAAACAGACCAAAACCAGACCACAGAGCCCAAGCCAGAAAGAAAGCAGGCACTTCACCTCCAAGACTCCCTTGTTTATTCAGTGGCCATAGTTAGGACACAGAACCCACTCCCTTCCTAGAATCCCAGCCTTTGAGGGCTCTAGAGAGGCAAAGCCCCCAAAGGATTGGCCATGGATGGTTTGGGAGGCAATTCTAATGACTTCGCTTAAGGTCATTACCTATTCACAATGCTGGTGAGCTCCCGCAGCCGCTCCTCTCCTAGCTGCCTGTCTGCCTCACTAGCAGCAGCGTCTCGACCCTTCAAAATTGGCAATTCAAAATGCTTCTTGAATTCATGGGCAGTCCCTAAACACAGGAGAGAAGGAAAACAGAAGAATGTGGAAAAGGAATGATTTTCCCACAGCTAGTGATGGCAGACTACCTTCTCACAAACCAGCCTTCCTACCAAGAACAAGGCTAAACAAAATATAGGCCAATTTCTGTTTAACAGATCAGAGAGGTATCAAAGCAGTGAAGACTTGAAAGGCCAAAAGTGAGATGATAGGTTAAAATCCAAATATATAATTACTTAGAGTAAATGTAAATGGATTGAATAGTCCACTAAAAAGACAAACATGGCCAGAGTGGATTTTTTTTTTTTCCTGCAATGGAGTCTTGCTCTGTCACCCAGGCTGGAGTGCAATCTCGGCTCACTGCAACCTCTGCCTCCCAGGTTCAGGCAATTCTCCTGCCTCAGCCTCCCGAGTAGTTGGGATTACAGGCACCCCTTCTCCGTGCCCAGGTAATTTTTGTATTTCTAGTAGAGACGGGGTTTCACCATGTTGGCCACGCTGGTCTCGAACTCCTGATCTCGCGATCTGCCCGCCTCAGCCTCCCAAAGTGCTGGGATTACAGGCATGAGCCACCGTGCCCGGCCAATTTTTTTTTTTTTGAGACAGGTTCTCTCCCTGTCGCCCAGGCTGGAATGCAATGGGGCAATCATGGCTCACCACAGCCTCAACCTCCCAAGTAGCTGGGACTACAGGCACATGCCACCACACTCAGCTAACTTTTGTATTTTTTTTGTAGAGATGGGATTTTGCCATGTTGCCCAGGCTGGTCTTGAACTCCTGGGCTCAAGGTACCCTCCCGCCTTGGTCTCCCAAAGTGCTGGGATTACAGTTGTGAGCCACCACACCTGGCCACATTGAGAGAAATTAAAGATGACCTAAACAAGTTGAGAGACAGATCATATTAATATATTGGAAGGTTCCGTATTATAAAAATGAAAGATCTTTCAGAATTTATCTGTTTCAATACAGCCCAATTAAAATCCAGTTAGAGTTTTTTGGTGGGTATGGCAGGCAGTAGGTGTATAAATTGACAAGTTGATTCTAAAATTTACATGGGAATGCAAAGGGCCAAGAATATCTAGGACAATGTTAAGGAGTAAGAATATAGTTGGAGGCTGAGCAGATTGCTTGAGCTCAAGAGTTCAAGACCAGCCTGGGCAACATGGCAAAACCCCACCTCTACCCAAAATACAAAAATTAGCCAGGCATGATGGTGTGTGCCTGTTGTCCCAGCTACTCAGGAGGCTGAGGCAGGAGGATCACTAGAGCCCGGAAGTTAAGGCTGCAGTGAGCCATGATCTCACCACTGCATTCCAGCCTGGGTGACAAAGCGAGACCCTGTGTCAAAAAAAAAAAAAAAAGACTATAGTTGGAATATTCACACTAATGGATATCAAGACTTATTAGGCCACAGTAAATAAAGCAGAGAAGTACTGACACAAGGAGACAAACGGACCAGAGGAACAGAATAGAGTCCATAAATAGAGCAACACATATATGAACATTTGATTTATGAAGAAGGTAGCACTGCAAAGCAATGGGGGAAAGAACGGTTTTTTCAATATATGATGTAGGGTGAACCAGATATCCAAACAGAAAAAGATGGAAGCCAGGCATAGGGGCTCATGCCCATAATTCCAGCAGTTTGGGAGGCTGATACAAGAGAATCATTTGAACCCAGGAATTCAAGACCAGCCTGAGCAACATATGAGACCCCATCTCTATAAAAAATTTAAAAGTTAGCCAATAGTGGTGGCATATGCCTGTAGTCCCAGCTACTCAGGAGGCCAAAGTGGGAGGATTGCTTGAGCCCAGGAAGTTGAGGGTACAGTGAGCTATGACTGCAACGCTGTACTCCAGCCTGGGCAACAGAGACTCTGTCTCAACAAACAAAACCAAACCAGTAGAATAAATTGTAGTGTACTCATAACATGCAATAGTATGCAATTATGAAAATGAACAAACTACTGCTACACATAATGTGGATAAACTTTATAAACATGTTGAACAAAAGAAACCAGATGTAAAGGAATACATACTATATGATTTCATTAACATAAATTCAAAAATAGGCAAAACCAACCTATAGTGTCAGGAAGGAGTTTGCTGCCGGGACAAAAGGAGAGGATAGTGATTAGAAAAGGGGCTGCTGAGAGAGTGTTAGTAATTCATCTGATGGTGGTTACACAAATGTGTTCACTTGGTCATAATCTTGCCACTCAGCAGGTTCTCTGCCTACTCTTGAGCACTGGCAAGTTGGGGTGACACTAACACACCCTTTCACAAATATATGTGTGGTTGCCAGGGATTAGGGGAGGGAGGAATGAGGAGTTTTGATTATTATTACTATTTTAGAGACAGGGCCTTGCTCTGTTGCCCAGGCTAGAGTGCAGTGGCATGATCACAGCCTCCTGAATAGCTAGGACCACCAGCACACACCACCACACCCAGCTAATTTTCTTATTTTGTAGAGACAAGGTCTCACTATGTTGCCCAGGCTGGTCTTGAACTGGCCTCAAGTGATCTTCCCACCCCAGCCTCTCAAAGCACTGGGAGGGGAGGGTAGAGGAGTTATTGGGTAGATTTTAAGTTTAGCAAATAGAAAAAAAAAATCTGAAGATGGATGATGGTGATGGTTGCACAAAGTGAATGTACTTAATACCACTGAATTGTTACATTTAAAAATGGTTAAAATGATTTTTAAAACACACACGTCTGCCCAAGACAGAGCTTGCTCTGAGGCCAAAACTCTTCTAAGGGAGCTAGGATCTGAGGAACAAAAATAATAATTCCACCCTCAGCTCATCATGACACCATTCCCTGTATAGCCCCTGCCACCTCTGCAATGGAAAAATGGCCAACATGGGCTTTGCTGAGTTGCTCAGCAGATCCAAGGCCTCCCAATGGCTTTGCTACTCCCTGACAAGAGAAGCCTTCCTACAAGAATGCCTAGTGACCCACATATAACTAGCATTCTCTTCTTTCTCTCCTCAGCTGGAGTTATACTCCCAAAGACAAGGCAGGGCTCCTCTCTGATGTGGCAAACAAGGCTAGATTCTTACCTAGGATGCCGGAATTAACAAAATGTACCAAGCTGAAATACTCAAGCAGATCATTCTGGATGGGAGTTCCGGAGATGAGCACCCGCCGGCTGGTGTTCAAGCTGTCCAGGGCTTGGTAAGTCTGATTCTCAGAGTTCTTGAGCCTGTGTCCCTGCAAGAGAATCCTTATTCAGAGCGCAATGTGGCATTCCCTATACGGTAGCAAAGTCTCATGTAGACAGGAAAAGAGGAGTCAAAAACATTCCAGGCCGGGCGCCGTGGCTCATGCCTGTAATCCCAGCACTTTGGGAGGCCGAGACAGGTGGATCACTTGAGCCCAGGAGTTCCAGACCAGCCTGGCCAGTGTGGTGAAACCCCATCTCTACAAAACATACAAAAATTAGCTGGGCATAGTAGCTTACACCCATAGCCCCAGCTACTTGGGAGGCTGAGATGGGAAGATCGCTTGAGTCCAGGAGGTCGAGGCTTCAGTGAGCCGTGAGTGCACTGCAATCCTCCCACCTCAGTCTCCTGAGTAGCTGGGACTACAGGCATATGCCACCACTATAGTGACATAGTGAGAAACTGTCTCAACAAAAAACAAAAACATTACAGGTTCTAGGGCCTTGGGAACTAGGCAGGGGGCAGCATGAGAGAGGGTTCACCCACTTAACTATGGAGAATATTAGGCTCAAAAGACAGACTTCCTGTTTCCAGACCAGTGCTATACCCATAAAGCAAAGATTCCCTCTGTTCCTTTCCATCCCTTTCCCTGCCCCACCTCCAGAGCCTTGGCAGCCCACCTATACTCTTCAGAGATCATGTGGACATATGACAAACCCATGCTTTCAGGGAGTCCTCCCCTCCACATCAGCCTACCCAACTCAGAACCTTCTGAGCCAGACGCCTTCTGTATTAGACTCCAGGCCTTGTCTGGGCCATCAGTGTTAAAGGGACTTGGACCAGGCTCCATGTCCCACCAGAATCCTCACAGCTAGTAGAGCTAAAGAGCTTCCCTCTGCTTCCCTTCACATCTCTTCCCCAATCTCTATTCTCCCTGTCCTGTCCTCCCATTCTCTCCACACCTCTACTACTTCTTTTAAGCCTTTTTCAAGAAAATCATAAAGGACAACCTTCCCTCTTTCTCCAAGAACTACATGGGCAAGATTAGGCCCATACCTTTTCTACATCCAGCCCCATACTGGGGAAGGCACACAAAACTCAACCACTCAACCAAGAATCAGCAATCAGTCTTGCTCCCTTGGGTCAGGCTTTGACAACGCAATTAAATGCAGACCCTTCACTGACTCTTCCATCTATAGCATCAAGTCCAAGCTCTTTAAGCTCACTAGCTTAGCATTCAAAGCCCTTCTCAATGAGGCCCCAGTGAACTTCTCTGACACTCTCCAAGCTTGTCACGGTCCAGGAATCCTGACCTTGTCACTCCTAATGCTGGCTTTCCTTATGTCTCTTTGCCCATGCCACCCCTCTGCCTAGAGCTCTTTTCCACAGGCAAGTTCCTCAGATGTCACCTCCTATGCAAAGCCTTCCTCAGTGACTCCAGGCTGCTTGTCTCTCTCAACTCTGTGCTCCTGTGGCACTATATACGTAATGGCTGCTACTATTTAGTGAACCCGTTTAATGTGGTAGGCATGGTACTAACTAAACACTTTACCTGTATTCTGTTCTGTAATCCACACGAATGGAAATTGTATTATCCATTTTAGAGATGAAGAAACTAAGATTCAGAGAGGTAAACAGTTATCCAAAATCATGCCGGTAGAAAGTAGCAGAGCTGGGATTTGAACTCAGGTCTGTATGACTCTGAGTCTGGACACTGTACCACTCTGCCCTCATCCATAATATATATACTAGAGTACTAATCACACTCTACTGTACTTTATCTTCTCAACTAGGCAGAGACTAGGATTTCTTAAGGCAGAGACTATGTCAGATTCGCCTGTATAATTTCAGTGTATAGGACAAAGCTCAGTGAATATTAGTTGAATGAAAGAATGAAATAATGACCAATGTTGCTATTAAAGATTAAATAAACCAACGGGGCATGGTGGCTCATGCCTGTAATCCTAGCACTTTGGGAGGTTAAGGCAAGTGGATCACCTGAGGTCAGGAGTTTGCGTCCAGCCTGGCCAACATGGTGAAACCCTGTCTCTACTAAAAATACAAAAATTAGCTGGGTGTGGTGGCATGTGCCTGCCTCCCCAGTTCAAGCAATTCTTGTGCCTCAGCTTCCTGAGTTGCTGGTATTACAGGCATGTGTTACTATGCCGGGCTAACTTTTGTATTTTTAGTAGAAACAGGGTTTCACCATGTTGGCCAGGCTAGTCTTGAAATCCTGACCTCAAGTGATCCGCCCATCTCAGCCTTTCAAAGTCCTGGGATTACAGGTGTAAGCCACCGCATTTGGCCTAGAAATTTAATTAAGAAAAAAAAAATTATTAGAGGCTCCAAGTACTAGCCCTAAAAAAAGCCTTAGACTTCTGAACTGAAGAGGGAAATGAGACTTGAAAGTCAGAGGAAATTACCCAACAGGTCCAGGGGAAATGGGCACCAACAATTAGATCTTCTAAACTGAAGCTCCCTGAGGGACAGCATTGTGAGATCTCCAGGGCTTGACACATAAAAGGCACTTAATAAATAACCCAGCGAATGAAATGGGCTGCCACACTATCCTGTCTCTGCAAAAGAGAAAGCCAACCCCAGCTCCCTATTGGACCAGTCACTAAGGATCCACATGGGTCTCAATGAGGAGCACAGGGACAACCCTTCCATACCCAAGGCAAGCTTCTTCCTGCACCAAGCATCCAAGGCAGAGAGGGATAGGAAAAAGAGCCACGACTTGGAATCTCACACCTGCATTCACATTCCAGCTTACTATGTACTCGCTAGGAGAACCTGGGCAAGTCACTACGCACTTCCCTGAGTTTGTCTCCTAATCTTTAAGATTGAGATGACGATGACGTCAATCCCTCTGCTATTTATACACTTGTACAAAGTGCTCCCATATATCCTCTCTTGATCTGTATCATATCCCTTTCAAGTAGCCCATGTGCCATCCACTCTACAGATGAAGAAACAATCTCAGAGCAGTCTCATCTGTGGAAAGTCACGCTTGTAAGTGGCAAAGCCAGAGCTGATCCCGTGTCTTTTGATTGAGGATCAAAGATTTTGTACATAGAAGTTATTATGAAAAACTGTGTTCCAGAGAAAAGCGTTACTGGGAGGAAGATGCTGTGGGAGCTGAGAACATGAAAGCCTGAAATGGCACCTTCCCTTTCCAGGGTCTGAACAGGACAAACCCTCTCCTTCCCTGGAGTAAGGTGACCATCTTTTCAGGACTTTTGGTTCCTCAGATCTCTGACAGTTGACAAAATAAAAGGTAAACAAGTAGAAAGGTAAACAGCCAAGGGGCTGCAGTGTGATAAGAGGCAGCCTCATCCCTTGTGCCCTGCACAGAGTCAGCTCATAAAACAGGACAGAGTGGGGAAGAAAAAAACACTAAGGAGTAGAAAAAGGCTGGGCACGGTGGCTCAAACCTGTAATCCCAGCACTTTGGGAGGCCAAGGCCGCAGATTATTTGGGGCCAGGAGTTCGAGACTAGCCTGGCCAACATGGTGAAACCCCATCTCTACTAAAAATACAAAAATTAGCCAGAGTGGTGGTGCACGCCTGTAATATCAGCTACTCGGGTGGCTGAGGCAGGAGAATTACTTAAATATGGGAGGCAGAGGTTGCGGTGAGCCAAGATCACGTCACTGCACTCCATCTGGACAACAGAACAAGACCCTTGTCTCAAAAAAAAACAAAAAGTAGAAAAAAATTTAGATGCTCCCTAATCCTCAAAGGCTCAACAGCTACAGCCTGCCTTCCTCTCCCACAATGCTTTGGACCTGGCTCCTGGCATAGTCCCCCTCCACAGTGATGAAGCAGATGTCAGGGCCTTGAACCACAGGGCAGTAACATGCATACCTCACCTCAACCTGGTAAGTTCCCTACTCCTACCAGGAAGTTGGGAGTTTGAAGACCCGCCAATGACTGACCAGAAAATAGCTCACAACTAGAAAGCATGGTACCCAAAAGCAAGCTTTTTCCCTCTGTCCCCTCTCTGAAGTTCCTCAGACAACTGGGCTAATCTACAGTACCCAGAGCTGAGCCTAGCCTGACAACTGGTTGACAGATAGGGCCAAGTCTTTCAGCCACCTCTCCACTAGAACCTCTGGGGTATACAAAGGAGGTTAACTCTCCCAAGAAGTTGCAAACAATGACTATAGCCTCAGGGTCGCCAAGCCCACTGGGAAGTCCTGGGAAATTCTCTATAGTAGGAAGCTCCCAGCCACCCTCACTGCTTCCTAAGTACTAGCCTCTCTATTGCCATTCACACATACTGGAAAAGGCCAGGAAGTAACTACGGCCATATTCCCTTAGTTCCAGAAACAAGAAACAAGAAGTCAACACAAACTACTACTACAAGGTGTATGGACTTTCTTATCTCTGCTTTTGTTCTTGCAAGTACCCCCAGCCTGGAATAACCACCAAGAGCTTACGTTTGCCAAGGCCTTATGACATACCAGGCACTGCGATAAGAGCTTTTTCTTAATAATTTCATTTAATCCTCACAATAATCCTATGAGGCAGATATTATCACCCCATTTTACTGATGTAGAAACAGAGGTTCAGCTGATAAAGTAACTTGTTGAAGGTCACACTGCTGGTCAGTGGCAGAGCCAGGATACAAATAAAGGTCTCTAACTCTAGAACCTGTTCCCTGTGAAAGGAAAACAAAATCTCAGGACCCCAAACTATGCCAAAGGGAAAAGCTAAGCTTGGGAACTAGTCAAGCAAAAAAATGTCTTTCCTTTTGTTCCTAAACAGATAGCTGCAGATAGAACGCCATGCCTCTCCCCAGGTGGCCTCCCTCACCCTGACAATGTAAAAAAACAGCTCATCTTTACAAGCAGGGGACAAAGACAAGACTAGAAATCCTCCCTCCCAGACAAATGTGTATTTGACTTCTTCCTCTACTCTTTATTTACTTAACTGTATGTAAAATCAGATTTATTGAGCTGAATGCATAACTGATGGCTCCTCTTTCCCTCCTGCCTGCTCTTGCCCCTTTATGCATATTTGTGTGGTGTTGTTTTTTGAGAAAGGGTCATGTGTGTCTGTGTATATGTGTGTTTTTTGGTTTTTATTTTGTTTTTTTGAGACAGAGTCTTGCTCTGTCACCCAGGCTAGAGTGCAGTGGCATTATCTAGGCTCATTGCAACCTCCACCTCCCGGGTTCAAGAGATTCTCCTGCCTCAGCCTCCTGAGTAGCTGGGATTACAGGCACCCACCACCACGCTCGGCTAATTTTTGTAGTTTTAGTAGAGACACGGTTTCACCATCTTGGCTGGTCTCAAACTCCTGACCGCATGATCCGCCCGCCTCAGCCTCCCAAAGTGCTGGGATTACAGGTGTGAGCCACCGCGCCCGGTCATATGTGTGTTTTGAGACAGGGTTTCACACCCCATCACCCAGGATGGAGTGCAGTGGCGCAATCTCAGCTTACTTCCCGGGCTCAGCTGATTCTCCCACCTCAGCCTCCTGAGTAGCTGGGACTACAGGTGCACCACCAAACCTGACTATTTTTATCTTTTTTAAGTAGAGGTGGGGTTTCACCATATTGCCCAGGCTGGTCCCAAACTCCTGGGCTCAAGTGATCCACTCACCTCAGCCTCTCAAAAAGTGCTGGGATTACAGGCGTGAATCATCGTGGCCAGCCCCCCTTTAAATATTGAAGTCCTCAAAAACCTCTTTGGAAAAAGTACAGGCTACAGATCCTACTTTGGCTTGTGTCTCTTTTTCCCCAGAGCATCCTCAACCTTGGCAAAATAAATCTCTAAATTGAGACTTGTCTCAGACACTTTCTGATTTATATCCTCTAAACATTGCCACCCACCCTTCAAGGTCCTTCTTTAGTCTAGGAATACTATCCGGAGGCAACAAAGCCAATCAGCCCCCAGTATCTCACTCTCCTCAGGGTTCTAAGCATTGTTTCAGCCCTCTTTTGGCAGACAGTATCTTGTATTTTGGTATCACAGGCTCTCCCTGTCACTTGTCTCCAAGGCAGCATCCTGTCTTCAGCATTCCCCAGTGACTAGCACAGCCCTTGGAAGGCAATACTCAGTGAAGAGATTTTGACAGATTTTCTCCTACCACCCAGACTGCTGAGAGTCAAGTACCTCGTCACATATGACCAGACCAACACTTCCTTTCTGGAGGACTCCAACATGAAGGCGGAAGGTCTCATAGGAAATGATGAGGATGGGAGAAGACACCCTGGCTCCACGCTGGTTCATGAATCCTTCTACAACAGAAAAGGTGTAAAGGGAACAATTCAGAATCTTTTGAAAAAAAAAAAAACAAAAAAAACAATTAGACAGTTCTTTAATTTAGCCTGGAAACAACTGACTCCACTTCAACTATTTTCAATGGAAATTCTCTTTTCTTCTACCCCTGCATTGCCCTCCACCCTGGCCATAAATGAGCATACACGTAAGAAAGCAGCAGGCTGTGCAGGAGAGTGCAGCCATCTTTGTTAGGGCTCCGTACCCAGCTTTTGGTCTATTTCATCCTTAGATCCTCCATCGATGGCCAGAGGTTGGATCCTCCCTCCGAGCCATTTCCCAACCTCATTGTACCAGTTCTTCACCAGGCTGGAAGGCGACACCACCACTGCCTTGTCAATTTCTGGCTTGCACTCTGGACTCTGGCGTAAAAGTGTCCACATCAATGTGATGCACTGCAGCGTCTTTCCTAGGCCCATCTCATCAGCCATGATGCAGCCATGGCTGCCAGGGATGCGCCGACTGGTGACACACTCCCACAGGAATTTCACTCCCTAGAGAATAACAGCCTTCAGTCCACTTTGGCACCTACGCTGCTGCTGTCCCAGGGATGGTAGTCTCCCAGGCTCAGCCCATAGCCCATACCTCGTTCCCCTCACCCTCATTTACCTCTCTCTGATGAGGCCGCAAAACCTTACTGAGAATAGGGTCAACAACCACATGGACAGGGAGTTTCTCCCTGAGAAAACACAGCAAAGAAAACAGCGTGCTCAGACATGGGCAAGGGAGCACCCTCAGGAAGCTGTGTCCTGCTGATCCGGAGGCAACAGAGGCAGCTGCCTAAAAGAAGACCTTCTTGGCTGATAAATCGTAAAACCATAGCAAGTTCCTACTTTAGGAGTTAGAAAGTTAGCTCAGAGAGGGATGGGTTCCCTGTGTCATCACCTCAATCACTCCTCCTCCTGAGTGAGCATCCTGGGAAGGCAGGAGGGGATGAGGAATGCCCACTCACTGGACATGACCACAGGCTCTTCCCCAGGCAGTCTCCTTCCCCAATCATCTACTCTCTGAAAACATATGTCAATCCTAAAAAGAAATCACACCAAAATACCCTCTGCCCTCCCAAGTATGCGTGCATATACAGAGAACCAAAACTGCTTATGAAATACCAGTGCACATACTTGTCAAGCTTCAGCTGGTCATGAGCGCTCAGCGGGGGAGGCTCATACAGAACCAAGGCATCTTTTTCCAGGGGGTCATGGAGGGCCCGGCGGACCCCAGCCCTTTTCAGGCCCAATGCTCGAGAGCCCAGAGGACCTACAAACCAATAATCATTCCGTCACCTGAATCTATGTTTAGGAGCTCCAGCAAGCCCAGCTCAAATACTTGTCCTTCACATAACCTTTCCCGAGCTCCCATATGACCCTCTCTCTCTGAGAATGCCTCCAAACTCAGTTTGGGCATCTCTATATGACCATTATCCCATTCAGCTTTTTTTTTTTTTTGAGATGGAGTCTCACTTTGTTGCCCAGGCTGGAGTGCAGTGGCACAATCTCGGCTCACTGCAACCTCTGCCTCCCAGGTTCAAGCAATTCTCCTGCCTCAGCCTCCCAAGAAGCTGGGATTATAGGCTCCCACCACCACACCCAGCTAATTTTTGTATTTTTTTTAGTAGAGACAGGGTTTCACCATGTTGTCCAGGCTGGTCTTGAACTCCTGACCTCTGGTGATCTGCCCGCCTTGGCCTCCCAAAGTGCTGGTATTACAGGCGTGAGCCACGATGCCCAGCCCCCAGAATTTTTCTGCTTTGAATCAGAGCTTTTCCCGTTTTATTTCTCCCATTCAATTACAAACTTCTGAGGTGCCAGATCTGGTTCATTTCAACTCAAGACAATCCTGGGAAGGCCTGAAATTCTAAAGGGCACTTTCATGGAGCTTTCTGAGAGCTCCTGAGAGCTGGCCACAGCCAAGCGTAGTATCTCAAGCCTGTAGTCCCAACACTTTTTGAGAGGTCGAGGTGGGAGGATCGCTTGAGCCCAGGAGTTCGAGA
Source organism: Homo sapiens (assembly GCF_000001405.40). Lineage (NCBI taxonomy): Eukaryota > Metazoa > Chordata > Mammalia > Primates > Hominidae > Homo > Homo sapiens. The sequence continues at coordinate 46,259,230 of NC_000001.11, read as the reverse complement.
TCAGCCTGGCCAACATAGTGAAATCCTATCTCTATTAAATTAAAAAAAAAAAAAGAGAGAGAGAGAAAGCTGGCCTCCCTATTCCTCCAAGCCCCAGTTTTAGCATAATGCTGTACCCTACATAAGACAGGGAAAAACCTTATAGAATCCAGGCCTCCCACACAGTCAGCCTCATAAAAGGGATGCTACTGAATGCACTTGGATTGAATGAAGCCCAGGTCCATCAGCCATCTTGGCCCACCAGGAGCTTTCTGAGCACCGGGACACCTCTACCAAGAAGATGAGGGGCAGTTAGTCTTGGCAGCCCTTACTGAGGCTAACACAGTTTTCATGCAGGCCTCAGGAGGGTCACCCCAAACACAGCCACCGCTGGACTGGCACCTTCAATTCCCAGCTAAGCTTGTATTTACAAAAGCAGGTTTTTAATTTATTCAGGCACACGTACATATGACTGATTTCAAAAACAGAAAAACCTCCATTTTACCTTGATAATTTGGAATGGGGACTTTGAAAGGCTTTGACAAAATGCTTCGAATAAATGCTTCCTAAAAAGAAAGGAGAAACAAGGATTCAGGACTGACTGGAGATGTTATGGGACAATATCATGATATGCTTCACATTAGGTTTTGTACAACAGCATCCATCTTCGAGGCTTTATGTAAGGTTCTACAAATATCCAGGGATAGCAGAAGGGCCCAGCCTCAGTCAACCACGAGGCTTAGAACCCAGGAAACCATTCACTCATTAAAAACCATGCCAGTGAGCATACCTAGCTCTTCCCTAGGGTATAGCACCTTGGAAAGCAAATACCACAGACTTAGCCAACCTGAGTAATAATGGATAATTCTAATGTCTGGGTTTAACCACTGTCATATAGGGTTACACCTTCCCAAGCACACCTCACAATTCTTTTTTTTTTTTTTTTGGCTACATCAGTTATGTCTAATATATCTAATACTCACATCAGCCTCCTTGGGAACTAAACAGCTCATCAAAGAGTAGTGATGGAGAAATGGGAGCCATCGTATTAATAAAATAATATTAACAACACCAGGCCGGGCATGGTGGCTCACACCTGTAATCCTAACACTTTGGGAGGCCAAGGCAGGAGGATCACTTAGGTCTGGGAGTTCGAGACCAGCCTGGGCAATATAGCAAGACCCCATCTCTATTTTAAAAATATATATTTAAAAATATAAATAAAAATAATGATGGCTACCAATGTATGCTAGACACAGAGCTAAGCCTCTTGCATTCATGTTACCATTTAATCCTAACAGCTGTATGAGGTCCATATATTACTGGTGTTTCCATTTTACAAATGAGCAAACTGAGGCTCAGAGTGATTAAGTCACTTTCTCAAGTCACAAAGCCATTACAAATGCAGGACTTTCCTGGTTCTAGGGTCCTTACTTGTACTCAGTAGGCAACGTGGCCTCTCACCCACTCTGAGTACAGCCATGCAGATCAGCCCAGACCCAGCAGCTTCCTGCCATGTAAAGCACAAGAGAAGGAACATGAGAAAGGGACATGAGAGAGAAGCTAAGCCCAACACTAAGAAAAAGCAAGTGGGACAAGGGTGACAGCAGGTAGACATATGTGGGTCCTAGAGAGGTAGCACTGGTGACTCCTCCACCTAAAGGCAAGAAGCCTCTGTACAAGCACTTCTGCCTTGAACCAGCATTATTCCATGGGCTATGGGGCTGGGGCAGGGGCAGAGAAGGCAGAAAAATTAACACTGAGCTAACTCTGACAGCTCCCATGGAAGTTCTGGTCCACACACACCTGAGCCCTTTGCGGAACTGTGATAGCCTGTGAACCTCAACAAAACCAGAGGTGGAAGCCAAGAGAGCAGAGAAATAAAGAGCAGAGACCCTGAAGGTAGTTTTAATGGGAATATATTAGTGGAAAAAGCAGTAATGAAAAAATGTCCCTTCTAGCAAAAAACATAGTCTAATAGGAAAAAAAGCAAGCCTGCCGTGATATTTTTACCTTTGTTTTCTGACTCATTTCTTCACACATCATCAATGTCTAGAAATTCAAATGTACTTTATTTGTTTTTTGGGGTTTTTTTTTTTTTTTTTTTTGAGATGGAGTCTTGCTCTGTTGCCCAGGCTGGAGTGCAATGGCACAATCTCAGCTCACTGCAACCTCCACCTCCCAGGTTCAAGCAATTCTCCTGCCTCAGCCTCCCAAGTAGCTGGGACTACAGGCACACGCCACCACACCTAGCTAATTTTGATATTTTTAGTAGAAACAGGGTTTCACCATGTTGGCCAGGCTGGTCTTGAACTCCTGCCCTCAAGTGATCCGTCCACCTTGGCCTCCCAAAGTGCTGGGATTATAGGCATGAGCCATCACACCTGGCCTCAAATGTACTTTAAATTTAAAAAAAGTAATGAATTTTTTTTGTGATATTAGAAGACAGAAAACAAGTATGTAGAAATGAACTTCCTTATCACACTAAATAACATGACAACATCACACTAAATAACATAACATAAAGGCAAAGTTGGCAAAAAACTCAAATGCTTTTGTTTATTTGCAAATTTCTTTGCATCTGAATAAAATCTTTTATTGACTTTTTTTTTTTTTAAAAGACAGGGTCTCATTTTGTCGCCCAGGCTGGAGTACAGTAGTGGTGATCATACCTCACTGCAGTCTCTAAGTCCTGGCTCAAGGGATCTTTCTCTAAGTCCTGGCTCAAGGGATCTTTCTCACCTTGGCCTCCCAAAGTGCTGGGATTATAGGCATGAGCCATTATGCCCAGCCTTTACTATTTTTAATTAGCATGACTGTAACTATGAATAGCAATGATAATCATTATGAAAAATGCTAACAAAAAGGACCCTTGGCCAGTGCAGTGGCTCATGCCTATAACCCCAGTGCTTTGGGAGGCTGAGGTGGGAGGACCGCTTAAGCCCAGGATTTTGAGACCACCCTAGGCAACGTAGTGAGACCCCCCCACACACCCCGTACACAAAATTTAAAAATTACCCAGGCACTGTGGCACATGGTCCCAGCTACTCAGAAGGCTGAGGCAGGAAGATCACTTGGCCTAGGAGTTCAAGGCTGCAGTGAGCTACAACTACACCACTGCACTCCAGCCTGGGTGACAGCAAGACCTGCCTCAAAGGAAAAAAAAAAGCTACTCTTAAGTCAAATGAGAGGAAAAGGAGATGGACCCTAATTTTCTTTTTAATTTGGCATCAATTCTAAAACAGAAATATTTTCAAAATTATCAGTATAGAAGGCTAGATTTGAGGCTCTGAGTAGCCAAGAATTTATGCCCTAAATTTAAAAAGACTTTCAATAGAACACAGGAACCATAGGTTCTGCAGGGAGAACTACAGGCTTGCATAACTGGTAAGGAAGAATGTGGAGACCCCTGGCCAAAAATGTCTGAGGGCTCAGCCTGCAAAATGGAATGGCCTGCTGGGCACAGTGCACGCCTGTAATCCCAGCACTTTGGGAGGCCAAGGCGGGCAGGTCACCTGAGGTCAGGTGTTCGAGATCTGCCTTGCCAACATGGTGAAACCCCGTCTCTGCTAAAAGTACAAAAAACTGAGCTGGGTGTGGGGGCGGGCACCTATAATTCCAGCTACTTGGGAGGCTGAGGCACAAGAATCACTTGAACCTGGGAGGCAGAGGCTGCAGTGAGCCGAGATCGCGCCACTGCACTCCAGCCTGGGTCACAGAGCAAGACTATGTCTCAAAAAAAAAAAAAAAAAAAAAAAAGGAATGGCCAACCTTCAGGGATCTGGTTTGGTGACTCACCAGTCTCTATAGCAGGGGGCAGGGGAGGGAGCATGCTCTTATTCTCTGTTCATTTAGTTACTGATAATTCATACCAATCTTTCCTTCTGATAGATGAGAGACAGCATCCCTCCTCCCCACCAAGGCTAAAGCTTCCCATTTCTGCAGAGAATCACTCTGTTATGACTGATCACTCTTGTATCTCAACCTCTCCCTCTCTACTAGCTCTTACCAGCATTTAAAATGGACTTAATTATCTCCTATCTTAAAAACAAATATTCATTTGATTGCTTATCTCTCCTCTCCACAGGCAAACTTCTAGTAAGTTATATAGCTCCCCTTCTTTCCTCCCACTCTTCCTGTCTTCTGCCCCTTCCACTCTGGCCAAGATCACGAATGGCCTACATGACCCTAATTCCAATGGACATGTATCTTACTTGACGAAGCTGACCACTCCTCAAATATTTTCTGCCTTTGATTTCCATGACACTACTCTCCACCTTTCTGGGATCTCATCTTCAGTCCCCTAATGAGCTCTTTTCCCTCTGCCTTTTAACCCTCAACCCACCCCCAGAGCTCAATGCTCCCAACCGGCTGCAGTGACTCACGTCTGTAATCCCAGCACTCTGGGAGGCCAAGACAGGAGGATTGCTAGAACCCAGGAGTTTGAAACCTGCCTGGGCAACACAGTGAGACCTGGTCTCTACATATCATTTAAAAATTAGCCAGGTTTGGTGGCACACGCCTGTGGTCCTAGCTACTCCAGAGGCTGAGGTGGCAGCAATACCCGAGCCTAAGATTGAGGCTGCAGTGAGCCGTGATCGCACCAGTGCATTCCAGCCTGGGTGACACAGCAAGACCCTGTCTCAGGAAAAAAAAAAAAAAAAAAAAGTCAGTGCTCCCCAGGGCTCAGGGTTTAGCCCTCAGATCTTCTGACTACCCATTCACCAATCCACTTACCAGGTATAAAATTTATCTATGCTAATGAGTCCCAGGTGTATTTCTAGTTATACCTTACTCCACATCCACATTTACAACTGACTCCAGACCTAGATCTCCTGCAGGGACTTCAAAATCATCATGTCTAAGGCTGAAGTCCTCATCTCCAAGGCCACACTATGACTCTTGTGGGCCCCAGGCACTTTTGCCTTTGGGACCCCTTCCTCCATTAAAAAAAGAAAAAAAAAAGAAAAAAAAAGAGGCCAGATGCAGCAGCTCACACCTGTAATACCAGCATTTTGGGAGGCTGAGGCAGGCAGATCACTCAAGGTCAAGAGTTCAAGACCAGCCTGGCCTACATGGTAAAACCATGTCTCTACTAAAAACACAAAAATGTGCCAGGTATGGTGGCGGGTGCCTGTAATCCCAGCTACTCAGGAAGCTGAGGCAGGAGAATCGCCTGAACCTGGGAGGCAGAGGTTGCAGTGCGCCAAGATCACGCCACCGCACTCCATTCTGAGCGACAGAGCAAGACTCCCTATCAAAAAAAAGAAAAAACAAAAACAAAAAAGACTGCATTGGTATAAAGATAACTATAATAATATAATCAGGCTGGATTACTATGTATTTTTTTTCTTCTGATTTCAAAAGGAATTAAAGATCACCATCGCTCTCTAAGTGCAGTGTTAGCTCACCAAGCTCCAGCTGAAGGAGAATGGAGATAAGTAAGCAGGTGAGCCAAGACAGCACCACTGCAGCACTCCAGCCTGGGTGAGAACACAAGACTCTGTCTCAAAAAAAAAAAAAAAAAAAAAGAGTACCTAAGTATATCACTGTGAGTAGAAAAATAGGGGACAGAAATCCGGTATTGCAGTTTGCAGTTTTTCCATTTTCATTTTTTGTGTGAATTCTTTTTTTTTTTTAGACAGAGTCTCGCTCTGTCACCAGGCTGGAGCGCAGTGGCACAATCTTGGCTCACTGCAAGCTCCACCTCCCGGGTTCATGCCATTCCTCAGCCTCTCGAGTAGCTAGGACTACAGGCGCCCGCCACCACACCCAGCTAATTTTTTGTACTTTTTACTAGAGATGGAGTTTCACCATGTTAGCCAGGATGGTCTCAATCTCCGATCTCCTGACCTTGTGATCCGCCCGCCTAGGCCTCCCAAAGTGTTGGGATTATAGGCGTGAGCCAACGTGCCCGGCCTTTTGTGTGAATTCTTAATATAAATGTAGGGATGTAAAGCATTAATACAAGTCAAAATGTTTCAGTGAACAAGTTTCAGCACTTCAATTTTATAACAACCATAAACAAACCTGTTCATATCTTCTGGACAATGGATTTTTTAAAATACAATTTCTTATTGACAGCAACTAAACAGTGTTAGTAGCATTCTTATCATACAGCAGATTCTACCCATTAACTATACTTTTCTGAATTTTCCTATACGCAAGTATTTTTTTTCCTTTTGAGACAGGGTCTCTGTCACCCAGGGTGGAGTGCACTGACAGTATCACGGGTCACTGCACCCTTGACCTCCTCAGCTCAAACGATCCTCCCACCTCAGCCTCCAGAGTAGCTGGGACTACAGTCACGTGCAACCACATCCAGCCAATTTATTTATTGTTTTTTAGAAATAGGGTCTCACTATGTTGTTCAAGTTGGTCTCAAACTCCTGGGCTCAAGTGATCCTCCTGCCTCAGCCTCCCAAAGTGCTGGGATTACAGGTGTGAGCCACCACACCTGGCCTGCAAGTACATTTTTAATGTTGTCTATCTTCTGTTCTATTCCTGTAACTTTGCTATTAAAAGAGAATAGCTCTTGTATAATACATTGAACTTCATGGGCCTCCTGATTACAGTGCCTGCCATCTCCCTCCCACCAAATGCCATTCTTCTTCTGTGTTCCCTATCTCAGCAAATGACACCACCATCCATCTACCTTGCCAAAGCCTAAAATCCCAACTTCATCCTCAATTTTCCCTCTCCCCACATGTAATCAATCCCAAGTTTTTCCACTTGTAATTTTTAAGTATCTCTCAAAATCCACCCACTTCTTCCCATTCCCCATTCCCCTAAAACCCATGTCCAGGCCATAATCCTCTCTTGCTTGGCCACCTGCAATAGCTTTCTCACTAGTTTCCCTACCTCCAGTCTCTCCCCATCCAACAAATATTCTATACTGCTGTTACCTCCTACCCCCACTTAAAACACTTCTAAAGCTCTTCAGTGACCTTAGTCCAGACTCTCCTAGCATGGCTTCTGAAAGGCCTTCCACTCTTAGCCACTGCACAGCTCTCCAACTCTCATCTCTCACCACCATCCCCCAACTCCCCACACTCTCTTTTCAGTACCTGCCTCTATTGCTGCCAGTCTTTCCAATAAGCTGTTCCTTCTATTAGAATGTTTTCCACTCCCTTCACCTGTCTAACCCCTCATATCTTTCAGGACTTAACAGCACATCTCTCAGAGGCAGGTCTTCCCCAATCTCCAGACCCATAGGTCTCCTGTTGTGCACTCCCACAACTGCACTTATGCCATGTAGTTACACAGGACAACTTTGAACAAATCCTGAATGAAACAGTCCCAGAGGATTACACACCATTTTAACACCATTTTCTTTCTTTTGAGACGGGGTCTCGCTCTGTCACCCAGGCTGGAGTGCAATGGTGCCAATCTCAGCTCACTGCAACCTCCACCTCCTAAGCTCAAGTGATCCTCCCATGTCAGCCTCCCAAGTAGCTGGGACAACAGGCACACGCCACCATGCCCAGCTAATTTTTTTTGTATTTTTGGTAGAGATGGGGTTTCACCATGTTGCCTGGGTTGGTCTCAAACTCCTGAGCTCAAGCTATCCGCCTACCTTGGCCTCCCAGAATGCTGGGATTACAGGCATGAACCAACATGCCCACCCAACACCATTTTTTAAAGTTCAAAGAACCAATTAAACAATGTATTAGTGATTTTTTTTTTGAGGTGGTCTCACTCTGTTGCCAAGGCTGTATTAGTGATTTTTATATGTATGCTAAAACTATCATAAAAGCAAAAGATGATGGATAAAATTCAAGATAGTGATTACCTCTGGGGATGGGAAAAGGGATTATGGGTTTGACAATGTTCTAGTCCTGGATGATGGGTTCACGGGTGTTTGTGTTTTATAACTTATGTAATATATCTATATTTATCAAGTATTACACAAAACTGTTGTTTTTTTGTTGTTGTTTTGGGGACGGATTTTCACTCTTGTCGCCCAGGCTGGAGTGCAATGGCATGATCTCGGCTCACTGCAACCGCTGCCTCCCGGGTTCAAGTGATTCTCCTGCCTCAGCCTCCCAAGTAGCTGGGATTACAGGCATGCACCACCATGCCTGGCTAATTTTCTCTGTATTTTTAATAGAGACGGGATTTCACCATGTTGGCCAGGCTGGTCTTGAACTCCTGACCTCAGGTGATCCATCCACCTCGGCCTCCCAAAGTGTTGGGATTACAGGCGTGAGCCACTGCGCCTGGCCCAAAACTGTTTTCATTTAGTTGTTTTGTTTTGTTTTTTGTTTTTTGTTTTTTTTTTTTGAGACCGAGTCTCACTCTTGCCCAGGCTGGAGTGCAGTGGCGTGATCTTGACTCACTGCAACCTCGGCCTCCCGGGTTCAAGTGATTCTCATGCCTCACTTGAGTAGCTGGGACTACAGGGGTATGACACCATGCCCAGTTAATTTTTGTATTTTTAGTAGAGACGGGGTTTCACCATGTTGGCCAGGCTGGTCTCAAACTCCTAACCTCAGTTGATCCACCCATCTCAGCCTTCCAAAGTGCTGTGATTACAGGCGTGAACCACCCGACCCGGCCACAAAACCGTTTTTAAATGTTTGCTGAATGCACAAATGACTAATCTCCATTATGTATTCCTACTTTTCCTTCAAAACATTCCTCATAAAGCTTAGTGGAAAAGCTTTGGAGATAGACAGATCTGCTCCACCCACTCTGAGCAAATTACTTAACCCTTCTGAGACTGTTTTCTCATCTTAAAACGTGAGAATTACATGAGGCAATGCACAGAACCTGCCATGGTGGTGATTAAGTTTGACTTTACTAGAGGAAATACATGACTCTGGTACACCTTAAAGTCATATACAGAGTCAGAGTCTGAGCTGACATGAGGATCCTAGTTCCTTTACCCTCCTTTCCTCAGGAATCTGAACCATCTGATATCTGGTGCCCATGTAGCTACTATAAACCAGGCACAAGTCAGGCACACCTCTCTAAGCAGGCCCCAGCAGCTGTGGGCAGGTCCAAAGCCCCTACAGATGTGTGTCTTCTGGCCACTCTAGAAAGCACTGAGGGAGTGTACAGGGACAGGAGTCTACCTAGGCTGAGTGACTGGGCACAGACATACACATGCAGGTTGCAGTTCTGGCTTACATGCTGACTGCTGTCCAGACAAGGTGGTTGATTGGTTAGCTGACTCAAAGGTTTCCGAAAAGGAGACAGGAAACACTCCTGGATCTGGGTCTCACTGCTGGATTTCCGTTTCCTAGGAGTCTAGGAGAGAGAATTGGGAAAGGTGAAGTCTAGAAGACCACAGAAATCACCATAATGGCAACTAACACTTGAAGTGCTTATTAAGTGCCAGGCACTGTGCTAAATTCTTCACACATGTCATAGTGTATCATCTTCATAGCAACTCTATTATGTAGAGTTATTATCCTTATTTAAGAGGTGAGAAAACTAGAGCTTAATGAGATTAAATAACCTGCCTAAACTGAGCGGGGCAATGGAAGAGGTAAATAAAATGGGCCTCTGAAGAGCAAGTCTACCAACAGCATGGAGTCCTGGTGGCCCAAAGCTTCACTCCAAAAGCTCCATGGAATGATGGAGCAACCAAACATTTCGCTGAGTTTCCAAGAGGCAAGAATACAGCTGCCTTCAACTCCCAGGCCACTGAGGCCACTCCCCACTCAGGCCACCCATGGCTGTGAGGACACTGGCACTAAAAGCATCTTCAGAAGCAACCAGCAACTGACAGCAGACCCAGATGCAGAGAATGCTGCCCCAAGTTCAAGTCTGAGACCCATGTACATGGCAAGGGTCAGCCAATGTGCCTCCTTCACAGGTAGAGAAGCCCCTTGCACACCACGGTACAACTATTGAGCAAGCCCCATCAAGCCATTAGGCAAGAACACACTTGTACCAGCTTGCCAGGATATTTGAAGCCTCAGTGATCCTGTAAGACACACCTGAAACAAACACCAGCACCCCTACCCCACACCTTATTCACACACTGCTCCTGCCAAAAAGTGCCTTCTAGTCCTTGCGTAGCTGATCCCTTCCTTCAAAGTTCCAGTGGCCAAGCCCCCACTTCTTGAACTGCTCTTATTCTCTGAAGTCCATGCTGCACTGTCCTATTTATTTTGGTTTACATAGGTCCTGCCCACAGCCAGCCCCAACAAGCCTCCAAAACAGGAAGCAGAGCCCAGGGCCCAACCTAAAGTAGAATATACTGTACTTGAGTATGAGCAAGGACTGGAAGGACACAACCTGTCAGATCTAGGCCCAAGTGAGCCCAGGACTCCAAGGTAGGCCCAGAACACTCTACTGTTCTGTGACACTGGGCAGGGGACAAAGAGCAAAAGAGCCAGCTGCTAATTGCTGTTGTGTAGCCCTTTTTTCCAAGCAGAGTCAAAAGGTCCAATCCAACTGGCTCTTTTGCTTATCTTTTCCCACCAGGAAAACTGAGGCTATATTAGCTTCTAGTGACTACCCTGAGGATAAAGATTTTACTAATCTTGTTCAATGCCTGGCACATAGTAAGTACTCACTAAAAGTTTATTGAACATACAAAAGAGGCATCTGGAATTGGCTATGTAACCCTAGAAACCAAATCCTGGCTTCTTTTCTGTCCAAACAGCTCTACCCACCTTCCCTGTCCCCTTGAGTGCTCACCACTAGGCCAGGTTGCCAGTCTTCATCATCACAGGACCTGCCTTCAGGTTTTCTCTTGGCCAGCTGGCTGGGAGCCAAGCTCCTCCTCTGTAAAGGGAGAACAGAAACAGTGCCTGCAAGGATCCTGCAGCCTAGGCCTACTAGACCCTGACCCAGGGCTATTCCCAGTCTCCCCTAGGCCCACACTTACCATCCTGGGCCTAGGAGTTTAAAACGTCAAGTACCCATGAGCCAAAGGTCAAAAGCAGGCAGCGGCTAAGAGTGTAGGACCAGGGTCTAATCTGTAGAGGGGGCTGCTACATTATTGAGAGGACCGGCTAATTAAAGAGGGGGCATGGATGGCGGGAATCCATCCAGGAACTGGTGTTTGGAACCAAACTGTGAGAGTGGCCGTCCCCAATAAGCCGAGACGAGAGATTAGGCCAAAGAGGAAGAGACCAAGCAGAGATTAGTGTGGGATTGGGGAGGAGGCAGGTGGAGTCCCAGACTGGGCGGAGTGGAGTGGGGATGATGGTCCCAGTCCGGGTGAAGGGAGGAGGTAGTTGCGCGGCGGGGCGGGGTGGGATTGGGGGTGGGTAATCACTGGCCAGGAGAGAGAAGCTGGGGTGAAAGTCCGAGGCCCGGGTGGGGAGGGCGAGTCTGGAGAAAGGAAATTTCCCAGGGCTGGAGGTGGAAACCAGGATCAGACTCAGGGAGGTCGAGCAGGAAGCCACGCGGGCGTGTAAAAAACCCAGGTTAGGAGGGGAATACCAGGAGGGGCTGAAAAGAGCGACAGAGATAGACGCAGACCCCAGCACCTCTCTCTCAACCTTCCTGTTCCCAAAGCGCGCGTTAACAGCCGCCAAGACTCACCGACCCGCCAAGACCGGGTCAATCGAACCTCCCGCCGCGCTGCCGTCGTATCACCCATTGGCTGCGTTCGATGAGTTCGGCGCTCGCGACCCAAGGAAGAGGCGGGAATAGTGCTGCGCCCAATGAGGAGTCTGGGCTCTGGAGCTGGAGAAGCTAAATTGACCTACTAGGAGGCGTGACTTAGATGGGAGGGCGGGGCCAACAGAGGTGGGCGGTTGGGCGAGAAGAGAGGGGCGGGGCGGGGGCGGGGGTGGCGGGGGAGGGGCGGGGCCAACAGCGAGGAGCAGTTGGGCGAGAAGAGCGGGGCGGGGCGAGAAGAGCTGGACGGGGCGGGGAGGGGCGGGGCCAACAGTGGGGAGCGGTTGGGCTAGAGGAGCGGGGCAGGGCTAGAAGAGCTGGACTGGACGCGACGGAGCGGGGAGGGGAGGGGCGGAATTACTACCTGCGAGCTGGAATTCGGCCCGTCTCGGGTGTTTGTCCCAGGTCGGTGAGCTGTGGTCCCGCAGCTATGGAAGGGAAGATTTACGCCACATTGAGCAGCAGGGGAGTTACCACCTGTAGTGGACAGCTGGGGATTATGAAAGGCGGCACATTTCTGGGAGTTTGGATTGAATCTACAGTGGTACCAGGTCTAGAGCGGAGGGCCGGGGTTGGAGTCAGGCCTCGCCCACCCAGAAAGTGGGGAGAGGCATTCGGCCCAGACTGCCACGTGGCGGGCTCGGGCAATGGGAGCCCCCGGATGACGCGACTTTCTCGCTCAGGGGTGTCTTGAAAGAAGCTGCCTTCCTCTCCAAGGCCAAACCGCGTTGGAGGAAGCGTTGTGTTTGGAGTCAGAGATTTAATCATCCAATCTCTCAAAACGTCAGTTTCTTCATATCTAAAGTGGCATTATAATAGTACCTCCCCCCCATGGCTATTCTGACAAGTAAATTAATGTGCGTAAAGCACCCAACAGTGGCATGCACAACCTAGGTACTCACTAATAATGATAAGGGTGTATTTATAGCATTTACCACCAGGCATTTCTGAGCTTCTAAGATATAACAGTTCATGTAATGCTCATGACTATGAGGTAGGTTTATTTTTGTCCCCATTTTGTAAGTGAGGAAACAGGCCTAGATAGGCTAGTAACTTGTACAAGGTCACACACCTGAGTATAGCTTAAGCCATCCTCACAGGGTTATCAAGAATTCTGAGGTCAGGCATGGTGGCTCACACCTGTAATTCCAGCACTTTGGGAGGCCGAGGCAGGAGGATTGCTTGAGCCCAGGACTTCCAGATCAGCCTGGGCAACACGGAGAAACCCCATATCTACAAAAAAATTAGCCAGGCATGGTGGTGCACAGCTGTAGTCCTAGCTATTGCAGACGCTGAGCTTGGAAGCATCGCTTGAGCCTGGAAGGTCAAGCTGCAGTGAGCCAAGATCGCGCCACTGCACTCCAACCTGGACGACAGAGCAAGACCCTATCTCAAAACAAAGAATTCTGGGCCGGGCGCGGTGGCTTACGCCTGTAATCCCAGCACTTTGGGAGGCCGAGACGGGCGGATCACAAGGTCAGGAGATCGAGACCATCCTGGCTAACACGTGAAACCCCGTCTCTACTAAAAATACAAAAAATTAGCCGGGAGCGTTGGCGGGCGCCTGTAGTCCCAGCTACTCGGGAGGCTGAGGCAGGAGAATGGCGTGAACCCGGGAGGCGGAGCTTGCAGTGAGCTAAGATCGTGCCACTGCACTCCAGCCTGGGCGATAGAGCGAGACTCCGTCCCAAAAAAAAAAAAAAAGAATTCTGGAGAGAAATATCGTTTTAATTAAGTATTAATCGGTTGGGAGGCTGTGGCCAGCGGATCACTTTAGGTCAGGAGTTCGAGAACAGCCTGGCCAACATGGTGAAACCCCGTCTCTACTAAAAGCACAAAAATTAGACGGGCGTGGTGGCAGGCGCCTGTAATCCCAGCTACTCATGAGGCTGAGGCAGGAGAGTCGCTTGAACTCAGGAGGGGAGGTTGCAGTGAGCCGAGATCGCACCACTGCACTCCAGCCGGAACGACAGAGCGAGACTCCATTTCAAAAATAATAAATAAATATTTCTGGTTCTAGTTTCCAGTAATAGCAAATAAATGTAGTCAGATTAACCCTCCCACAAATAACAATTACAAACTCTAGGGAAAAAAATATTTTGAAAAACCAATTATTCCAGGGCACTGGACAGTGGCCAAATTTAAGCAGGCTCCAGAAGGAAGTCTACCTACCCTTAAAGAACAACTGCAACTGGTGAGATTAGAAAAGCTGTGGCCTCTTACTTAGGGCATTCCCCAATCTGCAAGGAACTCTTGGGTGACACAGAGTTACTACCTGTGTGGGAACTCTGGTGGGAAGACACAGCTTTACTACCTTGAGGTGTCAGGAAACAGAGTTTGAGGCAGGTCAGGGAACAGAGTTTGAGGCAGGCAGAGCAACCAAAAAGTTACAGGAGAAATCCTAAAAAGGAGAGTATTGCAGAGGGGGTGAGCCCCAACATTTGGGTAAGACAAGTCCTCCCAATTCCTTGGTTGACTGCTTACGTATACATGTGTAGGGGTAACAAGAAACCCAGCAAAAAAAGAAAAAAAAAAAAAAGCAGCAGCTAGAAGGTAGAACTGGGTGAAGATTTTGGCTTCTGCCCTCTGCTGGAGATGATTGATTTGGAATTAAAAATCTAGCCAAATTAGCTGCCTGCCAGAACAAAAGCTGTTCTTCAGAGAAAAATTCTGCAAAGGGCATAAGAAAAAATTTTTGAGACAGAGTCTCACTGTGTTGTCCAGCCTGGAGTTCAGTGGCACTATCACAGCTCACTGCAGCCTTGACCTCCCAGGCTCAGTCTCCCACCTCAGCCTCTCAAGTAGCTGGAACCATAGGCATGTGCCACCATTCCCGACTAATTTTGTGAATTATTTGTAGAGTTGGGGGTCTCACTATGTTGCCCAGGATGGTTTCAAACTCCTGAGCTAATCTTTCTGCCTCAGCCTCCCGAAGTGCTGGGATTATAGGAATTAGCCACCATGCCCAACCTGGGATGAAAACATTCTATATATTGAGATGATGGGTTACATTGAGATGATGTGGCATTACAGTAGGTCTTTTTTTTTTTTTTTTTTTCAAACAGGATCTTGCTCTGTCATCCAGGCTGGAGTGCAGTGGTGCCATCACAGCTCACTGTAGCCTTGACCTCCTGGGCTCAAGCAAGCCTCCCACCTCAGCTTCCCAAGTAGCTGGGACCACGAGCATGCACCACCATGCCCAGTTAATTTTTTGATTGTTTGTAGAGACAAGGTCTCAGTATGTTACCCAGGGTGGTCTCAAACTCCTGGGCTTAAGCAATCCTCCCACCTTAGCCTCCCAAAGTGCTGGGATTATAGGGGTCAGCCACTGTGCCCAGCCTTTAATTAAAAAAAAAAAAAATGACAACAAAATACAATTTAAAATCAACAAAAACAGTAGATTCATCCCCACCAAACTTGAAATACTAAGGAAAATTCTTCACACTAAAGAAAATAACAGACTAGGCTTGGTGGCTCATCCCTATGATTCCAGCACTTTGGGAGGCAGAGGTGGGCAGATCGCTTGAACCCAGGAGCAGCCTGGGTAACATGGTGAAACCCCGTCTCTACAAAAAATACAAAAAATAGCCAGGCATGGTGGGTGTGCCTGTAGTCCCACCTACTAGGGAGGCTGAGGTGGGAGGATTGCTTGACCCCAGGAAGTGGAGGTTGCAGTGAGCTGAGATCATGCTCTTGTACTCCAACCTGGGTGACAGAGCAAGATCCTGTCTTAAAAAAAAAAAAAAATTAGCTGGGCGTGGTGGTGTGTGCCTGTAGTCCCAGCTATTCAGGAGGCTGAGGTAAGGAGGATCAATGAGCCCAGGAGGTTGAAGCTGCAGTGAGCTGTGATTGTACCACTGTACTCCAGCCTAGGTGACAGAGTGAGACCCTGTGCCAAAAAATAAAAATAGGCCGGGCGTGGTGGATCACACCCGTAATCCCAGCACTTTGAGAGGCCAAGGCGGGTGGATCACAAGGTCAGGAGTTCAAGACCAGCCTGGCCAACATAGTGAAACCCCGTCTCTACTAAAAATACAAAAATTAGCCGGGCATGGTGGCGCGCACCTGTAGTCCCAGCTACTTGGGAGGCTGAGGTGGTAGAATCACTTGAACCCAGGAGGTGGAGATTGCAGTGAGCAGAGACCACCCCATTGCACTCCAGCATGGGTGACAGAGTGAGACTCCATCTAAAAAAATAAATAAATACATAAAAATAAAAATAAATGACACCCAACAATCTATAGGAAGGAATGAGGATCACCAAAAATGGTAAATATGTGAATGTGGTAGACAGAATAACAGCATCTAAAAGACATTCATAGGCTGGGTGGCTCACACCTGTAATCCCAGCACTTTAGGAGGCCAGGCAGGAGAATTGCATGAGTCCAGGAATTCAAGACCACCCTGGGCAACATAGTGAGACCTCATCTCTACAAAAAATGAACAAAAGTTATCCAAGTGTGGTGGTGTGGGCTGTTCCTGTAGTCCCAGCTGCTTGGGAGGTACAGTAGGAGGATCTCTTGAGCCCCGGAGGTTGAGCCTGCAGTGAGCCAAGATCACACCACTGCACTCCAGCCTGGGCAACAGAGAGAGATCCTGTCTCAAAAAAAAAAAAAGTCATGCCTCAATCTCCAGAATCTGGAAGATGATAGGTTACCTAGCAAAGAAGAATTAAGACTGCAGATGGAATTAGGTTGTTAATTGTCTGACTTTCTTTTTTTTTTTTTTTTTTTTTTTATTGATAATTCTTGGGTGTTTCTCACAGAGGGGGATTTGGCAGGGTCATGGGACAATAGTGGAGGGAAGGTCAGCAGATAAACAAGTGAACAAAGGTCTCTGGTTTTCCTAGGCAGAGGACCCTGCGGCCTTCCGCAGTGTTTGTGTCCCTGATTACTTGAGATTAGGGATTGGTGATGACTCTTAACGAGCATGCTGCCTTCAAGCATCTGTTTAACAAAGCACATCTTGCACCGCCCTTAATCCATTTAACCCTGAGTGGACACAGCACATGTTTCAGAGAGCACAGGGTTGGGGGTAAGGTCACAGATCAACAGGATCCCAAGGCAGAGGAATTTTTCTTAGTGCAGAACAAAATGAAAAGTCTCCCATGTCTACTTCTTTCTACACAGACACGGCAACCATCCGATTTCTCAATCTTTTCCCCACCTTTCCCGCCTTTCTATTCCACAAAGCCGCCATTGTCATCCTGGCCCGTTCTCAATGAGCTGTTGGGCACACCTCCCAGACGGGGTGGTGGCCGGGCAGAGGGGCTCCTCACTTCCCAGTAGGGGCGGCCAGGCAGAGGCGCCCCTCACCTCCCGGACGGGGCGGCTGGCCGGGCAGGGGGGCTGACCCCCCCCACCTCCCTCCTGGACGGGGCGGCTGGCCGGGCGGGGGGCTGACCCCCCCACCTCCCTCCCGGACGGGGCGGCTGGCCGGGCAGAGGGGCTCCTCACTTCCCAGTAGGGGCGGCCGGGCAGAGGCGCCCCTCAACTCCCGGACGGGGCGGCTGGCCGGGCAGGGGGGCCGACCCCCCCCACCTCCCTCCCGGACAGGGCGGCTGGCCGGGCGGGGGGCCGACCCCCCCACCTCCCTCCCGGACGGGGCGGCTGGCCGGGCGGGGGGCCGACCCCCCCACCTCCCTCCCGGACGGGGCGGCTGGCCGGGCAGAGGGGCTCCTCACTTCCCAGTAGGGGCGGCCGGGCAGAGGCGCCCCTCACCTCCCGGACAGGGCGGCTGGCTGGGCGGGGGGGCTGACCCCCCCCAACCTCCCTCCCGGACGGGGCGGCTGGCCGGGCGGGGGGCTGACCCCCCCACCTCCCTCCCGGACGGGGCGGCTGGCCGGGCAGAGGGGCTCCTCACTTCCCAGTAGGGGCGGCCGGGCAGAGGCGCCCCTCACCTCCCGGACGGGGCGGCTGGCCGGGCAGGGGGGCCGACCCCCCCACCTCCCTCCCGGACGGGGCGGCTGGCCGGGCAGAGGGGCTCCTCACTTCCCAGTAGGGGCGGCCGGGCAGAGGCGCCCCTCACCTCCCAGACGGGGCGGCTGGCCGGGCGGAGGGCTGACCTCCCCACCTCCCTCCCGGACGGGGCGGCTGGCCGGGCGGGGGGCTGACCCCCCCACCTCCCTCCCGGACGGGGCGGCTGGCCGGGCAGAGGGGCTCCTCACTTCCCAGTAGGGGCGGCTGGGCAGAGGCGCCCCTCACCTCCCAGACGGGGCGGCTGGCCGGGCGGAGGGCTGACCCCCCCACCTCCCTCCCGGACGGGGCGGCTGGCCAGGCGGGGGGCTGACCCCCCCACCTCCCTACCGGACGGGGCGGCTGGCCGGGTGGGGGGGCTGACCCCCCCATCTCCCTCCCGGACGGGGTGGCTGGCCGGGCTGAGGGGCTCCTCACTTCCCAGTAGGGGCGGCCGGGCAGAGGCGCCCCTCACCTCCCGGACGGGGCGGCTGGCCGGGCGGGGGGCTGACCCCCCCACCTCCCTCCCGGATGGCACGGCTGGCCAGGCGGGGGGCTGACCCCCCCACCTCCCTCCCGGATGGCACGGCTGGCCGGGCGGGGGGGCTGACCCCCACCTCCCTCCCGGATGGGGCGGCTGGCCGGGCGGGGGCTGACCCCCCCCCACCTCCCTCCCGGACGGGGTGGCTGCCGGGCGGAGACGCTCCTCACTTCCCAGATGGGGCGGCTGCCGGGCGGAGAGGCTCCTCACTTCTCAGACGGGGCAGCTGCCGGGCGGAGGGGCTCCTCACTTCTCAGACGGGGTGGTTGCCAGGCAGAGGGTCTCCTCACTTCTCAGACGGGGCGGCCGGGCAGAGACGCTCCTCACCTCCCAGACGGGGTCTCGGCCGGGCAGAGGCGCTCCTCACATCCCAGATGGGGCGGCGGGGCAGAGGCGCTCCCCACATCTCAGACGATGGGCGGCCGGGCAGAGACGCTCCTCACTTCCTAGATGTGATGGCGGCTGGGAAGAGGCGCTCCTCCCTTCCTAGATGGGATGGCGGCCGGGCGGAGACGCTCCTCACTTTCCAGACTGGGCAGCCAGGCAGAGGGGCTCCTCACATCCCAGACGATGGGCGGCCAGGCAGAGACACTCCTCACTTCCCAGACGGGGTGGCAGCCGGGCAGAGGCTGCAATCTCGGCACTTTGGGAGGCCAAGGCAGGCGGCTGCTCCTTGCCCTCGGGCCCCGCGGGGCCCGTCCGCTCCTCCAGCCGCTGCCTCCCGGGCGGCGCTCGCCGGCGCGGCGGCAAAGACTGAGACAGCTCCGCTGCCCGCTGAACTCCATCCTCCCGGCGGTCGGGCGGCGGCGGCTGCGGTCGGTCGCGGCAGCGGCTCCGCTTCATATCTGCAGCTGGGGCCCGCGGGCGTCAGCGCCGCGACTGTCCTGGCTCCGCACTGCCCCGGGCCGCAGCGCAGCCGCGCCAACCACCAGCCGCGGCCACCATGGCCAGACAGGCTCCCTAATTGTCTGACTTTCATTTTATTTTATTTTATTTTATTTTTTTGAGATGGAATCTCACTCTGTTGCCCAGGCTGGAGTGCAGTGGTACAATCTCGGCTCACTGCAACCTCTGCCTCCCAGGTTCAAGCGATCCTCCTGCCTTAGCCCCGCTAGTAGCTGGACTTACAGGCACATGCCACCATGCCCAGCTAATTTTTGTATTTTTAGTAGAGACAGGGTTTCATCATGTTGGCCAGGCTGGTCTCGAACTCCTGACCTCAGGTGATCCACCTGCCTTGGCTTCCTAAAGTGCTGGGATTACAGGCATGAGCCACCACACCCAGCCAATTGTCTGACTTTTTGATGGGGAGATTATCCTGGGTTATCTGGATGGGCCCACTGTAATCACAAGGGTCCTCATCAATGGAAGAGGGAGGCAGAGGAGTCAGTGTCACCTGGAAAATTAAAGGAAATGGATTATCCATTAGAGCCTCCAAAAAAGAACACAACCCTGCCAGCATCTTGATTTTACCCTAATAAGACGTATTTTAGACCTCTGACCTCCAAAACTCAAATACATTTGTGTTGTTTTCCACCACTAATTTGTGTCAATTTGTTACAGCAGATATAGGAAACATCTGTTGGTTAATATAAAAGTCTGGCTTAAAAAAATAATTATTTTTAAAAGACATATGACATGTTAAAACAAACACTATAACTATATTCTGGTGTTTATAACATATGTAGGTGTAGTACATCTGAGAGCAATAACTCAAAGGACTAGGCCAGAGTGAAACCGCCTTTGCAAAAATTATAACTGACGGAGTTATGACAGTGAGAGATATCAGACCTAACCAACTCCATCTCACTTCTAACCTTTAATCTGTCCTTGTTCATTCCTGGGCATTGGCCAAACCAACTTTGGGAAGGAATTCAGTTCATGGTTTGACTCTGAAACAAAATTGATAATAGCCCTTTCTCAAAAAGACCCCCTTCATGCCTGGGGATAAGTCTGCCTTTGAGGGGTAATATGGTTTGGCTATGTTCCCACCCAAATCTCATCTTGAATTCCCACATGTTATGGGAGGGACCCAGTGGGAGGTAACTGAATCATGAGAGCAGCATCTTTCCCATACTGATCTCATGATAGTGAATAAGTCTCATGGGATCTGATGGTTTTATCTGGGGGAATTTCCCTGCACAAGCTCTCTCTCTTTGCCTGCTGCCATCCATGTAAAACATGACTCACTCCTCCTTGCCTTCCACCATGATTGTGAGGCCTCCCCAGCCATGTGGAACTGTAAGTCCATTAAACCTCTTACTTTTGTAAATTTCCCATTCGTGGGTATGTCTTTATAAGTAGTGTGAAAATGGAGTAATACACAGGACTAACAAATTAGCTACCAGATTAGAAATTATGGTTTAGGGATTGTGCAACTTCTGGTTCCAAGAGTCTGAACCTCCTCAAATTGTTCCTAGGGATAACATCACTATTGTAAAACCTAAGATCAGTGCCTGACATATTTTGCAGGCCCTGCACTGGATGGATCAGCTGACACTACCCAGACCAGTAATCTGGCTCACCCAGTTCTGCCATCCCACCCAGAAGCAAAACACAGCAAGAAAACCTCATTTTGACCCCCTATAATTCCATCTCCAACCTGACCAATCAGCACTCCCCACTTCCCAAGTCCCTACCTACCAAATTATCTTTAAAAACTCTGATCCTCGAATGCTTAGGGAGACTGATTTGAATAATAATAAAACTCCAACTCCAGTCTCTGGGTGTATTACTTTTTTTTTTTTTTTTTTTTTTTGAGACAGTCTTGCTCTGTCACCCAGGCTGGAGTACAGTGGTGCAACTCCACTCACTGCAACCTCTGCCTCCCTGGTTCAAGCGATTCTCCTGCCTTAGCCTCCCGAGTAGCTGGGATTACAGGTGTGTGCCACCATGCCTGGCTAATTTTTTTTTTTTTTTTTGAGACGGAGTTTCGCTCTTGTTAACCAGGCTGCAGTGCAATGGTGCAATCTCAGCTCACTGCAACCTCCGCCTCCCCGATTCAAGCAATTCTTCTGCCTCAGCCCAGCCTCCTGAGTAGCTGGGGTTACAGGGATGCACCACCACACCCAGCTAATTTTTTTTTTTTGAGATGGAGTCTCGCCCTGTCACCCAGGCTAGAGTGCAATGGCATGATCTCAGCTCACTGCAACCTCCGCCTCCTGGGTTCAAACAATTCTCCTGCCTCAGCCTCCCAAGTAGCTGGGATTACAGGTGCCCACCACCATATCCAGCTAATTTTTGTATTTTTAGTAGAGACAGGGCTTCACCATGTTGGCCAGGCTAGTCTCGAACTCCTGACCTGAGGGGATCCGCCCACCTTGGCCTCCCAAAGTGCTGGGATTACAGGTGTGAGCCTCTGTGCCAGGCCTAATTTTGTATTTTTAGTAGAGATGGGGTATCACCATGTTGGTCAGGCTGGTCTTGAACTCCTGATCTCAGGTGATTCACCTGCCTCAGCCTCTCAAAGTGCTGGGATTACAGGCATGTCCCACTGTACCCAGCCCATAAAGTTTAAATTTTTAAGTATTTTTCATGTATTGGTCCTTTTATCATTTTAAAATGTCCCTCTTTTTCTCTGGTAATACTCCTTGTCTTGAAGTTTATTTTCCTGGATACTAATTTCCCACATTTCTTTGATTAGTGTTTACATGATATATTTCCCCAACCATCTACCTTCAATTTATTTGTATTTTTGTATTTAAAATTAATCTCTTGACCAGGCAGGGTGGCTTATCCCTGTAATCCCAACACTTTGCAAGGCCAAGGCAGGTGGATTGCTTTAGCCCAGGATTTCAAGACCAGTCGGGGCAACACGGTGAAACCTCAACTCTATAAAAAAATACAAAAATCAGCCAGGTGATGGTGTGCACCTGTAGTCCCAGCCACTTGGGGGTCTGATGTAGGAGGATCACTTGAGCCCAGGAGGTCGAAGTTGCAGTAAGCCATCATTGCACCATCGCACTCCAGGCTGGGTGACAGAGTGAGACACTGCCTCAAAAAACTAAAACTAAAAATAAAATCCCTCTTGTAGACAGCACATGAATCTAGCTCTTTTTTCAGTCTGACAGTCTCTGTTTTTTAACTGTAGCGTTTAGTCCACTTACATTTAGTGTAATTATTGATATGTTTAAATTTAAGGCTCCATTTGCTACTTGTTTTCTGTTTGTTTCATCTGTTGACAGAACAAGTAGACAAAAATTCAGCAAATACATAGAAGACTTGAACAATACTATCAAACATTTGATCAAAGTGATACTTACAGAATACCCAACAACCGAAGAATTGATGTTCTTTTCAAGAGGGTATGCAACATTCCCCAGATGGGCCACATTCTGGGCTATAAAACACGTCTCAATAAATTTTTAAAAATCTTACAGAATATGTTCTCTGAATTACATGAGAAATCAGTAAGAATAGGCTTTCTAGAAAAGTCTCAAATATTTGGTAGTTAAACAATATACTTCTAGGCTGGGTGCAGTGGCTCATGTCTGTAATCCCAGCACTTTGGGAGGCCAAGGCAGGAGGATTTCTTGAGTCTGGGAGTTCGAGATCAGCCTGGGCAACATGGTGAGACCCTGTCTCTGCAAATAATAAAAAATTAGCTAGGAGTGGTGGCACATGCCTGTAGTCCTAGCTACTCAGGAGGCTGAAGTGGGAGGATCACTTGAGCCCAGGAGGTTGAGGCTGCAGTGAGCTGTGATCATGTCACTGCACACCATTCTGGGCTACGGAGCAAGACCCTGACTCAAAAAAAAGAAAAAAAGACTTCTAATTAACCCACAAGACAAAGAAGAAATAACAAAGGAAATTATAAGAATTTTATTTTATTTTTGTTTTTTTAAAAATTTGAGGCTGGGTGTGATGGCTCATGCCTGTAATCCCAGCACTTTGGGAGGCCAAGGCAGGTGGATCACCTGAGGTCAGGAATTCGAGACCAGCCTGGCCAACATGATGAAACCCCGTCTCTACTAAATACAAAAAAATCAGCTGGGCATGGCGGCGCATGCCTGTAATCCCAGCTACTCGGGAGGCTGAAGCAGGATAATCACTGGAACCTGGGAGGTTGAGGTTGTAGTGAGCCGAGATTGCACCACTGCACTCCAGCCTGGGCAACAAGAGCAAAACTCCGTCTCAAAAAAAAAAAAAAAAAAATTGAGACAGGGTCTTGCTCTGTTGCCCAGGGTGGAGTACAGTGGCTTGATCATGGCTTACTGCAGCCTCCAACTCCTGGACTCAAGTGATCCTCCCACCTCAGCCTCCTGAATAGTTGGGACCACAGGTGTGCACCACCATGTTTTGTTATTAATAATTTTTTTTTTTTTTTTTTGAGGTGGAGTCTTGCTCTGTCTCCCAGGCTGGAGTGCAGTGGTGCGATCTCGGCTCACTGCAAGTTCCGCCTCCCAGGTTCATGCCATTCTCCTGCCTCAGCCTCCTGAGTAGCTGGGACTACAGGTGTCCGCCACCATGCCCAGCTAATTTTTTTTGTATTTTTAGTGGAGACAGGGTTTCACTGTGTTAGCCAGGAAGGTCTTGATCTCCTGACCTTGTGATCTGCCCACCTCGGCCTCCCAAAGTGCTGGGATTACAGGCATGAGCCACCGCTCCTGCCCAATAATTTTTTAAATTTAATATTACTTTTTAGTAGAGCCAAGGCCTTGCTTTGTTGCCCAGGCTGGTCTCGAACTCGTGGCCGTCTGCCTCAGCCTCCCAAAGTGCTGGTATTACAGGCATGAGACACCACTCCTGGCCATAAGACATTTTTATCTGAGCAATAATAAAATACAATAGTCAAAATGTATACAGTGTAGATAAAGAGTGCTTAGAGATAAATTTATAGCTTACAAGAGAATAGAGGCTTAAAATCAATTATCTAATGATCTAAGTTTCTACCTTAAGAAGCTGGAGGGCCAGGCATAGTGGCTCACTCCTGTAATCCCGGCACTTTGGGAGGCTGAGGCAGGTGGATCACTTGAATCCAGGAGTTCAAGACCAGCCTGGACAAGATAGCAAAACCCTGTCTCTACAAAAAAAAAAAAAAAAAAAAAAAATTAGTTGGGCATGGTGACATGCGCCTGTAGTCCCAGCTACTCAGGAGGCTGAGGTGGGAGGATCGCATCAGCCCAGGAGGCGGAGGTTGCAGTGAGCCAAGATCACACCGCTGCCTGGGTGACAGAGTGAGACCCTCTCTCAAAAAATAAAATAAAATAAGCTGGGCATGGTGCCTTACACCTGTAATCCCAGCACTTTGGGAGGCTGAGGTGGGTGGATCATTTGAGGTCAAGAGTTCAAGACCAGGTTGGCCAACATGGTGAGACCCCATCTCTACTAAAAATACAAAAATTAGCTGGGTGTGGTGGGGCACGCCTGTAGTCCCAGCTACTCAGGGAGGCTGAGGCAGGAGAATCACTTGAACCCAGGAGGCAGAGGTTGCAGTGAGCTGAGATCACACCACTGCACTGTAGCCTGGGCGACAGAGTGAGACTCTGTCCCAAAAATAAATAAATAAATAAATAAATAAATGTGAAAAAAATAAAAATAAAATAAAAAACAGAAGCTGGAGGAAGCTGAGCAAATTAAATATAAAGTAGAAGGAAGGAGGCTGGGCATGGTGGCTCACGTCTGTAATCCCAGCACTTTGGGAGGCTGAGGCAGAAGGATCACTTGAGGCCAGGAGTTTGAGACCAGCCTGGGCAACATAGCAAGACCCTGTCCATACAAAATAAAAAATTAGCTGGAAGTGGTGGTGCATACCTATAATCTGAGCTACTAAGGAGGCTAAGGTGAGAGGATCCCTTGAGCCCAAGAAGTGGAGGCTGCAGTCAGCTGTGATTACACCACTAAACTCCAGCCTGGGTGACAGAGTAAGACCCTTCCTCAAAACAAAACAAAACAAAAACAAAAACAACAAAAAAACCAAAGTAGAAGGAAGGAAATAATAAAGATCAAGTAAAATCCAATGAAACGGAAAAGAGAGAAACACTAAGAAAATTAACAAAGCCAATAGATGGTCTTTTAAAAAGATAAAGAAAATAGATACACTTCTAGCAAGATAATCAAGAATAAAATGAAGAAGCATAAAGTATATATCAGGAATGAGAGGATGCCACTATAGATCCTATAGACAGACATCAAAGGACAAAGGGAGGAGAACTGGAAAGATGATGGCTATGTTAGCAGCTTTTCAATCTCTTTGAATTCCCAAATAAAAACTGAGAGACAGCAAATGTATAGTTAAGAAAAAAAACAATAGGCCAGGTGCAGTGGCTCATGCCTGTAATCCCAGCACTTTGGGAGGCTGAAGTGGGCGGATCACCTGAGGTCAGGAGTTTAAGACCAGTCTGGTCAACAGAATGAAAACCCCATCCCTACTAAAAATAAAAAAAATTAGCCAGGTTTGGTGGTGCATCCCTGTAATCTCAGCTACTCGGGAGGCTGAGACATGAGAATTGCTTGAACCCAGGAGGCAGAAGTTGCAGTGAGCCGAGATCACACCATTGCACTCCAGCCTGGGAAACAGAGTGAGACTCTGTCTCCAAAATAAAATAAAATAAAATAATTAATTAATTAATTTTAAAAATAAAATGAGGCTGGACGTGGTGGCTCATGCCTGTCATCCCAGCACTTTGGGAGGCCAAGGTGGGCTTGATCACGAGGTCAGGAGATCGAGATCATCCTGGCTAACACAGTGAAACCCCGTCTCTACTAAAAATACTAAAAATTAGCCAGGCGTGGTGGCGGGCGACTGTAGTCCCAGCTAGTCAGTAGGCGGAGGCAGGAGAATGGTGTGAACCCGGGAGGCGGAGGTTGCAGTGAGCCAAGATCGGGCCACTGCACTCCAGCCTGGGTGACAGAGCAAGACTCCATCATGAAAAAATAATAATAATAAAATAAATAAAAAATAAAATAAAATGAAATAGCAAGTGAGTGAAAGGAGCCCACAGTGAGAAGGACTAAAGGGCAGGAGCAGGTCTGGTTCCCTATAAACTGTCAAAACTGACCCATGAGGGCTTCCTTCTATTACCATGCCCCACACTGAGGATAAATTCCTGGGAGAGAGGATGTGCACAGTGGCTCATGCCTGTAATCCCAGCTCTTTGGGAGGCCAAGGCAGAAGGATCACTTGAGCCCTGTAGTGTGAGACTAGCCCAGGCAACATAGCAAGACCCCGTCTCTACAAAAATTAAAAAAACTAACTGGGTGTGGTGGCACACGCCTGTGGTCCCGGCTACTCAGGAGGCTGAGGTGAGAGGATCACTTGAACCCAGGAGGTCGAGGCTGCAGTGAGCAGAGATAGTGCTACTTGCACTTCAGCCTGGGTGACAGAATGAGACACTGTATCAAAAAATAAAAGAAAGAAAGAAAGCAATAGCTTTGAGTGGAATCAATATGTAGTAGGATGAGGACAACAGAGGAAAAATGAGGAGCTAAAGACCAACATGGAGGAGGGGAACAGAGCCAGGAAATTGCAGAAAGCTGCCACAGGAAACAACAGACAAGGGAGCTCTACAATGTTGTAAAAACTCTCCTGAACCCCACCTCATTCTTTCACTTCAGATAATTTCACATAAAATGAGCAACAGAAAAGTAACAAAGTCAAGGCTGGGCACAGTGGCTCAGGCCTGTAATCCCAGCACTTTGGGAGGCTTAGGTGAGCGGATCACTTGAGGTCAGGAGTTCGAGACCAGCCTGGCCAACATGGTGAAATTCCGTCTCTACTAAAAATACAAAAATTAGCCGGGCATGGTGGCTACTTGGGTCCCAGCTACTCGGGAGGCTGAGGCAGGAGAATCGCTTAAACCCGGGAGGCAGAGGTTGCAGTGAACTGAGATCTTGCCACTGCACTCCAGCCTGGGCAACAGAGTGAGACTGTCTACAAAAAGGCTGGGCGTGGTGGCTCACCCTGTAATCTCAGCACTTTGGGAGGCCGAGTCGGGTGGATCACGAGGTCAAGAGATCAAGACCATCCTGGCCAGCGTGGTGAAACCCTGTCTCTACTAAAAATACAAAAATTAGCTGGGCGTGGTGACACACGCCTGTGGTCCAGCTACTCAAGAGGCTGAGGTGGGAAGATCACTTGAACCCGGGAGGTCGAGACTGCAGTGAGCTGTGATCATGCCACTGTACTCCAGCCTGTCTTAAAAAATAAAATGACCAGAAGAATAACATTACTACAGACAATGAAAGTACACCAAAAAGATGTGCAACAAAACATATCAAAATACAAACAAGCTAAAGGACACCAAAAAAATGATATAATATATTCATGAAAGAACATAAATCAGAACTAGAAAAACTCAGAAATGAGATGACAGAACTAATTCTGAAAGGAATCAGGAAAGAACTGGAAATACAAGAAAAAAAGCATTGTAGAAATGAAGACTAGGGCTGGGTGCGGTGGCTCATGCCTGTAATCCCAGCACTTTGGGAGGCCGAGGCAGGAAGATCACTTTGAGCTCAGGAGTTCAAGACCAGCCTGGCTAACATGGCAAAACCCCATCTCTACAAAAGAAAAAAAAAATTAGCTGGGTGTGGTGGCTCGTGCCTGTGGTCCCAGCTACTCAGGAGGCTGAGGTAGGAGGATCGCCTGAGCCCTGGAGGTAGAGGCTGCAGTGAGCTGGGATCATACCACTGCACTCAAGCCTGGGTGACAGAGCAAGGCCCTGTCTCAAAATAAATAAGATAAAATAAAATAAAGTTATAGAATTAAGAACACCATTTTGCAATCTCCAATGAATTAATAAATACACGCAACACTTGAAAAAAATCCCAAGCATAGAGACAACTAGATTTATATGCCTTCTTTTTTTTTTTTTTTTTTTTTGAGATGGAATCTCACTCTGTCACCCAGGCTGAAGTGCAATGGTGTGATCTTGGCTCACTGCAACCTCCACCTCCCAGGTTCAGCGATTCTCATGCCTCAGCCTCCCCAGTAGCTAGGATTACAGGAACCTGCTGCCACACCTGGCTAATTTTTGTATTTTTATTTGAGACAGGGTTTTGCCATGTTTGGCAGCCTGGTCTCGAACTCCTGACTTTAGGTGATCCACCTGCCTCGGCCTTCCAAAATGCTGGGATTACAGGTATGAGCCACTGTGCCCCACTGATTCATATGCCTTCCAATGTCTTGCCAAAGTGATCAAATCAGAGTTTAATCCAGCCTCTGGATCCAACTACTAATTTGCAGGACATAGCAAGGACACAGAACATTTAGAACTGCATCATGAGTATGTAATCAGCAAAATCCAGACTGCAGTAAATTCTGTAAGTCAGATAGCCCAGAATCTTCAACAAACAAATTGTAAGAAATTAAGAGGCTGGGCACAGTGGCTCACGCCTGTAATCCAAGCACGTTGGGAGGTCAAGGCTGGCAGATTGCCTGAGGTCAGGAGTTTGAGACTAGCCTGGCCAACACGGCAAAACCCGGTCTCTACTAAAACTACAAAAAAAAAAAAAAATTAGGCAGGCATGGTGGCATGCACCTGTAATCTAGCTACTCAGGAGGCTGAGGCAGGAGAATCGCTCGAACGTGGGAGGCAGAGGTTGCGGTGAGCCAAGATCACACCACTGCACTCCAGCCTGGGTGACAGAGTGAGGCTCTGTCTCAAAAAAAAAAAAAAAAAAAAAAAAAATCCCACAAAAATTAGCCAGGCATGGTGGCACGCACCTGTAGTCCCAGCTACTCGGGTGGCTGAGGTGGGAGGATGGCTTGAGCCTGGAAGGCAGAGACTGCAGAGAGTCAAGATCATGCCACTGCTCTCCAGCCTGGACGTCAGAGTAAGACTCTGTTTCCAAATAAACAAATAAATAACAAAAAGAAAATTGTAAGAAATTAAGAAAAGGATGAAAGTGGAACCTTAAAAGTTAAGAGATTTGGCCGGGCGCGGTGGCTCACACTTGTAATCGCAGCACTTTGGGAGGCCGAGGTGGGTGGATCACCTGAGGTCAGGAGTTCGAAACCAGCCTGGCCAACATGGCGAAACCCCGTCTCTACTAAAAATACAAAAATTAGCCAGGCGCGGTGGTGGGCACCTGTGATCCCAGCTACTCAGGAGGCTGAGGCAGGAGAATCGCTTGAACCCAGGAGGCAGAGGTTGCAGTGAGCCGAGATCACGCCATTGCACTCAGCCTGGGCAACAGAGACTCCGTCTAAAAAAAAAAAATTAAGAGACTTGGCTGGGTGCGGTCGGTGACTCATGTCTGTAATCCCAGCATGTTGGGAGGCCAAGGTGGGCAGATCACTTGAGGTCAGGAGTTCGAGACCAGCATGGCCAACATGGTAAGACCCCCGTCTCTACTAAAAATAAAAAATTAGTTGGGTGTGGTGGTGTGCCCCTGTAATCCCAGCTATTCCAGAGGGTAAGGCAGGAGAATCACCTCAGAATCAAGAGATAGAGGTTGCAGTGAGCCGAGATCTCACCACCACACTCCAGCCTGGGCGACAGAGCAAGATCCTGTCTCAAAAAAAAAAAAAAAGAATAACAAGGAAATGTTACGATTTTTTTTTTTATATACAGGGTCTCACTCTGTCACCCAGGCTGGAGTGTGGTGGCACGATCTCAGCTCACTGCAACCTCCGCTTCCCAGGCTCAAGCAATTCTCCTGCCTCAGCCTCCTCAGTAGCTGGGATTACTGGCACCTGCCACCACGCCCGGCTAATTTTTCTTTTTTTTGAGACAAAGTCTGGCTCTATCACCAGGCTGGAGTGCAGTGGCGAGATCCCGGCTCACTGCAACCTCTGCCTCCTGGGTTCAGGAGATTCTCCTGCCTCAGTCTCCCGAGTAGCTGGGACTACAGGCGCACACCACCATGCCCAGCTAATTTTCGCATTTTTAGTAGAGACGGGGTTTCACCCTGTTGGCCAGGATGGTCTCGATCTCTTGACCTCATGATCTGCCTGCCTCGGCCTCCCAAAGTGCTGGGATTACAGGCGTGAGCAACCATGCCCAACTTAATTTTTTGATTTTTTGTAAGAATGAGGTCTCACTGTGTTGCCCACACTGGTCTTGAACTCCTGAGCTCAAACGATCCTCCTGCCTCGGCCTCCCAAAGTGTTAGGATTACAGGCATGAGCCACAACGCCTGGCCAGAAATGTTGTGAATAATATTATGCCAAAAACATCGACAATTTAGATAAAATGGACACATTTTTTGAAAAAAAAAAAAACCTACCAAAACTAAATCAAAATGAAAGTAAAAGTCTAAATAGCCTTATATCTACTAAAGGAAACTGTTATCAAAAACATCCCCCATACCAGTCTAGGCCACGTGGCAAAACTCTGGCTCTACAAAAAAAATACAAATTAGCCAGGCATGGTGTCACGCCTGTAGTACCAGCTACTCAGGAGCCTGAGGTCGGGGGATCACCTGAGCCTGGGGAGGTCAAGGCTGCAGTGAGCCATGATCGTGTCACTGCGCTCCAGTCTGGGCATCACTGTAAGACCCCGCCTCAAAAAACCAAAAAACGTCCCCGTAAAGAAAACTCTAGGCCCAGATGATTTCACTAAGTAAATTATGTCAAGTACTAAATACTACTACCAACCTTACACAAAGATAAAGCAAAGGAGGAGGAAACATTACTTCACTCTTTTTAGGAGGCCAGCATAACCCTGGTACCAAAATTTTTTTTTTTTTTTTTGAGACAGAGTTTCACTCCTTTTGCCCAGGCTGGAGTGCAATGGCACGATCTCGGCTCACTGCAACCTCTGCCTCCCGGGTTCAAGCGATTCTCGTGCCTCAGCCTCCCAAGTAGCTGGAATTACAGGTGCCTACCACCATGCCCGGCTTTTTTTGTATTTTTAGTAGAGATGGGGTTTCACCATGTTGGCCAGGGTGGTCTCGATCTCTCAACCTCATGATCCGCCCACCTCGGCCTCCCAAAGTGCTGGGATTACAGGCGTGAGCCACCGCGCCCGGCCCCAAAACTTTTAAAAATTAAGTCTGTGGGAAAATTAAACACCAACTATATTTTATTATACTGACAATTTATTAACTTTTTAGGTGCAATAATGGTAATAAAAATCCTTATCTTTTAGAGATACATGCTAAAACATTTACAGATTAAATTGGTATGATATCTGGTTTTGCTTCAAAATAATCTTGGTTAGGGGGAAAGTAGTTGAGGGAATAAATAAACCAAGATTGGCCATGAATTGATAATTATTGAAGCTGGGTCCCTGGGAATTCATTACACTATTTTCTCTATTTTTGTATATGCTTGATACTTTATATAATATAAAGCAAAAAATAATGGCAAATGATTAAACGACATTAAATGCATAAGAACTACAGGTTGTTTGAGATCATTTAAAAAGAGAGTGAAACAAAAAAATCATTGAACACCATTAGAAGTTGTTAGGACATAACTACTTTGAAAACGGTAAGGGAAGAGATTTAAGCATTTATCTTGCCATTCTGGTATGAATTTTATTTCGGAGTAATCAAATGGTCCTAGAGGATGTGAAAAAGGTTTTCTGTACAGAATTAGAGCTAATAAATGAGGAAAAATTAATAGCCTTAGAAAATCACCATTCTGTAATCCCTAGTGAAACAAGCAATTCATAAAATGATAATCAACGGATAGTAAAACAACTTGGTGAAAAATTGACCGGAAACTTTATGATGCTGGGATGAGGCTATCACCATCTGAAAATAAAAGAAGCCTGGGAGCTGGAGTGGACAGTGGAGGAGAGCTGTCCAACCAGAAACACCCGTGCCATGTAGAATAAGTTAAAAATAAATCTGTGGTGTTAAATCACTGAAATATGGGAGCAATTCATTACAGAAGTTGGCTTACCATAAAAGTATACCATTTATATATATTAAAACACATAGGCACATAATTACATATATTTTCAAAGATACATACATATCCAAACATATACTGACACAGGGAGAGGAATGAGAATAGGGATGAGGGATCAAAAGAAGAGGCCAGGCACAGTGGCTCACACCTGTAATCCCAGCACTATGGGAGGCTGATGCAGGAAGACTTCTCAAGGCCAGGAGTTCAAGACCAGGCTGAGCAACACAGTAAGACCCAATCTCTAAAAAAAATTTTTTTTTAATTAGCTGGACATGCTCGTGTGCACTTGTAGTCCTACTCAGAAGGCTGAGGTGGGAGCATTGCTTGAGCCCAGGAGGTCAAAGTTACAGTGAGCCAAGATCACATCACTGTCCTCCAGCCTGGGTGACAGTGAGACCCAGTCTCTTAAAAAAATAATAATTTTTTTTTTTGACACGGAGTCTCGCTCTGTCGCCCAGGCTGGAGTGCAGTGGCATGATCTCGGTTCACTGCAACCTCTGCCTCCTGGGTTCAAGCAATTCTCTTGCCTCAGCCTCCTGAGCAGCTGGGACTACAGGCATGCGCCACCATGCCCAGATAATTTTTGTATTTTTAGTAGAGATGGGGTTTCACCATGTTGGCCAGGCTGGTCTCGAACTCCCGACCTCAGGTGATCCACCTTCCTCGGCCTCCCAAAGTGCTGGGATTACAGGCATGAGCCACCGTGCCCAGTCTAAAATTTTTTTAAAAAAGAAGAAAATAAAATAAGAAAGGGGCCTGGTGATGGAATTCACTATGCTATGAGAAGCATGGTTTAACTATTAAATAATTAAAAATAACAATTTAAAAAGAAGACAACTAATCAATCTGCCCTTTCCAGAGAGAACCCAGGTTAGTTCACTGGGAATATAATTATCTTCAGCCTTGGGGAATAGGAGCACAGAATGGTTCTGGAGAGGAGACAGTGTTGAGGAATCCTCCACTGTGGTTACCAGGAAGGTCTCAGGTCTAAAACGATTCCTAAACTGAGGCTTTCTCCTAAGCCTGATCTTCATCTTTGGCTCTCCCTGGTGGTGATGGTACAGGAGGCATTTGACATTCTCTAGACATGGGGTCTGGACCTGCCACCTCCGCCTTGGTACCACCTCTCATTCCAGGCTAGGGGAGGCTGGACAAAGCACAGAGGTTCATTCTGGGCCTGGGTGCATCCTCCTGCCCACTTTCCACCCTGCCTGTGTCAGGCTAAAAGCCCCTCTCCCAAAGATGTCCAATTCCTAATCCCCAGGACCTGAGGATAAATATAAATTTTCTTTTAAGAGAAGAGTCTTACTATATTGCCCAGGCTGGCCTGAACTCCTGGGCTCAAGTGATCCTCCAGCCTCAGCCCCCTGAGTAGCTGGGACTACAGACACTCACCAGCTGCTTAACCTGTGAACATTTTATCTTAAATGGTAAAAGGGACTTTGAAGGCAGGATTTAATTAAGGATCTTGCCAATGGGAAGATGATACTGAATTATCCCAGTAGACCCAATGTAATCCTTACAAGTGAGAGGCAGTAGAATTAGAGAGATGTAGGGATGGAAACAGAGGTTAGAGAGGAGAGAAGATGCTCTGCTGCTGGCTTTGAAGATGGTGAAAAGAGCCACGAATCAAGCACTGCAAGCAGCATCTAGAAGCTGGAAAAAGCAAGGAAACATTCTTCCCTGGAGCCCACGGAAGGAGTGTAGACCTGTCAACACTTTGACTTTAGCCTGGTGAAGCTGATTTTGGACTTCTGAACTGTAACATAATAATTTTGTTTTTTGAGCCACTTTGTGGTAATTCATTACAGTGACAATAGGAAACTAATGTCCTGCCCCAGCTTCTGGGCAGCACTAATCTGTTCTCCTAGGAGAGTAGGGTCTAAGTGAGTGTATGGCATGGGTAGGGAATCAGAGGAGGCTTCCTGGAAGCCCCTGCAGTCAGGTTGATCTGGGTTATTACAGCTCATTTGTTACTTAACTGACCTTGAGCAAATTTATAAGTAAGACTATTGTTAACAATGCACTGTTTATAGGATTGCTAAAAAGTAAATTTAAAAATATTTTCAATTATCTAATTTGTAAATTAGCAACTTTTTTTTTCAGTCACATCTCCTTGTGGGCTTACACATATTCATTCTTCCATTCACTGAACAGGTGTCACGGAACACCCAGTGTGTGCCTGGCACCATACACACAATGAGCTTGTGTCTGCTACAACTCTCAAGCATTTCTCACTGAAGCTGTCACTGAGCTTC
This sequence comes from Homo sapiens, assembly GCF_000001405.40. Classification (NCBI taxonomy): domain Eukaryota; kingdom Metazoa; phylum Chordata; class Mammalia; order Primates; family Hominidae; genus Homo; species Homo sapiens. Next base: position 46,225,111 of record NC_000001.11, on the reverse strand, counting down.
CAGTTAGCTCAGTGCTCAACCTCAATGCCTCCATCCTAAATGCAGGCCTCAGCCGGGCATGGTGGCTCAAGCCTGTAATCCTAGCACTTTGAGAGACCGAGGCGAGTGAATCACTTGAGGTTAGGAGTTTGAGACCAGCCTGGCCAACATGGTGAAACCCCATCTCTACTAGAAATACAGAAATTAGCTGGGTGGTAGTGGCGTGTGCCTGTAGTCCCAGCCACTCAGGAGGCTGAGGCAGGAGAATCGCTCGAGCCTGGTAGGCGGAGGTTGCGGTGAGCCGAGATCATGCCACTGCGCTCCAGTCTGGGCGACAGAGTGAGACCCTGTCTCAAAATAAATAAATAAATAAATAAAATAAATAAATGCAGGTCTTTACAATGCCCACTCCCATGGTCTCTTGTCTCAGCCAGCACCGCCCCCGCTTATCCCCCCAGGCACTGTTTCTGCAGCTTTCATGAGCAGCCTCTTCTTTGTCTTTACTCTGACCCCGGACAAAAGCCCCCAGTGCACTTGAGGGCAGTATGCGCCCTCTGATATTTTCCACACCCCGTTTTCATCCCATCCTCTCCTCTCTCTGCATTTCTGCCCTTTTTCTTACCTTCTCCTTCTTTGAGCTCCCAAACAGCTGTACCCTATAAGCCAGAAAAGTCTAGTTAGAGAGAAGCTGAGCCTCAACCAGCCAAGTTAGAGGCAGGTAGAAGGGACCAAAGATATGTGTTTACTGGAGTTTCCGGGCTTCTCTGGTGGTGAACTGAAATCTAAGGTATTCAGCCAGGATGCCTAGACCTAAGCGGAATACCCAGGCAGCCTCACTCACCCCAGCTTTCCAGCCCCACAACACTCTCAGGTGCTATCCAATTGACCCGTAATTCCCTGACCTGTGGAGCCACACCTACTTCTGCAAGACCCATCTAAGTTTCCTAATTTCACAGCTCCCCACCCCCACCTCTGCTTCTAACCTCCAGGTCTGAAATGCTGAGCTCTGTTCCTATGATGTCTGGAGCTACTAGCCCTCCTTCCCAGAAAAATGGTGGGTCCAGGATTGATTTTTCCTCCTATCTGTGATCCAGACTAGTGCATCCTTCACCCCTTCATCCAGTCCAGGCCCAGGGTTTTCTTTCCTGCAGCTCTTCCTCTAAAGACTAAGCTGCCTCTTTAGGAAGAGGTGAGAACGCAAACATTGTAACAGGGGCAAAATTGCTTTCAGTCCCTTTGGGCTTCAGTGGTGTTGACTGGCCAGGTGATGGAGCTGTGGGCATGTGGGCTTGTGATCTGGGTTTTCTGACCTGGACGTCGCCACAACTTTACAATGGGTGATGCTGGGCAAGTCTATGCCCTCTTTAGGTCTGACTCACTAGCCTTTCTGCGCACTGACGGGGGCTGGTCTTTAGAAGGCCATGTTTTATTTGAGCTTGGAGGTTCCACACAGCAACTCCAGCAGTGGTGCATAATGGCCACAAGAGGGCGGGCAACCTCTTCAGCTCATAAGTGTGTAGACTGAACAAGTGAACCTCAAATAAGAATACTATACAGTGTCTTCCAAGAAGGGTATAATTCCATGAACAATGTTGCTGAAGAGAAAAAAAAAAGAAATAAAGGCTGGGCATGGTGGCTCAGGCCTGTAATCTCAGCACTTTGGGACGCTGAGGTGGGAGGATTGTTTGAGCCCAGGAGTTTGAGACCAGCCTAGGCAACATGACAAAACCCTGTCTCTAGAAAAAATACAAAAAGTAACCCGGGCATGGTGATGCGTGCCTGTAGTCGCAGCTACTTAGGAGGCTGAGGAGGATCACTTCAGCCCAGTAGGCAGAGGCTGCAGTGACCCGAGATCGCACCACTGCGCTCCCGCCTGGGCGACAGAGTGAGACCCTGTCTTAAAAATAAAACAACAGGCCAGGCAGGTGGCTCACACCTGTAATCCCAGCACTTTGGAAGGCTGAGATGGGCGGATCACTTGAGGTCAGGAGTTCAAGACCAACCTGGTCAACATGGCAAAACCTCGTCTCTACTAAAAATACAAAAATTAGCCAGGCATGGTGGTGCACGTCTGTAATACCAGCCATTTAGGAGGCTGAGACAGGAGAATCGCTTGAACCCGGAAGGCAGAGGTTGCAGTGAGCCGAGATCGCGTCACTGCACTCCAGCGTGGATGACAGAGCGAGACTCCATCTCAAAAACAAAACAAAACACAAAACAAAACAAACAAACAAAAAAAAACAGGAAGGGTAATTAACCGAGGGCACACTACAAAATGACTACAGAGTAGGGACTGGAATAGGAGATTCAAATTCCCAGTCTGAGGGGAAGTCAGGAGTCCCAAGACCATAGGAGTGGTATGGAGAGGTCTTGTGAGCAGTGGAAGAAGCTGAGAATATACTTTGGACATTTCAATCATTTGAGGGGGTGGGAGGGGAAGAGAGGGTGTTTAGGGACAAGCCATGGACTGAATATTGCTCCAGAAGGACCGGGGTGGGAGTTTCAAAATGAGACTTGAGGAATTTAGGGAAGCAGAGATGATCAATTTGGCTTCCTTCCCTTCCCCAACACAGAATACAAAATAGAGAAATGGCACGAGTTATTCCAGGATTTGAGGAGGACGCCTCTTTTGCAGGAGGATGCAGTGAACAGCCAAAGTCATCTGACATCCTTTTCCATCTTTTTCCTTCTAGTATCCCAGTTTCAAGGCCCAGGAAAGGCAGGGACTAACATATGGAGCAGTTACCCCAGAGTTCAAAGGGTTAATCTCTAAGAATTCATTCTCTGACACCAGCCACAGCTCTTGTCCCCATCTCTGGGACCGTCCCCTCTGAGCCCCAGGTTGGCAGCTTCCCTGAATTCCTTCTATGATATAATTTGTAATTCGGCAGGGCTCTGGGACCCAGGCTCAGAGACCCAGGCTCTGCTCTCTCCTCAGTTTCCGGGAGTCAGGGCTTGCTCTAAGGGAGGAAGTAAACAGGCCTTTCCCTTGCTCCCTCTCCTTTTCCAGGATGGGGCCCCGGGACCAAAGAGCTTCTGTCTTTCCCTGCCACGCCCCCACGCTGCAGCCTAGACAAGGAGATTCCTTGTGTCCCGACCTCAGGCAGGCATCCTTGTGACCAAATGGTGGAAGGCTGGGGACAGGGTGGGGGAAGGGCAGTCACAAAGTCAGAAAGGATGACACCTCCCCTATCCAAGATTCTGGTACACCCCCAGAGCTCTGAGACCTTGAGGTTCTCTCTCCCTGGCTCCCATCAACAAAGGGCAGAGGAGGCCAGGACTCATTTGCATATAAAAGGCCTGGAGAAACTGAAAAGGCATGGACACACAGAAGCTGAACCTCCTGGAAGGGAGATATGGAGTCAGAATACAGGAATAGGGCCAGACACAGCAGCTCATGCCTGTAATCTCAGTAATTTAAGAGGCTGAGGCGGAAGGACTGCTTGAGCCCAGGAGTTCAAGTGCACCCTAGGCAACATGGTGAAACCCTGTCTCTGGAAAAAAATACAAAAATTAGCCAGGCATGGTGATGCATGCCTGTAGTCTTAGCTCCTTGGGAGGCTGAGGAAGGAGGATCATTTGAGTCCAGGAGGTCGAGCCTGCAGTGAGCACTACTGCACTCCAGCCTGGGCAACAGAGGGAGACCCTGTCACCCTATCTCAAAAAAAACAACAAAACAAAACAAAAAAATGGAATACAGGAATAGGGGCAACACAGGGACAGGGTAAGACAGGGGACCATGGCAGGGTGAGCCAAACAGACTTGAGAGAAATAAATGGAGGCCCCTGAAAGCTTCTCTCCCTAAAAGCAGTCAGGAGTGCTGGCCCAGACAGGGATGCAGGGATGGAGCCACAGAGGAAGTGAGATCCCCTAGGATAAAATGAGAACACTCTATTTAAAAAGTAAGACCTGAAAAGAAGCACAAACATCTGACAATGAGAAACTTTCCTGCCAGGAGGAGTGACATGTTACTGTTCACAAGAAGTAATGGTATGGACGATAAATAATGTGATCTCACTTAGCAGCAGGGGCTCAGATGCCCCTATATGACCTACTACCATCCAAGGACCCGTACAAAGGGCTACCCATCCTGGCAGGAAATGACATCACTCAGCAGGTAGGAAGGGGTGGGTCTACCAGCCCAAACGCTTCTGGGAGGGCCAATCCATAGAGGGTTAGTCCTGAAGGTCCATGTCCCTCCTCAATCCTCCATCTTGGCCAAGAGAGAGGCCAAGGCTTCTAGACTTTGGGTGAAGTAATTATGCCCCCATCTCTTCATCTGTTAACTCCAGGGAGTCCTAAATTCCTTAAATCCTTACTTAGCTGGGGGGAGTAGTGAGAGATACTAAATACCAAAAGCCATAGGTCAATCCTTTAGAGTCAATATCTCTATAGAAGTATCTCTAGGGGCTGGGCATAATCCCAGCACTTTGGGAGGCTGAGGCGGGAGGATCCCTTGAGCCCAGGAGTTTGAGACCAGCCTGGGCAACACAGGGAAACCCTATCTCTACAAAAAAAAAATAAATAAATAAACAATTAGCTGGGCATGGTGGTGCATGCCTGTGGTCCTAACTATGGGGGAGGCTGAAATAGGAGGATCGCTTGAGCCCAGGAGGTCAAGGCTGCAGTGA